>NC_000011.10:57858407-58161437 GCF_000001405.40 Homo sapiens
TCTCACTCTGTTGCCCAGGCTGGAGTGCAGTGGCGCGATCTCCACTCACCGCAACATCCACCTCGCAGGTGCAAGCAATTCTCCTGCCTCAGCCTCCTGAGGAGCTGGGATTACAGGCGCCTGCCACCACCCCCGGCTAGTTTTTGTATTTTTAGTAGATACGGGGTTTCACCATTTTGGCCAGGCTGGTCTCGATCTCCTGACCTCAGGTGATCCATCTGCCTTGGCCTCCCAAAGTGCTGAGATTACAGGCATGAGCCACCACCGTGCCCCGCCTGAGCCAACACTGCACCCGGCCATTCTTAACTCCAAGTCATTGCAGTTTCTTTTTCCCAGAAAACAAGGGGTTAGATGTTGCATTTCATAAAACTAACCAAAGTTCTGTTTACTGATGCAGCACAAGAGATGTAAAAAAAAAAAAAAAGGTAGTGGGCCTTATTATATCATTATAGTGAGAATAGCCCTGGATTTTGAGTCTAAATGGTTTCAGTTCTTTGTCATCTTTGTGGTCTTCATTTTTGTTTCTGTCTTTATACATATTTTTAAATAAAACATCATTAAAACTATATAGTTCAAAAATATTATTTTTCTTTTTAAAAAATTTATAATAGAGACGGGATTTCACCATGTTGCCCAGGCTAGTCTTGAACTCCTGGGCTCAAGTGATCCACTTGCCTCGGTCTCCCAAAGTGGTGGGATTACAGGCGTGAGCCACCGTGCCTGGCCTCAAAATATTATTAATTATAAAATATATGATACATACAAAAGTGTATTAAAACCTCTGGCATTTAAAGAATATTGCTAAAATAAACACCCATTTTTGTACCATCCACCTTAGAAATAGAACTTTACAAATATCTTTAATAGCTTATGAATCACCTGGGGATCATTTTAAAGTGTGGATTCTGATTTAGTAGGTGTGTGAAAGAGTCTGAGATTCTGTATTTCTAACAGGCTACCAAGTGACCCAGATACCAGTGGGCCAAGGATCACGCGTGGAGTAGCATGATCTGAGATGGCTCCCGTGTGCTTCTCCTAATTCTATCCCTTTTATCTCCATAAGAGGTAGACACTTTCTTAAATTTTGCATCAATTATTCCTTGTTTTATTTTAAATAGTTTATCTGTAATACATTTTTAAACATTATAACTGTTTAGTTTTGCCTATTTTAAAATTTTATACAAATGAAAAAATAAGTTGTACATTCTCTGTGACTTGCTTATTTTATTCAATCTTGTGTTTTACAGCCACATTCATGTTGATGCGGAGACCTGTAGTTCATTAATTTTTGCCACTTGTTAGTTTCTGATGTATGAATAGCCTCTTTTTTTTTTTTTTTTTTTGAGACTGAGTTTCATGCTATTGCCCAGGCTGGAGTGCAGTGGCGCGATCTTGGCTCACTGCAACCTCCGCCTCCCAGGTTCGAGCAATTCTCCTGTCTCAGCACCCCCCTAGTAGCTGAGATTACAGGTGCCTGCCACCATGCCTGGCTAATTTTTGTATTTTTAGTAGAGATGGGGTTTCGCCATGTTGGCCAGGCTGGTATCGAACTCCTGACCTCAGGTGATCCACCCGCCTCGGCCTCCCGAAGTGCTGAGATTACAGGCATGAGCCACCGCGCTTGGCCATGAATAGGGCCTATCTTATGCATGAATTTCTATTGTTGATGGACATTTGGTTGCTTTCACTTTTTTGCTATGACAAACAAATTTCTGGTACATGTTTTACAGTGCAAATGTGCCAGAACTTCTTTAGATTATATGCCTACGAATAGAACTGCAGGATCATAGAGTATATATATCTTCAATGTTTATTTTGATGCTAAATTGTTGTTGAAAGTGGTCAATCCAATTCACACCCCACCCCACATTCCACATCCACTAACACTGGGCTGGTCAGATTTTTTTGGAGATTAGGTGGCTGTAAAAGTGTATTTTGGTATGGAATCAACCTGGGTGTTCTACAACAGGTGAATGGATAAAGAAAATTGGTATGTATACACAATGGAATATTATTCAGCCATAAAAAAGGATGAAACCCTGTTATTCCTGGCAACATGGATGGAACTGGAGGACATTATGTAAAGTGAAATAAGCCAGGCACAGAGAGTTAAAAACCATATGTTCTTACTCATATGTAGAAGCTAAAAAAAGTTGATCTCATAGGAGTAAAAAGTAGAACAGAGGGTACTAGAGGCTGGGATGGGTAGGGAAAAGGGAGGAATAGGGAGAGATTAAAGGCTACAAAATTACAGCTAGTTAGGAGGAATAAATTCTAGTGTCCTATACCACTATAGGATGACTATAGTTAACAATAATATATAGTTTCAAATAGCTAGAGGGAGGATATTGAACATTCTCAACACAAACAATTGATAAATGTTTGAGGTGATGGATAAGCTAATTACCCTGATCTGATCACTGTACATTATGTGTATCGAAACATCAGTATGTGCCCCCATTAATATGTACAATTGTTATTCGTCAATTAAAAAATTAAACAAAAACAAACCACATTGCTTACCAAAAGCCAAGAAAGTGTATCTTGAGATTTTTAATTGCTACTTCAAAAAATGAGATTTTCATGTTTATTAGCTAACCAGGTCCTTCATATCTTTACTAGCTGTGAGAACTCATATGAACTGCTTAACTTTTTTGCCATTATCAAAATTACTTAGTTTACTTTTAGATATCACTTTGGCCAGTTTTGCTGGGGAGAGGTCACTATTCCCATAGTGACCTATTCCTTCCTATCATCCCACTTCCCACATTAGGTAACATGATGACTTTGTTAATGCTGATTCTCCTCCTAATGCTCATTTTAATGTAGATCACATGCAATGGTGAAAGAGGATCAGGGAAGAGGACACATTGTTCTTTTCTCACTTCTTGGTCTTTGCTATGCTTTTCCCTCTGCTAAGAACACTCTCCCGGCCTAAACTGTGAGCTCTGGAAGGAGAAGAATTGCGTACTTTGTTCACAAATTTAGGGCTAGATTGAGTCATATGTTTCAGTGCTTCTCAAACTTTCACGTGCATGCGAATTATATGGGGATCATGTTAAAATGCAAATTCTTTTTTTTTTTTTTTGAGGCAGAGTCTCACTCTGTCGCCCAGACTGGAGTGCAGTGGTGAGATCTTGGCTCACTGCAACCTCCGCCTCCCGGGTTCAAGCTATTCTCCTTCCTCAGACTTCCAAGTAGCTGAGATTACAGGCACCTGCCACCATGCCTGGATAATTTTTTTTTTTTTTTGTATTTTTAGTAGAGACGGGCTTTCATCATGTTGGACAGGCTGGTCTCGAACTCCTGACCTCTGGTGATCCGCCCACCACGGCCTCCCAAAGTGCTGGGATAACAGGCGTGAGCCACTGCGCCCAGCCAAAATGCAGATTCTTATTCAGCAGGTCAGGAGTGGGGCCCCAGATTCTACATCTGAAAGTTCCCAGGTGATGACAGTGCTGCTAGTCCAAGGAAAACAATCATGTGGATACCCATTCACTCATTTATTGAACAGATGTTTATTGAGTGCCTGCCATGTGCCAGGTATTATTCTAGACATAGAAGATATAACAGTGGATGGGGCAGGATAATAATTTATCACTCTCAGATTGAAAGCCTGTAAGTATTTATTCAATATTTATATAGTTGAGGTGGATAGCAACTTATAGTCTACTAGCTAAAATTGTACAGTTGAGCCACATGATATGCACATTCAACTTTTGTATTTTTATCTGACTTTCATGCTTTCCAATGCGTTTTTGTTTTGTAGTTTCTTCTTTCTTCATGAGAGTATGTGTTTGTGTGTGTACCACTTCTTGGGTGATAGATTATGGGGTTAAACTTAGATAAAATCACTCTTAGTAGATACCACTATGTTGTACATTATTTAGTTTTATAATTCAAGGAGGTAACTGTGACGTGAAGCTTCAGGCAGCCATCAAATGACTGGTCTCATCATTAGTTTTACTGCCTGTAGTGGCACCATACAACTTGGGCATGTGATTCAAAAAATGCTGAACAGAGATAGGTCAGTCCAGGCAAGGAGTGTTTTAAAATGTCCACCCAAAGAAACAGTCTACCTCAATTATGTAGAAACATGAGTTAACCAGTACCTTATTTCTGATTTATTCCAGTGATGTTTTACTACTTCTTACAGATGATGGTCTAATCAAATGTCCAGTTGGCCAGTGACACACAAAGCTATGTATTTACTAAATCTCATTTCTTTTTCCTCCTCTGGGTGAAAAAAGGACTGCATTTCCCAGCCTTCTTTGCCATATATTAGCTGTAAGACTGGTTTCAGGCCAATGATACACGGGTCAAAGTGATGTGAGCCAACCTCAGGCCAGGTGCTTAAAAATGCTGTGTGACCTTGACCATTTCCCCCACCATTAAGATCTTGGAGGTCAAAGGGTGAGATGGCAGGATTGCAAGATGAGAGGGGCTCAGATGTGGAGACACTGGATGGATAAATTTCCCTGAGAGTCACCTGATGTGTCTCAAATTTAGCATAGGTGGAAAGCTTTGTGGTATGAAGTCACTGACATTTGGGGTTTGTTTGTTACTATGGCATAAGCAATCTGCCTAATAGGTGTTCTGACTGTCAAGCTAGGGCCTACCACATTGTGTTACACCTAATTGCCACATAAATATTTTCGAGATGAATGAATTAGATTAATTTTTACTAAATCTCTTTACCATAAGATTCTAGTCCTGACTTCAACTGAATGTACTAAAAATTTAGTTTATAAGTTAAAAGTAGGTGGAGCATAGGAGGAATTTAGTAAAGATTTGCTGAATGAAAGAAGACAAAAATGAGAAATTTTCACCCTCAGCTTCCTGGAAGGGATTTTTAAATTGTTCATTTTTAGAATGTAGGTAGTAGGTAGGTAGGTAGTTAGGCAGACATGATCAGGGCAAGACAGGTCCCCCCTCCAGGAATGTCAGGCAAGCATCAAGTGATGGTCAGGGGGTTGTTAAACTGTCTCTCTAAAGTAATAACTGGTTGCAGCCAGTGCCAGGGAGAGACAGTCTTCCAATAGAAAACACGTGGGCCCGGCACCGTGGTTCACACCTATAGTCCCAACATTTTGGGAGGCCGAGGTGGGTTGATCATTTGAGGTCAGGAGTCTGAGACCAGCCTGGCCAACATGGCGAAACACCTTCTCTACTAAAAATACAAAAATTAGCTAGGTGTGGTGGTGTGCACTTGTAATCCCAGCTACTCAGGAGGCTGAGGCAAGAGAATCGCTTGAATCCAAGAGGTGGAGGTTGCAGTGAGTCGAGATTGTGCCACTGCACTCCAGCCTGGGTGACAGAGTGAGACTCCATCTCAAAACAAAACAAAACAAAACAACCTAAACCCCTACCCCCCCAAAAAACACCTGAAGCTGATGATCAGCAGCTTCCCCATAAGATGTCAGGAGTTGGGTGAGTGGGCTCATGCATGCATGCTAAGAGGTAAAATGGTGAAGTTTAATTGCTGTGTGGTCTTCTTTTTTTTTTTTTTTTTTTTTGAGACGGAGTCTCGCTCTTTCGCCCAGGCCGGACTGCAGTGGCGTTATCTCGGCTCACTGCAAGCTCCGCCTCCCAGGTTCACGCCATTCTCCTGCCTCAGCCTCTCGAGTAGCTGGGACTACAGGCCCCCACCACCGCACCTGGCTAATTTTTTGCATTTTTAGTAGAGATGGGGTTTCACCGTGTTAGCCAGGATGGTCTCGATCTCCTGACCTTGTGATCCGCCTGCCTTGGCCTCCCAAAGTGCTGGGATTACAGGCGTGAGCCACTGTGCCCGGCCTGTGTGGTTTTCTTCCAGGAACACTTAACTGGCAAGGGAAAAATGCCTCAAGTGAGCATGCCTACAGCTTCAGTAAACACACTGCGCATGTGGCCCCCCTCCCAAGTGCTGGCGGCCCACTGAGCATGTGCACGACCCACCCCAAGGGAAGAATCAAAGGAGGAGAAAAGAAGACCCAGAACCATGCCAATGTAATAAAACCCCAAGTCAAGAGTTGATCAAGGCACCTGGATCTCTCAAGTTGCCCACTTGGCCCTCTTCGAAGTTTACTTCCTTTCATTCCTGCTCTAAAAGTTTTTCATAAACTTTCACTCCTGCTCTAAAACTTGCCTCAGTCTCTCTCTCTTCCTTAACCCTACATCTGCCCCTCAGCTGAATTCTTTCCCTCCAAGGAGGCAAGGATCAAATTTGCTACAGAGCTGTATGGATTCACCACTAGTAACAAGAACAAAGTATCAAAATTAAACATGCTTATTAGGCTGGGCGCCATGGCTCATGCCTGTTATCCCAGCACTTTGGGAGGCCGAGGTGGGTGGATCATCTGAGGTCAGGAGTTCAAGACCAGCCTGGCCAACATGGTGAAACCCCATCTCTACTAAAAATACAAAATTAGCCAGGTGTGGTGGCATGCACCTGTAATCTCAGCTACTTGGGAGGCTGATGCAGGAGAATCACTTGAACCTAGGAGGCGGAGGTTGCAGTGAACTGAGATCACGCCATTGCACTTCAGCCTGGGCAAAAAGAGCAAAACTCCGTCTCAAACAAACAAACAAACAAAAAACTAATTAAAAAAGTTTTGGAAAATGTTTGAGAAAAATAGAAAAACATTTTTCCTCCTTTAATACTATAATGTACATTTTTTGTATTTTTAGGCTTCTTGTTTCTGTTAGATTATTGTGATTGCACTCTAGATGTTCTGGCCTGCTATTTTCTATGTTATTACATAGTCTTCACAAGCATAATTTGTAATGGTTGATGTTATAATACATCTAGGGAATAAGTTATTTAATCCTTTTCTCTTTTGAACATTTAGGTCATTACCAATTTTTCATTTTCACGTGTGCTGCTATGATAGACCTATTTGTATAGTAAGATTTTCTGTATTTAGAATAATTGTCTTGAGGTATATCTGAAAAAAAAAAAAGCTTTTTAGTAATCCAAAAATCTCAGGCTGAAACCAACTCCATTCAGATTAGGACTTTGCATTGGTTTAAGAGTATGCTTTCTAATCCAGTGCTCAACCCTGAATTAGGTCTTCAAGGTCAGCTTCATCATTTGTGTGATTCTATAAAACACATGTGCTCACCATATACATGTACACTTAAAAATAGGCCAAATATAAACATTTAAAACATCAGTTTCCCAAAGCACAGTATCTAATATAATGATGTAACTGCCTAATCATCATACACGTCCCCCTGCCACCAAACCCTTGAGAATTATGAGACACACACACACACACATTTGGCTAAGATACAGACGTACAAGAAAAGATCTGTCTGGATCCGGAGGTTATCATGGAACAGTTCAGCAAAATGTGGTTGCAATAAGAAATAAGGACATTTCTATCCTGGTTATCTCTCCTTTTAGAGCAGGAAAAAAGAACTAAGTCACTTGTTGCCCATTCCCAGTTCATGAAATCAGTGGCAAAACAGAAATGACTGTGTTGCACCTTGTCTGATGTTTCTTGGAAGTTACAATAAGCTGCCAATAAAGACTCAACTTGTGGTCGTGGTGTAATTGAACTATCTCTGGTCGTGATGTGAAATCCCTGATTTTAGATACTCACCCTCTCACTCATGGCATGACTTTAGGTAATTAATTTATTTTTTCTGAGTCATGTATCTTTCATTTGTAAAATGGGATCATTGTAACAAAGGGTGCCTCACAATATGGTGGTGAGAATTTGATATGATAATGGGTAAGAAGATGCTTTATAAACTGTAATGGTCTGTACAAGATATATTTGCTGTTTCTCATTTACTTTTTCTATCTCCTCCAAAACCAGGGCTGCTCTTGATTGGTTACGTTAATTCATAGTGTGCTTTGGAAGATGTTATACCTTCCTCATTCCAACAAGTCACCTTGCAGGGCTCAGCCGGGAAAGATGTTGACCTGAAGCTTCCTCTGCAGAGCGCCCTTCACCTCCTTGTTGCGGAGGCTATAGATGAAGGGATTGAGCATGGGAATTATGATGGTGTAGAAGACGGACACTACTTGGCCATTGGTATTGTTAGTAGATCCATGGGGCTGAACATAGGTGAAAACCACGGTGCCATAGAAAATGGCAATGGCCAGAAAGTGGGAGGCACAAGTGGAGAGGTCCTTCTCCCTCCCTGCTACTGAGCGCATCCTCCCAATGGCCACCAAGACCAAGCAGTAGGAGGTGAGAATGACTGCAGCAGGCAGAAGGGTGACCAGAGCAGAAAAGACATAGAGGACCACTCTTGCTGTGGCTGTGTTGGCACAAGCCAGGTGGAGAAGGGGTGGTATGTCACAGTAGTAGTGTGTTAGCTAGTTGGGCCCACAGAAAGGCAGGGCAAAGACATTTCCAGTCTGGATAGCGGAGTTGGCTCCACCAAATGCATAGGACACAGCTACCAGCTGGAGACAGGTCCCCCTGGTCATGATAGAACCATAATGGAGGGGTTGACAGATGGCTAGGAAGCGGTCATAGGCCATGGAGGCCAGCAGGAAGCTCTCAGCTGTCACATGCACTACAAAGAAGGCGAGCTGGACCACACAGCCCTCAAAAGAGATGGACTTGTCAGAGACCAGGAAGTTGACCAAGAGCTTAGGTGTGACCACAGAAGAGTAACAAATATCAAGAAACGAGAGGACATTGAGGAAGAAATACATTGGGCTTTGGAGATGGGAGTCTGTGAAGATGAGTGCCATCATTCCCAAGTTGCCCACCACTGTTATGGCATAGATGAGCAGGATGGCTCCGAAGAGAAGCTCCTGGAGGTCTGGATAATTGGAGAATCCCTGCAAGATGAACTTGGTGACTGGGGTGTGGTTGCCACTGGCAAGGGCTAGTTCTCCAGGTGTCATCTGCAGAGGTTACAGTTGGCAATCACTCAAACAGTATTACTTGAGCACGTCTACATCTGTGCAAGGTACAATGAGGAAGAATTTCAATCTGTTTTGTGTTGCTATTAAGGAATATCTGAAACTGGGTAAATTTATAAAGAAAAGAGATTTATTTGGCTCCTGGTTCTGCAGGCTGTGCAAGCATGGCATCAGCATCTGTTCTGGTCAGGAACTCAGCAGGCTTTTACTCATGGTGGAAGGCGAAGGGGGAGCAGGCATGACACATGGTGAGAAAGGGAGCACAAGAGAGGGCAGGAGGTGCCAGGCTCCTTTAAACAACCAGCTATTGCATGAACTAACAGAGCAAGAACTCACTCATTACCATGGAGGGGGCAGTAAGACATTCACAAGGGATCTTCCCCCATGACCCAAATACCTCCCACCAGGCCCCACCTCCAACGCTGGGGAGATTTGGAGGGGAAAAACATCTAAACTATAGCATTCTTCCCCTGGCCCCCCAAATCTCATGTTCCTTTCCCCTTGCAAAACACAATCATGCCTTCCCAATAGTCCCCCAAAGTCTTAACTTGTACCAGCATCAGCTGAAAAGTCCAAAGTCCAAAGTGTCATCTGAGACTCCAGGCCAGTTCCTTCCACCTATGAGCCTGTAAAATAAAAAACCATGTAACTTACTTCTAAGACACATTAGTGGTACAGGCATTGGGTAAATATTTCATTCCACAAGGGAGAAACTGTTGAAAAGAAAGGGGCAACAGGCCTCACACAAGTCCAAAACCCAGCAAGGCAGATATTAAATCTTAAAGCTCCACAATCATCCTTGACTCCATGTCCTGCATCCTGGTGAAAGGGGTGGCCTCCCAAGGCCTTGGGAAGCTCCACCCCTGTGGCTTTGCTGGGTGTGGCCCACATGGCTGTTCTCATGGGTTAAAGTGGCTTTTCCATGCTGAGTTTGCAAGCTGCTAGTGGCTCATCCTGGGATCTGGAGGGCAGTGGCTCTGTTCCTGCAGCTCCACTGGGCAGTGCCCTGGTGGAGACTTTGTATGGGGGCTCCAACACCATCTTTCCCCTCAACACTGCCCTTGTAAAGGCTCTCTGTGGGGGCATTTCCCCTGCATGGGGCATCTGCCTGGGCACCCAGGCTTTTCCATACATCCTTTGAAATCTAGATAGAAGCTTCCAAGCCTCCTTCACTCTTGCACTCTGCACACCTGCAGGCTTAACACCACATGGAAACCACCAAGGCTTACGGCTTGTGCCCTCTAGAATGGTGGCCTGAGCTGAACCTGGGGCCCTCTGAAACACAGCTGTAGCTGTAGCCGTGGCATCTGGGATTAGGGGAGCAGTGTCCTGAGGCTGAGCAGGGCAGCATGGACTGGGGCCCTGCTCCTGAAACCATTCCCCCCACCCCTCCAGGCCTCTGGGCCTGTGGTAGAAGAGGCTGCCTCAAAGATTTCTGAAATGGCTTCAAAGCCTTTTTCCCATTGTCTTGGATATTAGCACCTGCCTCCCTTATACTCATGCAAATCTCTCTAGCAAGTGGTTGCTCCACAGCCCTCTTGGCTTCTCCTGAAAATGCTTTTTTCTTCTCTGCCACATGGCCAGGTTGTGATTTTCCAAATTTTTACACTGCACTAACATTTTAGTAAGTTTCAGTATGTCATCATAGGTGTTAGAAGCAGCCATTCCACATCTTGAATGCTTTGCTACTTAGAAATTTTTTCTACCTGATACTCTAAGTCATCATCATTTTTTTTTTTTTTTTGAGACAGGGTCTCACTCTGTTACTCAGGCTGGAGTGCAGTGGCACCGATCATGGCTCACTGCAGCCTCGACCCCCAAGGCTCAAGAGATCCTCCCACCTCAGCCTCCTAAGTTGTTGGGACTACAGGCATGTGCCACCATGCCTAGCTAATTTTTAAATTTTTTCTAGAGACAGGGTCTCACTAGGGTGCCCAGGCTATTCTCAAACTCTTGCACTCAAGCAAACCTCCTGCGTTGGCCTCCCAAAGTGCTGGGATTACAGATGTGAGCCACTGCACCCAGCTCCCTAGGTCATCATTCTTAAGTTCAACCTTCCACAAATCTCTAGGGCATGAACACAAGGCAGCCAAGCTCTTTGCAAAGGCATAACAAGGGTGACCTTTACTCCAGTTTCCAATAAATTTCTCATTTCCCTCTGAGACCTTGTCAGTCTGGCCTTTACTGTCCATATTTCTATTAGCATTTTGATCACAACCATTAACCAGTCTCTAAGAAGTTCAAACTCTCCCTCGTCTTCCTGTCTTCTTCTGAGCCCTGCCAACTCTTCTAGCCTCTGCTCATTACCCAGTTCCAAAGCCACTTCCACATTTTCAGGTATCTTTATAGAGGCACCCCACTTCTCAGTACGAATTTTCTGTGAGTCTATTTTGCGTTGCTATAAAGGAATATCTGAGACTAGGTAATTTATAAACAAAAGTGATTTATGTGGCTCATGATTCTGCAGGTTGAAAAGCATAGCCCCAGCATCTGTTCTGGTCAGGACTTCAGGAAGCTTTTACTCATGGAGGAAGGGGAAGGGGGAGCAGGTGTGTTACACAGCAAGAAAGGGAGCAAGAGAGAATGGGGAGGAGGTGCCAGGCTCCTTTAAACAACCAGCTCTTGTGTGAACTAACAGAGCAGGAACTCACTCATTACCGTGGGGATGGCACCAAGACGTTCATGAGGGATCAGCCCCTATGACCCAAACACCTCCCACCAGCCTCCACCTCCAACACTGGGGACCACATTTCAACATGAGATTTGGTGGGGACAAACATCCAAACTATATCAAATACCAAGTTAAGTATAAGGCTCCTTCTACAAGAAGCCAAAAAAGGGATTTTGTAGGCATTCTAAAGTTAGTTGCTTTTTCTTTCCTTTTTTTCACGTTTCAGTTATTTATTCATCAGTGTAATGTCCAACGCAGTACACCAGCATGATTTCATGTTTGTGGAGGAGAAATATTTCCTGGTTAAGTGGAAAAGTGTGTGGATGGCGTCTAGAAGATCCTAATTCTAAGCAGCTTTACAGTGAAGCATTTCATTTAGAAATCTGGGCCTTCTTTCTTCAGTTTGCTGTAATCTACATTCACTGAGTAGGACTTGTATTGATCATTGGGACTCAGTTTGTTCCAGGGTTCTGGGTTATTGTTTCTGGCCCAACTAACATCTGGACTGAAAGATGCCAGACACAAGACATACCATGCTGCTCCAGTACTCCCAGCTCCAATAAATATGAAGCAGGATATCAAACTCGGATTCTTCTTGGTCTGACTAAGGGTCTGGTGGGGCATGTCTGCAGCAGAAACCTCTGATTCGAAAGGAGAGAACAAGCCTAGCTAATAGGCTCTGGACTAAGCAGTATCTCTATTTACTTTTTCAATACTTAGTTATCAAATTATATCTTCGTGTGGTATTCTGGAAATTTGCATATGCTGGTGAGATGCCTTCTCATAAGATTCAGCATAGGTTAGAAGCATATATTTCTTGGCTGGGTGTGGTGGCTCATGCCTATAATCCCAGCACTTTGAGAGGCCAAGGAGGGTGGATAACTTGAGGTCAGGAGTTGGAGACCAGCCTGGCCAACATAGTGAAACCCTGTTTCTACTAAAAATACAAAAATTAGCTGGGCGTGGTGGTGTGTGCCTATAATCCCAGCTACTCAAGAGTCTGAGGCAGGAGAATCGCTTGAACCTGGGAGGTGAAGGTTGCAGTGAGCTGAGAGCAAGCCACTGCTCTCCAGCCTGGGGGACAAAGCAAGACTCCATCTCAAAAAAAAAAAAAAAAAAAGCAAAAAAAAAAAAGCATGCATTTCTTTTCAAAAGTGGGAGAAGGGCAATTGTGAAGGGGGAGATGAGAGACAGTCCAGCATTCTCATCACAGAGGTGTTCTCAAGCATGTCAGTTTTAGGAAAGCATAGATATGGACATTGAGGTTCTGGAAACCGGTGCCCTTAGAAGGTCTTGCCTGTGAACCCTTTGAAGAGTCTTCACTTACCCTCAGGGCTACCAACCCTCATTTGAAGACTGTGGCCTTAGAAGAACTAGCCGGCTACTGAAACCTCCAAGACCCTGCCTCCGCCCTTGCTGCCTCTCCTCCCTCCCTCCCAGAGATGGGCCTGTGATTATGTGACTGTAGGAGAATTCAAGAAACATTCCATGCCCTTCGCAGAATGACCGTCTATTTACTGGAAAGGTCAGAATATGTGATCTCAAAAGTCAGGGTCCTGGTGGTGTGGCAGAATCCTATCCGTGATTCACCCTTGACGTTCAACCTAGCACAGTCAGCCTCCTGGCCTGTGCCCCAGTTTCTCCACCCAGATGCCCCATGTATCATTTACGCTTATTCTTTTCTACCTTTCTTAGGGGTTTCCTTCTGTTCAAATCTAAATGTCCACGAGTCTCTGATCTACAATGAGTATTATTGCTTTCATTTTTCTCTGATAGGATGACAGACCAGTCCCTTAGGCACGCACATTCACAAAGTCATACTCAGCATTATTATTATTTAAAACAATTTTTTTTTTGAGACAGTCTCGCTCTGTCACCCAGACTGGAGTGCAGCAGCATGATCTCGGCTCACTGCAACCTCTGCCTCCCGGCTTCAAGCAATTCTCCTGCCTCAGCCTCCTGAGTAGCTGGAATTACAGGCACGTGCCACTATGCCTGGCTAATTTTTGTATTTTTAGTAGAGACAGGGTTTCACCATGTTGGTCAGTCTGGTCTTGAACTCCTGACCTCAGGTGGTCTGCCCACCTTGGCCTCCCAAAGTGTTGGGATAACAGGCATGAGCCACCATGCCCAGCCATATATTTAGGCTGAATTCCTGGAATCCAGCAAATAATGTTTCTTGTTTACCTTCCCAATCCCTCTCTTCCACCATCTTCCCACGGCCCAGTACTGCATTCCCTCCTAATCCTCCACTGCTCCCATCTCAACTTCCATATGGCCATTTGATTCCTTCAGAGACACACCTATTAATAATTCTCAATTGTTGTGACCTCGGCAACAGCCTTCCAGGTGTACTTTGAGGTTCCCAAGTGCAGAGTATTTCCAGGTTTCCTCTATCATCCCTCCAGGTCTCCTCAAGCATCCCTCCAGGTCTCCTCTAGCATCCCTCCAGGTCTCCTCTAGCATCCCTCCAGGTCTCCTCTAGCATCCCTCCAGGTCTCCTCTATCATCCCTCCAGGTCTCCTCTATCATCCCTTCCGGCTTCCTCTATAATCCCGCAATGCCATCCCTCAGTCCTTCTAGTAAGACTTCCCTTTCCCCAGTGAGTCCTTGTTTTGTGTGCTGTTGTCATCTGGCAGTTGATTTTTACTCACACACATATTTAGAATTGTGTAACAGGGTCTGTCAATGTTTCTAAGTCTTTCTTCCCTCCTGCATGGTGTTGCTTTGCTTCCCTATCACATAACTTCTGAGAGCAGAGGCTGTTTTAAGCTATATAAGAAGCTGTCAGTGACTATTTGAACAACTACTATAATCTGAAAATATTTGAACAATTGCAGTCGTTCAAAAGGGTTTAAACAATTATGGTTGTTCAAAGTATTTAAACCATCATAGTTGTTCAAAGTATTTAAACAATAGCATAAGACACGGCTGTGGCCACTTAAGATCTTAAAATTTTGTTAAGAGACACACTTGCTTCCATGAAAACGAGTGAAGTTGGGTGGAGCCCACTGCCAGCAGGAACCCATTGAGGGAAGGGTGATTGCAGCTTGGGGTGCTCTGGGGAGACTTCAGGACCAGGAGGCACGGGGCTGAGCCTTGAGGAATGAGAAAGGTGTTGCTAGTTGGAGGAGATGGGGAAGTGCGATCACCTGGAACTGGGAATTAACCTCAGTAAACATTTACCGGGCAAAAGGTGCATTGGAAGGGGTCAGGAAACTTGGCAGAGTTACTTAACCTCTCTGAGCCTCAGTTTCTGTGAGGATTGAAAGACAATGCGTGTCAATGTTGTACTCAGCACACTTCTGGAAACAAGGTAGGTACCTGATGTACATTAACTTCCACCAAGTTAGATTATGCGTACCTGATGAATGGGGAGCTGGAAAACATTGCTCAAGACCGTTGAATACCATGGGATCTCAGGAAATGCTTAAAGGCTGACAGAGTAAGGGATGGTGTGGGTGTGGATTTTGAAGGGAAGGGGAAGAGAACAGGCAACCTCAGCCTTCTGAATCAGCTCTGGTGGAACGCAGTAAAATCTGCAATAGAAAAATACCAACCTTAGCAGATGGTGCTCCCCAGCCCGATATACCTCAAGATGGCTGGGGGGACTCAAGATCCTCCCAGGCCAGCCACGTAGGGGTAGTTCTGGGACTCCCTTCCACTCCAGCCTGTATCTTCAATTTCTCCTCTCTAAAGCTGTTCCTGGGGTAGCCACACATTCAGACTTGATAAGACACACAGCTCAGGCAAACAGGATGTGGCATTCAGGACTGAAGCTACGGTTGCATCTTGGTCCTGCCCAGAGCTTATAAAGCTGGCTTCATCTCCTCTTGATCTCTGGTGGCTCTGGAGGCTTAGAGCTCTGGAAGGTCCTTGAAACACACCACCTCCCTACCTGGGAGGTTCAGGCCTCAGGGAAGAAGAGATTATCTCTCCCTCTAGATTTCAGGCATTTGTTTTGTTCTTGAGGCACAGCGGGGATAGGGGGGTTAGGATCTCCTTGAGGAGATGGAGTTTGTCGTTCTAGTTTTTTTTAAGGTAGGATTTCCCTATGTTGCCCCCCAGGCTGGTTTCGAACTCCTGGGCTCAAGCTATTCCCCTGCCTCATTCTCCCAAAGTGCTGGGATTACAGGCTTGAGCCATGATGCCTAGCCATTGTCACTCCGTTCTTGGCAGTAGAAAGTCTTAGCACGAGCCGGTAGGAGACGTCCTGCCTCCTCCTTGGATTCTGAAGTCTGAACGAGGAAAAGTCATCTTGTCCCTTGGGAGCTTACAGGAACCTGGGGGACAGTCTATGAGGTTTTTGACTAAATGACCCAAGGGGCCTTCTTTGCTGAACATTGAGGGTCTGTTGTGGGCCTCAATACTGATCAAACAAATCGGGGACACTAAGTTCAGAGGTTGGTAAGGAGCTGAGAGTGGTCTAGGGTTAGGGCCAGGGCTAGAGCTAAGTCCCTTTTTGCGTCATAAACTTCCGTCACTGTTGCTCAAGGCTGGGTCCCAGCAGTGACGGAGCACTGAGGGGAGCTGGGAGCACACTAGGGCAGGGACTCTGGGGCCCTTCCAGGAAGCTCTCTAGGCTTCACCCACTGGGGACTCATCGGAGGAGGCACTAGGGGCCTTGTTAATGGAATGGGTAGTTTATATTAGCAATTAAAAAATATGATATTTAAAAAAAAATGCTGCTGGGTGCAGTGGCTCACTTCTGTGGTCCCAGCACTTTGAGATGCTGAGGCGGGCAGATCACCTGAGGTCAGGAGCTCGAGACCAGCCTGACCAACACGGAGAAACCCCGTCTCTACTGAAAATACAAAATTAGCTGGGTGTGGTGGCCCATGCCTGTAATCTCAGCTACTCGGGAGGCTGAGGCAGGAGAATCATTTTCACCCAGGAGGCACAGGTTGCGGTGAGCCGAGATCGCGCCGTTGCACTCCAGCCTGGGCAACAAGAGCGAAACTCCATCTCAAAATCCAAGGGAAAAACAAGACAAAAAATAAAAAAATAAAAAGATGATATTTCCAGAAATGAAGCTAACTTCTAAGCACAGGAAATGCTGATGGGCATAAGGAGGAGCCAAGGGATTTGTTACCAGGAGCGAACACACAGACTGATCATCTCCCAGTTGTTGCTTCTCTCCTCCTTTCCTCCCTCTCTGACAGCGCTTTGTGGTGGGAGGGTGGGTTCCTCCTTACGCTTGTGTCAGCTGACTCCGCTGTCCTGAGACTGCGTCTCGAGGAGCTCAGCTGAGGCTACTGGAGTGCTGGTGGTTGTGGTTCTGTGAATAATGGATTGTTCCAGCTAAAGGGAATTACACAGTATCCAGTCCGGCGGGCTCTCAGCTGAGATGTGACGGTACAGCAGTGCCTGAGGCAGGATTGGAGTCCCGAACATGGGAAGACCAAGAACATGCTTGGGGCACCAGCAAAGTAGACGCATCAAAAAAAAAAAAAAAAAAAAAAAAAAGACTCATTTGGACATTTTTTTAAAAAGCACCAGGAAAGGATAGAACGTTGGAATTTGCTTTAAAATAATCTGGCTGGGAAGAGTGGAAAGATAAAGCAAGAACTGATTATAAAATGATAAATGTTGAGGCTGAGTGATAGGTACATGGAAGTCAGTTTATTATACTGTCTGCTTTGGTATATATTTGAACCTTTTAATGGTAATTTTTAAAAACATCGAAGCATCATAGAAAAATTAAAACTTTGTTGCAATTCCTTATACTGAAGTTTTTTTTCAGTTTGGAACTGGGTTAAAGAAAATTCCTAAGTGAGGCTGGGCTCACTGGCTCAAGCCTGTAATCCCAGCACTTTGGGAGACCAAGGCGGGCAGATCACTGGAGGCCAGGAGTTCGAGACCAGTCTGGCCAACATGGCGAAACACCATCTCTACTAAAAACACAAAAAAATTAACCGGGTTTGGTGGTGCACACCTGTAGACCCAGCTACTTGGGAGTCTGAGGTGAGAGAATCTCTTGAACCCAGGAGGTGGAGGTTGCAGTGAGCTGAGATTGTGCCACTGCACTCTAGTCTGGGTGACATAGGGAGACCCTGACTAAAAAAAAAAAGAAAGAAAGAAAATTCATAAGTGGAGTGGTATGCACATAATTTTTCAGTGCTGCTGGAATTATAGACGTGAGCCACCATGCCCAGCTCAGCACTCATCTTAACAGGAAATAAAGCTGGTGTTCAATGAGAAGTGACTTACCCAGGGTCATACAACTAATTAGTTCTAGACTCAAAATTGTAACCCGTGTCTCTTGGATTCCAGTCTACAAATCTTTATGTGGTCCCATCATCCTGTCAAAGAGTGCCTGGTCAATAATTTGGCATAAATGAATGCACAGAGCTTTTTGTCTTGCCCTAACAAGAAGCTTCAGTACTTTGTTACTTTGATTTTTTTGGGTAATTTTTTTTTAATTGAAAACACAAAGATTTAGATGTGTCTACCACTTGACTTAATAAACATGAATATTTTTGTTATACGTTTCAAATATGTTTATTTTTTATTTGTATTAAAAAATTTTTTCAGAGATGGGGTCTCATTCTGTTGCCCAGACTGGCCTCAAACTCCTGGGCTCAAGCGATCCTCCTGCCTCCTCACCGTCTTGAATAGCTGGGACTTCAGGCACATGCCACCATGCCTGGCCTACATACATATTTATTTATTTGAGATGGAGTCTCACTTTATCACCCAAGCAGAGTGCAGTGGGGCGATCTTGGCCCACTGCGAGCTCCGCCTCTCAGGTTCAAGCGATTCTCCTGCCTCAGCCTCCTGAGTAGCTGGGATCACAGATGCCCACTACCATGCCTGGCTAATATTTGTATTTTTAGTAGAGAGGGAGTTTCACCATATTGGCTAGGCTGGTCTCGAACTCCTGACCTCAGGTGATCCATCCACCTCAGTTTCCCAAAGTGCTGGGATTATAGGCGTGAGCCACTGTGCCCAGTTTACAAGGTGTTTTTTTTTTTTTGAGACAGAGTCACACTATGTTGCCCAGGCTGGAGTGCAGTGGTGTGACCTTGGCTTACTGCAATCTCCACTTCCCAGGTTCAAGTGATTCTCATGCCTCAACCTCCCGAGTAGCTGGGATTACAGGCATGTGCCACTATGCCCAGCTAATTTTTGTATTTTTAGTAGAGACAGAGTTTCACCATGTTGTCTAGGCTGGTCTCAAACTCCTGACCTCAAGTGATCCTCCCGCCTCAGCCTCTCAAAGTGCTGGGATTACAGGCATGAGTCACCATGCCCAGCCTTACATAAATATTTAATCAGATAACACACTACAGGTCATTGAAATCCCTATGTATTCTACCCGAGTCCTATGCCTCTCCCTTGCTAGAGAGACAACCATTATCATAAATTTGGCTTGTATCCTTCAGTGCAGGAAAGCATAATTTTCAAAAAAATTAAAACAATAAGATATTGGATTGGATATTCAAGTGGTTCTTGTCCTATATGCAATAAACTGTAAACTTTGGGGCTATCTTTTCTATAAGACAGAAATTATTTGCATCTCTACTGAACAAGAATGTGTAAGTTAACATGTAATTTCACTAAATTTGAGACTTTTAGTCAATAGGAAGCAGTGAGTCAAATCAAGTATATTCTCCTGAATTACCCTTGGTGGACCTATTAAATCTATTAAATAATGTCCCCATATGATATTGAAAGGACATCCCACACCTTTTCCCATTATTTCCACGTTTAGAATAATTTTTTTTAGCAAGTCTATATTTTACTACTGATGTGAATCTATAAGTAATAATAATAATCATGAGCATTTATTGGTGCCAGCACTCTTTTAAGGCAAAGGTACATATTAAGTCCATTTAGTCCCTCGACACCAACATTAGGTCCAATTATTATTCTTATTTTACAGATGGAAAACAGACACAGAGAAGTAAATTCCACAGTTATATACAGTTAGAAAGTGGAAGAACTATGATTTAATCCCAGAGTTTACATATTAGTTTGCCATTTGCTGTTTTGCTCTCAACATAATATTTTGAAGAACTCTTCAGGATGTTAATATAGTTATTAAAAAAAATAGAGATGGGGTGTCTCTTTGTTGCCCAGGATGGTCTTAAACTCCTGGCCTCAAGCAATCCTCTCACCTTGGCCTCCCAAAGTGCTGGGATTGCTGGCATGAGCCACCATGCCCAGCCAATGCTAATAACATAGTTATAGTTCATCATTCATTTTAACTATAATTTTACCATAGAGTGTTCCACTGTATATAGTATGTATCTGGTTACATACAACGTGTGTGAACCGTCACTTTATGTTAAATGAAGTAAACCAGACTCAAAAGGACAACTGTTGCATGATCTCACTTATACAATGATATGGTTTGGAATTGTGTTCCACTCAAATCTCATGTCCAGTTGTAATCCCCAGTGTTGGAGGAGGGGCGTAGTGGGAGGTGATTGGATCATGGGGGAGGACTTCTGCCTTGCTGTTCTTGTGATAGTGAGTGAGTTCTCATGATATCTGGTTGTTTAAAAGTGTGTGGCATCTGGCTGGGCGCAGTGGCTAACACCTGTAATCCCAGTACTTTGGGAGGCTGAGGCAGGTGGATCACCTGAGGTCAGGAGTTCGAGGCCAGCCTGGCCAGCATGGTGAAACCCTGTCTCTACTAAAAATACAAACATTAGCTGGGTGTGGTGGTGCCCGCCTGTAATCCCAGCTACTCGGGAGGCTGAAGCATGAGAATCGCTTGCACCCAGGAGGCAGATGTTGCAGTGAGCTGAGATAGTGCCACTGCACTCTGGGTGACAGAATGAGACTCCATTTCAAAAAAAAAAAAAAAAAAAAGTGCGTGGCACCTCTCTTCTTCCTGCTCCAGCTATGTAAGACATCCCTGCTTCCCCTTCACCTTCTGCCATGATTGAAAGTTTCCTGAGGGCTTCTCAGCCATGCTACCTGTACAGTCTTCAGAACTGTAAGCAAATTAAACCTCTTTTCTTTATAAATTACCCAGTCTCATGTATTTCTTCATAGCAGTGCAAGAACAGACAAATACAAGATAACTAGAATAGGCAAATTCATAGATACAGAAAGTAGACTAGGGGCTGGGGGAAGAAGGGAGGGAATGGGAAGTTGTTAATAGGTACAGAGTTTCTGTCTGAGATGATGAAAGATTCTGAAAAGGGACAGTGTTGATGCTTGCACAATATTGTGAATGCACTTAAATTGTATATGTACAATCTATATTGTATGCAATATACTTAGATTGTAAATTGTATATTTGAATGGTTAAAATGATAAACTCTATGTTAAAAAGAGAGGATGTGATGGTTCCTGACTTCCAGGCTTGCTGTAAGAGTTAAATGATAGACTACTTGTGAGAGAACAGGAACACATTGCAGATACTCAGTAAATTGTAGCTGCTGCTAGTTTCTTCCTCCTCTTCTCCCTCGTTTCCTTAGAAAAAGTCAAAAGAGCATGGCTTTTCTTTTGATCTGTATTAATTTCTGAGTTCAGAGTCTGAACATACAATTGTGTAGCTAACTTCCCACTGTCTACATGGGGCCTACTACCCCACCTACTGTCATTTCTTTTTTTTTTTTTTTTGGGACAGTCTTACTCTGTTGCCCAGGCTGGAGTGCAGTGGCATGATCTCAGCTTGCTGCAACCTCCGCCTCCTGGATTCAAGCGATTCTCCTGCCTCAGCCTCCCGAGTCACTGGGATTACAAGCATGCTCCAAAATGCCTGGCTAATTTTTGTATTTTTAGTAGAGATGGGGTTTCACCATGTTGGCCAGGCTGGCTTGAACTCCTGACCTCAGGTGATCCTCCCACCTCGGCCTCCGAAAATGCTAGGATTACAAGTGTGAGCCACTGCGCCCGGCACCCACCTGCTGTCATTTCTAACCCTACCAGGTGGCTGCCTTTCTCAGCCTGGGCTTTTTTACTTTGCCATCGTTGGATGAGTATTTAGAAAGCTCCAGTTTTTCTTAGTGTTAGCCTCCACAAGCACTTAGAAGGAAAATCTGCTGTCAAAACACATTACCTTGTGGGTTTCTGAGACTGAGTTATGTTTGGGGTATCTGTGCAACTGCTGTCTTCCCATGGATGCTGATAACCAAGTGCTGACTGTGAAGGACAAATACAGACATAGAAATGGAGGTGAATGTGTGGACTTTGTTGATTGTTTAAACAGCATAAGCCCAAAGAAGCCAATTTATATGGAAGTGAGAGTAGGTGGGAGAGAGCCCAAGGAGGCCGAAAGAGCATGGCTTTTGCAATTAAACAGGTAAAGACAATCTGGCTTCATCACATTTACCTCGGTTACAATTAGCCTAAGGTTTCTGTTTGCAAAATGAGCGTAAAATACCACAAAGTGTGGTTGTAAAGATTCACCTGAGAGGCATGTCAGTTTGTAAAGCATGGGTTAAGTCTAATTGCCTTCCTTCTCTATTTTGGAATAGAATGAATTAATTAAGCAGGTGTTTTCTCATGGACCCACAAAATGTAAAGTAGAGGAGAGGAAGGACCAATATTTCCCAATAGATAAAGAGAGAAAAAAGAATAGAGTATGTGCGAGGATGGCAAACTTTGTGTAAGGTGAGAAGAGAATAGGGCTTAGGTTTTAGTAGGAGCTTAAAAGAATAACTTGCTGAATTAATGGAATATTTGTTAGATGGGTCTATTACATTTGTCCAGCTACAAGTGACAGAAAACTCAAGCAAGGTGACTTAAGCTGTAAGAATATTTATTCTTTGTTTACAAGAAGTTTTGCAGTGGTCTTGTCAGGAAATGTCTTCTGCAGAAGCCAAGAACCAGCTGGCTGATTTCTCCTAAAGCTCATTGGCCAGATGTATATCATATGATCACTTCTAGCCACAAAGGGCCTGGGAAAGAGCAATTGGCTTATCAAGCCTCTATAGTTTGATGCAGTCAAGAGAGAAAGGGTGGACATTTTTGTTGAGTCTGTAACAGTGGGCTTAGATTGGTAAGAAAGACAAGCATGGTTACTTAATCTACTGATACCAGGTGAGGCTCAGAAAAATGTGCCCTGGATGAATTTGGTGTCTACATGTAAACTGCTGTCACTGTGAAGGAAAAACAAAAACTTCCTCTTATCTGACTGGGCGTGGTGACTCACACCTGTAATCCCAGCACTTTGGGAGGCTGAGGCAGGTGGATCACTTGAGACCAGGAGTTCAAGACCTACCTGGCCAATATGGAGAAACCCTGTCTTTACTAAAAATACAAAAATTAGCCGGGGGTGGTGGTGCATGCCTGTAATCCCTGCTACTCAGGAGGCTGAAGCATGAGAATCGCTTGAACCCAGGAGGCGGAAGCTGCAGTGAGCTGAGATCGCACCACTGCCCTCCATAGTCCAGCCTGGGCAACAGTGAGACTCTGCCTACATAAATAATAAATAAATAAACAAACTTTCTCTTACCTTACCTTGAATATCCTCTCTGTAGCACATGTTCAAATCCTACCTACATATACCTACTGTTTGCTTATTCATGCTTATATGCAGGTATTTTATGCATTAATTAATGTGATAGATATTAATTAAATGCCTACCATGTGCAAGGAGCTGCCCTAGGTCCTTTGACTATCATGGTTTTTATTATCAAGGAGGTTACAGTCTGGTAGAAGAGATATTACTGTACTTCAATGATTATATAATGAACAGCACAAAGGTTTAAGTGCCCTAAAAGAAGTGCTTAGAAGTGCTGTGAAAGGTTCTATGAATGCAGAAATTACTTCTGGCTGGTTTAATCAGGAAAGATTTTTTGGGGGGTGGTGTAGGGAGGTAGGGTTTGCATTGATACAGGTTAAAGAGAGGTGGAGAGGAAAGGTGGTCACCGCGAGATGAAACAGTAGGAATAGGCTGAGAGGGGGAAGTGCTGGGCTTGCCAAGCAATTCTGATCTCTGGTTCCTCCCTTTAGTGACTTCCTGTCTTGCTTTTTGGTGGGGCCACACTTACGTCAATAATTACATACTTTTCATTTATGTGTGTGTATATCCTTTTCCCTCCTAACCAGACTGTAGCATCCACACAGCTGCCCATAACAGGTTCTCAATAAATATCTGATGAGTTCCTTGTTAATATTAATTACTATTCTTTAAGATTTATATAGTGACCATTTCCAAGAAGACTTGATATCTTTTGCAAATAAAAGCTTGTAGTGAATGTGTGTTGGGATGCCTGCCTGTCCATAGCCCCTTTCTCTGGGAACTGCTCTTTCATTTCAGTTTGAGATATAGTCTAGGCTGCCACTTAGGTATAGTCTAGAGTACCATGTCATGGCTCCCTCTCTGGGCATGGCTTATTGGACCAGGAATGGACATCTCCAAACTGGTCTTTCCCAGGAATCTGGGGAACAAATGTGCTTGTGGTGGCTAAACTCAGAAGCCCATTTCAATCAGGCTAGGGGCTGGCACCATGGCAACCAGAACCATGTGTAAGCTGCATTAGTGGGGAGCAGAAACCATGGCTAAGCAGAGGGGGCCACACTGCAGTGAAGAGATGGGGAAAGGCATACAAGAAGAAGCAGAGATACAACATCATTCACCTCCAGTAAGAGGGAGATGCATGGAGGCTCCATCCCTGACAGCCTCCCACATACAAGCCAGATCCAAGTCCTAAGGAAGCCTGATGTGTTTAGCATCTGAAAGATTGTGCTGCCTTTGCAGTACACCTCCTCTTTATTTGAGCTCAACTTGAATAGTTTTCTGTTTCTTACATACAAAAAATCCTTGGATAGAGCAAAGTGCAGCACAAAATAGGACATTAATAGGTAACAAACCTGGAATCATTTACAAGAGTGGCTCTCTCCTTTCACCTCAAAGCAGTATATTCTGTAAACTTCATATACTGAAATATTGTGGCTGCCTCCGAAAACACTTATTAATGTAATGCAGCTCCCATTTTTTGTTGTTGTTGAGACAGGGTCTCGCTTTGTTGTCCAGGCTGTAGTGCAGTGATGCAATCACAACTCACTACCGCCTCTAACTCCCAGCTTCAAGCGATCTTCCCACCTCAGCCTCCCCAGTAGCTGAGACTATAGGCATGCATCGCCATGCCCAGCTAACTTTAAAAATTTTTTTGTAGAGATGAGGTCTCACCACGTTGCCCAGGCTGGTCTCGAACTCTTGGTCTCAAGTGATCCTCCAGTCTTGGCCTCCCAAAGTGCTGGGATTACAGGCATGAGCCACCTTACCTGAGCAGTTCTCATTTTTATAAATTAAAGACTAACTACCAACCAGGTTTTGAATAAAAATTAAAAAATTAGAATTACTAGGCCGGGTGCAGTGGCTCACGCCTGTAATCCCAGCACTTTGGGAGGCTGAGGTGGGTGGATCACAAGGTCAGGAGATCAAGACCATCCTGGCTAACATGGTGAAATCCCGTCTCTACTAAAAGTACAAAAATTAGCTGGGCATGGTGGCGGGCGCCTGTAGTCCCAGCTACTCAGGAGGCTGAGGCAGGAGAATGGCGTGAACCCAGGAGGTGGAGCTTGCAGTGAGCCAAGATTGCCCCACTGCACTCCAGCCTGGGTGACAGAGCAAGACTCCGTCTCTAAAAAAGAAAAAAATAATTAGAATTACTGCATAGAGTTTATGTTATTCCAACTATAAACAGCAACACTTGATGTTTTTAATTAGCCTGTGTTGCTTTACTAAAGTGTCACTTTCATCAGCTTTTGGAGATATTAATATTAGATCTAAGATACCTCTCTTGTGATCTTTATGGATCTCCAGAAGTTCCAAAATTCCAGGTTGGGAGACATCAATATAGATGAAGTAGGAATAGGTACTTGGTGAGAGCTGATTACAAGGGACTCTAGGAACTCACCGAATTAACCTTGAAGATTTTTCAGAAAGAAAACTTGCAATTTTGCTGAGCTATGAATTTCAACCATCTGCACTGCCCCACTGGTGTTTGCAATGAGTCACTTTCCTAGTGAGTCCATTTAGCAGAACCCCTAGCATTTGCATATCAGTGTGCCTTTGTTGACTATGCATTTTATAGGGAAATTATATGCTATAGTGGCATTTGCAAGATTGGGGATTGGGTAAATTCTCAGAAATATCACTCAATAATATGCAAAGTCTAGCCTAGTGCAGTGTTTTCCAAAAGTCAGTCATATTTTTTGCCAATTTTCATTCTAGTTGTAATATTTACTTAATATTTAAAAAATCCAACTTATTTAAAAATAAACTAAGTCTAGACCTGCCAATTTCATTAAAGTCCATGGATGTAATGCAACAGTTGTATCTTTAATGCATACTAAAATAAATGTATAACTGATATGATTTGGCTATGTCCCCACCCAAAATCTCATCTTGAATTGTAATCCCCATAATCCCCAATAGAGAGACGAGGTGGAGGTAATTGAATCATAAGGGTGGTTTCCCCCATGCTGTTCTCATGATGGTGAGTGAGTGAGTAAGTTCTCATGAGATCTTTTTTTTTAAGACAGAGCCTTGCTCTGTTGCCCAGGCTGGAGTGCAGTGGCATGAGTTCGGCTCACTACAACCCGGGTTCAAGCAATTCTCCCATCTCAGCCTCCTGAGTAGCTGGGACTACAGGCACGCACCAGCCTGGTTAATTTTTGTGGTTTTAGTAGAGAAGGGGTTTCACCATGTTGGCCATGCTGGTCTTGAACTCCTGACCTCAAGTAATCCACCTGCCTCGGCCTCCCAAAGTACTGGGATTACAGGAATAAGCTGCTGCACCCGGCCAAGATCCGATGGTTTTATAAGTGTTTGGTAGTTTCTCCTGCATTTGTTCTCATTCCTGCTGCCTTGTGAAGAAGGTGCCTTGCTTCCCCTTTGCCTTCTGCCATGATTGTAAGTTTCCTGAGGCCTCCCCAGCCATGCTGAACTATGAGTCAATTAAAACCTCTTTCCTTTATAAATTATCCAGTCTCAGGCAGTTCTTTATAGCAGTGTGAAAACAGACTAATACAATAACTATTGAAATACATTTGTTAACTTGTGTTTCACCTAAAATCCTGTTGTCCACACTTTGGCCTTGGAAATCACTTAAACCAGGTATAAATCCTGGTTCTGATATTTATTGGTGGTATAGTGTTGGATAAGCTACATAATATCTGTGATTGCCAGGTTCCTCATCTATGTAAAGAGGAGTTGAAAATTCCTACCTCACAAGGAATGTTGTGAGAATCAAACAAGAAATAGCATGCACAGTATGTAGATCAGCATAGTGCCTGGCACCTAGTTAGCTCCCAGTGAATGATAGCTTATACTGATTATGGGTTGCAATTTAGATTCACTAAAATTGCCAAATGTAGTTTTGTCTTCCAGGAAACAAAGACAAAAAAATCAACCCATTTGATTGCATCCTAGTAGAATAGATTTTCCTTGGGTTGCTAAATGCAGGCATCTCCAAGGAGATGACAGTAATTCATTCAGGCAGCCTGCTGAGGATGGTAAAGGGCAGTGGAGATGGCCATTGGAAAGAATAGGGAAAAGGTGAATCAGAAGTAGAGTTGGAAGAAGATATCACATAACAGACTCAGAGTGGCCAAAGGGGGAAAGTGCTGTCCAGTCACAAGGGTGCTGAAATAGCACAGTGCTGCAGACAAAGTTGCAAGTAATTTTATCTCAACATGTCTGTGCTTCCTAACAATATCTCAGGTACACCTCCTCTTCTCCACCCTTCTCACAGTCTGTCACCTCAACCTTCCACCTACATCTACCCTCTCACTCAAATCTCCACGTCCCACCCCATCTTCCCTTCCAGCTGGCTGATTGCTGACCTTCCTGCAAATGATGCTTGCTGCTGCCAACACATGCTTCATTCCTAGGAAGGTTCTGCGTGTAGGAAGTAGCTGGAATGAGGCTTTCAGGGTTGATGACTTCACATTTCCTACTTCAGTCGTAAATAGCCCCTAGTGTTAATGGGGCTGGGTCACAGCCTCCAGGACTGTAATGCTGAGGATGACAGCTTTCAGAAACATGGTTATAGCTGCCTCCTACTCTGTATAAAAAATATCAGTCTTATCTCCCATGTCTGTCAGCGTAGGTTTCCCCTGTGCTCCATCCAGTCAGACCCTTGCATGTAACACACTGCTCTAATTCCTGTCTTCTTCTTGTTCCTCCCCGTCAAGATTTATCTTTCCCATATTTAAATGTCTAATTTAAACTTCCTTTGCTCCAGACCACCCTAACTGAAAGTAGTATTTCTTTCTTCTGAAATCCTACAGCATTTTCACACTGGATATGCCACTTAGCTCTTGGTAATAAACTGCCTTAAGCTCATTTTGAAAATTACTAAACATGTGGCAGTTTAGCCTCTATGGAGGGCAGGGACCAAAGTGTTTGCTGTTTACACGTTCTTTTTTTTTTTTTTTTTTTTTTTTTGAGAAAGAGTCTCACTCCTTCACCCAGGCTGGAGTGCAGTGGCATGATCTTGGATCATTGCAGCCTCCACCTCCTGGATTCAAGCAATTCTCCTGCCTCAGCCATCCAAGTAGCTGGGATTACAGGTGTGAACCACCACACCTGGCTAATTTTTGTATTTTTAGTAGAGATGGGGTTTTTCCATGTTGGCCAGTTTGGTCTCGAACTCCTGACCTCAAGAGATCTACCTGCTTTGGCCTCCCAAAGTGCTGGGATTACAGGCGTGAGCCACTGTGCCCGGCCTGTTTGCATGTTCAGTATTCTAGATAGCTCCAAACACGTAACAGGATACACAGTGGTGCTCAATAAATTTTTATTGGTTGAATAAATATGTGGCGGAAGTAATAACCAATAAATAACTGGCTGAAGGAAATGACTTCGGGAGAAATGAAAGGAACCAACAAGTGAATTGAAAGTTGACTGATGGTGTCTCAGGAAGGGTACAGGATAAGAGAATCTGATAGGTTGTTATTTTTTCCCAGATTAGGCTCCAAATGAAAGATTGGGGATTAGAGATGGGAGGGATAACCAAACATTGGTTGGTGCTGGTGCAAGAGAAGGCTACAAGAGGACTTAGACTTAGGTCTCAGGGCCAGGTGCATTGGCTTATGCCTGTAATCCCAGCACTTTGGGAGGCCAAGGTGGGCAGATCACCTGAGGTCAGGAGTTCGAGACCAGCCTTGCCAACATGGTGAAACCCCATCTCTACTACAAATACAAAATTAGCCAGGCATGGTGACACATGCCTGTAATCCTAGCTACTTGGGAGGCTGAGGCAGGAAAATCCCTTGAACCCGGGAGGCGGAAGTTGCAGTGAACAGAGATCATGCCATTGCATGCCAGCCTGGGCAACAAGAGCAAAACTCCATCTTAAAAAACAAATTAGGCTTAGGGGCAGCTAGGCCTAAAATTTGAGAGTTTGAGAGGATTCAATTCAATCTAATCTGATTAAACTTTATAGAAATGTAGGATCACAGGGCTTCAAGTGACATTGAGGACCACTCTAAAAGGCATTGACTAATGCATGATTCACCTTTTTCAACAACCTTCATAGGTGGGCATCAAGTCTCTGCTCAGACACCTTTAATACTAGAGAATTTACTAGCTACCAAGAAAATAAATTCTATGAAATTTTCTCAGTTCAAAAATTAAACAAATTTTATAACCTAATATGTACAGAGCATTGTGTTAGGTGCACCTGCCAAGAAGACACAGATAACCTATGGTTTCTGTATCTCTGTGGATCCTAAAAAATCATGGGGACTTTCTCGCAACTTTGTGTTGGGCACAGCCCTACCTTTTCTTTTCTTTTCTTTTTTGAGACATAGTCTTGCTCTGTCGCCCAGGCTGGAGTGCAGTGGCCTGATTTTGGCTCACTGCAACTTCCACCTCCTGGGTTGAAGTGATTCTCCTGCGTCAGCCTCCTGAGTAGCTGGGATTATGGGCATGTGCCACCACACCCAGCTAATTTATATATATATATATATATATATTTTCAGTACAGACAGGGTTTCACTATGTTGCCCAGGCTGGTCTTGAACTCCTGACCTCAAGTGATCTGCCTGTCTTGGCCTTCCAAAGTGCTGGGATTACAGGCATGAGCCACTGCGCCTGGCAAGCCCCATCTTTTCTAGTCTCTCCTATTCTGACCTGTGTAGTTAATTCTTTCCCAAAACAATCTTTTCCTGTTTCCTCCATCTCCCACCCCACCCTCCGCCCCCCCACCCCACAAATCTTCACCATGATTAGGCCTTGTAGGAGTGTTCAACTTCTGGGGCTGATTTCTTGAAAATACTGATGGCAAAGGAAATTATTACTCTCTAGGAACCTATGTAAAAGCTGGATGAAAACTTAAAGACTATGTATCCAACTCTGTCATGTGAGAGGAGGTACAAAGGGCCAGAATGGGGAAACATTTCAGCCAAGATCAAATACATAGTGAGGGTGCATGAGGTTAGCAGTCAATAACTTCGCACAGTAGACTCCAGGAGAATATTCCCAATGTCCCACATCCAAGTATTTAAAATAAAAAGGCCCTAAAATTTTGAGCTGGCGTGGATGTCACATTTACATCTCATTTGCATACACCCCCAGCAACCCCCAGCAATGTCTTCTCAGTTACTTCTCAAGTGAGAATGTATCATTGCTTCCCTTGTTTGTCATTTTTAGTTTTTCATTTCTCTCTTCCTCTTCACCACTCACAGTCCTTGGCCCAGATCCCCTGCAGCATGAAAGGGAAAAAAAAGTATTCACAGAACATTAAAATTAAACTTCAGGCAACTGTGTTTCTCTCACCATCTGGCTCCTGTTAAAACAGCCACTCCTCAAAGGCAGGGGCTCTTGGCCTCAATGTACCATCCAGTGCCCAGAAAATGGAAATGCTTGGCAAATAAGGCCCAGGTTGCAGAGGCCGACATAGGCAGAGCCACCGGAGATGTTTTTTGAATGCCAACTTGGGACACATGGTCTGACAGAATTTTAATGCAAGACTAGACATTACCTGAGGGCACAGACTTTCTTAATTATCACACTATATCTCCTGCGCTTAGTCCAGCAGACATAGTGGGCCCTCCATACATACTTGTTCGAAGCATGAATGTATGAAGTTGTATGAAAACTTTTATACCTTTATGTAAGGGTACAAAAGTCAAACATCTACTGGGAAAGCACTACATGATGTCTAAAAAGTGATAGCAGAGGCTGGGTGTGGTGGCTCACTCCTACAATCCCAGCATTTTGGGAAGCCAAGACAGGCAGATCATGAGGTCAGGAGTTTGAGACCAGCCTGGCCAACATGGTGAAACCCTGTCTCTACTAAAAATACAAAAATTAGCCGGGTTTGGTGGTGCACACCCATAATCCCAGCTACTCAGTAGACTGAGGCAGGAGAATTGCTTGAACCCAGGAGGCGGAGGTTGCAGCGAACTGAGATCGTGCCACTGCACTCCAGCCTGGGCGACAGAGCGAGACTCCAATAAAAAAAAAAAGATATACCAATGGAATATGTTATTTATTGACATAATTAATCGATGTGTTCATGTTTACAACAAACGTTACCAGCCCTAGGTTAGATTCCAGATAATCTGGAGTATCCTCCAGAACCTATTAGAGTAGAGTGACATATAAATAAATTCTTAAAAATTTTTCTAGCTGGCCACAGTGGCTCACACCTGTAATCCCAGCACTTTGGGAGGCAGAGGCGGGCAGACTGCTTGAGCCCAGAAGTTCGAGACCAGCCTGGGCAACAAGGTGAAACCTTGTCTCTACAAACCAATGAACAAACAAAAACAAAAACAAAAGTTATCTGGGTGTGGTGATGTGCGTTTGTAGTCCCAGCTACTCGGGAGGCTGAGGTGGGAGGATCACCTGGGCCCAGGAGGCAGGGATTGCAATGAGCCATGATTGTGCAACTGCACTCCAGCCTGGGTGACAGAGTGAGATGCTATCTCAATTAAAAAAAAATTAAAACATAATAATTGCACATATTTATGGTGTACAATGCAATATTTTGATACATGTATACATTGTATAATTATCAAATCAGAGTAATTAGGACATACATCATCTTAAACATTTATTATTTCTTTGTGGTGAAAGCATTCAAACTGTTCTAGCTATTTTGAAATATATAATACATTATTGCTAATGGTAATTACTCTGTATGTAATAGAGTATCAAATTGTGACTCTTATCAAATTGTGACTGTTGACCAACCTCTCCCTATTCCTCCCCTTCTGTTACCCTTTCCAGTCTCTGGTAACCACTGTTCTACTCTCTACTTCTATGAGAACAACTTTTCAAAATTCCTCATGTGAGAACATGCTGTATTTGTCTTTCTGTGTCAGGTTTATTTCACTTAACATGATGTCCTCTCAATGTTGTCACAAATGACAGGACTTTTTAATAGATTCCATTGTGTGTGTGTGTGTGTATATATATACGTATATATATGTATATGTGTATATATATATACGTATATATGTATATGTGTATATACGTATATGTATATGTATATATACGTATATATGTGTATATATACGTATATATGTATATATGTATATGTGTGTGTGTGTATATATATACACATATATATATCACATTCATCCATTCATCTGTTATCCATTCATCTGCTGTTGGACACTTAGGTTGACTTCATATCTTGGCTATTGTGAATAGTGCTGCAATAGACATGGGAGTGCAGATATCTCTTAGACATACTGATTTCATTTCCTTTGGATATACACCCAGTAGTGGAATTGCTGGATTGTATGGTAGTCCTATTTTTAGTTCTTTCAGGAACCTCCATACTGTTTTCCATAATGGTTGTACTAATTTGCATTCCCTCCAACAGTGTGTAATTGTTCCCTTTTCTCCACATTCTTGTCAACACTTGTTATCTTTTGTCTTTTTGCTAATAGTAGCCTTCTGACTGGAGCGGAGTGATATCTATTTGTGATTTCCATCTGCATTTTCCTGATGACTAGTGATGTTGAGCATTTTTTCAAATACTTGTCAGTCATTTGTAGGTTTTCTTTTGATAAATGTCTGTTAAGATCTTTTGCCCACTTTAAAATTGTATTTATTTATTTATTTATTTATTTTTTGCTATTGAGTGGTTTGAGTTCCTTACATATTCTGGATGTTAACTTTTTGTCAGATGAGTAGTTTGCAAATATATTCTCTCATTCTACAGGTTGTCTCTTCACTTTGTTGATTGTTTCCTTTGTGATGTAGAAGTGTTTTAGTTTGACCTAATCCTATTTGACTATTTTTTGCTTTTGTTGCCTGTACTTTTGAGGTCTTATTAAAAAAATGCTTGCCCAGTCCAGTGTCATAAAGTGTTTCCCCTATGGTTTCTTCTAGTAATTTCATAGTTTTGCATCTTATGTTTAAATCTTTAACCCATTTTGAGTTGATTTTTGTATATGGTGAGAGAAAGTGGTCTAGTTTCATTCTTCTGCATATGGATGTCCAGTTTTCCCAGCACCATTTATTCAAAAGACTGTCCTTTCCCACTGTGTGTTGTTGGCAACTTTGCCAAATGTAGTTGGCTGTTAAGTGTGTGAATTTATTTCTGGGCTCTGTTCTGTTCTTTGGTCTATGTGTCTGTTTTTATGTCAACACCACGCTGTTTTGGTTATTAGTGCATTTTTAAGTCAGGTAGTGTGATGCCTCCAGCTTTGTCTATTTGTCATTTTTTATAGTTCCATACACATTTTGGGATTTGTTTTTCTATTTCTGGGAAGAATGTTATTGGTATTTCAAAAAGAATTGCATTGAATCGGGCTGGGCATGGTGGCTCACACTTGTAATCCCAGCACTTTGAGAGGCCAAGGTGGGCAGATCACCTGAGGTCAGGGGTTTAAGACCAGCCTGGCCAACATGGCGAAACCCCGTCTCTACTAAAAATACAAAATTTAGCTGGGCATGGTGGCACATGCCTGTAATCCCAGCTACTCAGGAGGCTGAGGCATGAGAATCACTTGAACCTGGGAGGCAGAAGTTGCAGTGAACCAAGACTGTTCCACTGTACTCCAGTACTTCAGTCTGGGCAACAGAGTGAGTCTCTGTTCTGCTTCCCTCCCCCAACCCACACCTGCCCCACCAAAAAAAAAAAAAAAAAAAAAAAAAAAGAATTGCATTGAATTTGTAAATTGTTTTGGGTAGTATGAACATTTTGAAAATAGTAATTCTTCCAGTTCATTAATGCAGGATACCTTTCCATTTATCTGTGTCCTCTTCAATTTTTTTCATCAATGTCTTATAATATTCAGTGTAGAGATCTCTCACCTCTTTGGTTAAATTTATTCCTAGGTACCTTATTATCTGTGTGGCTATTAAAAATGGGATTGTTTTCTTGGCTTATTTTTCAGGTAGTTTACTATCAGCATAAGAAACACTACTGATTTTTATATGTTCGTATCCTGCAACTATACTGAATTCATTTGTTAGTTCTAACAGTTCTTTGGTAAAGTCTTTAGGGTCTTATATACATGAGATCATGTCATCTGCAAACAAGGGCAATTTGACTTTCTCCTTTCCAATTTGGATGCCTTTTATTTCTTTCTTTTGTCCAATTGCTCTGGCTAGGAGTTCTAGTACTATGTTGAATAGAAGTGGTATTCTTGTTTAGTTCCAGATCTTAGAGAAAAAGCTTTCAACTTTTCCCCATTCAATTTGATGTTAACTGTGGGTTTGTCATATATGGCCTTTATTGTTTTGAGGTATGTTTCTTCTGTACTCAGTTTGCTGAGATTTTTATCATGAAGGGATGCTGAATTTCATCAAATGCTTTTTCTGCATCTATTGAAATGATCATATGCTTTTTGTCCTTCTTTCTGCTAATGTGATGTATCACATTTATTGATTTGCATATATTGAACCATTCTTGCATCCCTGGGATGAATCCCACGTACATAGTGAATGACCTTTTAAATGTGCTGTTAAATTCAGTTTGCTAGTATTATGTTGAGGATTTTTGCATCTATGTTAATCAGGAATAGTGGCCTATAGTTTTTTTTTTGTTGTTTTGTTTTGTTTTTTGTTTTTTCCTTGTCTGGTTTTGGTGTCAGGGCAATGCTGGCTTCATAGAATGAGTTTGAAAATATTTCTTTCTTTCCAATTTTCTGGAATAGTTTGAGAATAATTGGTATTAGTTCTCTATATGTTTGGTAGATTTTAGTAGTACAGCTATCAGGTTCTGAGTTTTTCTTTAATAGGAGACTTTTTATTACTGATTCAATTTTCTCACTTGTTATTGGTCTGTTCAGATTTTCTATTTCTTTATAATTCAATTTTGGTAGATTGTGTGTGTCCAGGAATTTATTCCCATTTTTTCCAATTTGTTAGCATATAATTGTTTATAATAGTTGATATAGTTTGACCATGTCCCCACTCAAATCTCACCTTGATTTCCTACGTGTTGTGGGAGGGACCTGGTGGGAAGTAACTGAATCATGGGGCAAGTCTTTCCCATGCTGTTCTCATGATAGTGAATAAGTCTCATGAGATATGATGGTTTTAAAAAGGGGAATTCCCCTGCACAAGTTCTTTCTCTTTGCCTGCTGCTACCATGTAATACGTGACTTGCTCCTCCTTGCCTTCTGCCATGACTGTGAGGCTTCCCCAGACACATGGAACTGTAAGTTCAATTAAACCTCTTTCTTTTGTAAATTGCCCAGTCTTAGGTGTGTGTTTATCAGCAGCATGAAACAGACTAATACAATAGTCTCATATGATTCTTTGTATTTCTATGGTATCAGTTGTGATGTTTTCTTTTTCACCTTTGATTTCGAGTCTTCTTTCTTTTTTACTTAGTCTAGCTGAGGGTTTGTTGATTTTGTTTATATTTTCAAAAAAACCTACTCTCTGTCTCATGGATCTTTTGTATTGTTTCTCTAGCCTCAGTTTTATTTATTTCTGTTCTGATTTTTATTATTTCTTTTTCTTCTATCAATTTTGAGTTTAGTTTGTTCTTTTTTTCCTAGTTACTTGAGGTGCAATATTGGGTTGTTTACTTGAGATCTTTCTTCTTTTTTGATGTAAGCATCTATTCCTATAAACATTCCTCTCAGAACTGCTTTTGCTGTATTCCGTAGGTTTTGGTATGTTTCCATTTTTGATTGCCTCAAAACATTTTAAATTCTCCTTTTAATTTTTTCATTGACCCATTGATTATTCAGGACTATGTTGTTTAATTTACGTGTATTTGTAAAATTTCTGAAGTTCCTCCTGTAACTCAGTTTCTTTTTTTAATAACATTGTGCTCAGAAAGGACACTTGATGTGACCTCTCTTCTTAAATTTCCTTTTTACTTTGAGACAAGGTTTCACTTTGTTGCCTAGGCTGGAGTGCAGTGGCTCAAACACAGTTCACTGCAGCCTCAACCCTTCAGGCTCAAGTGATCCTCCTGCCTCAGCCTCCCAAGTAGCTGGGTGTATTTGTCCATTTTACACTGCTTATAAAGAACTATTTGAGACTGGGTAATTTATGAAGAAAGTGGGTTAGTTGACTCACAGTTCTGCAGGCTTCCCAGGAAGCATGACTGGGAGGCCTTGGGAAACTTACAATCATGGCAGAAAGCAAGCACATCTTACCATGGCACAGCGGGAGAGGGGAAAGTGCCACACACATTTAAACCATCAGATCTCGTGAGAACACACTCACTGTCATGAGAACAGCATAGGGGAAACTGCCCCCGTGATCCAATCACCTCCCACCAGGTTCCTCCCTGAAACATGGTGATTACAATTTTACATGAGGTTCGGGTGGGGACACAGAGCCAAACTATATCATTGAGAGTACAGATGTGCACCACCATGCCTGGCTAATTTTTGTATTTTTTGTAGAGATAAATTCTCACCAAGTTGCCCCAGCTAGCCTTGAACTCACGAACTCAAGTGATCCACCTGCCATGGCCTCCCAAAGTGTTGGGATTACAGGTGTGAGCCACCACACCTGGCCTCAAATTTCTTAAGACTTGTTTTGTGGCCTAACATATGATCTCTCCTGAAGAATGTTTTATGTGCAGTTGAGAAGAATGTGTATTATGCAGCTGTTTGATGTAATGTTTTGTAAATGTATGTTAGGTCCCTTTGGTCTAGAATGCATTTTAAATACGATGTTTCCTTGTTGATTTTCTGACTGGACGATCTGTCCTTTGCTGAAAATGGGGGCATTGAAGTCCCTCATTATTGTTGTATTATAATCTCTCCCTTTGAATTTAACAGTATTTACTTTATGTATTTTGGTCCTCCAGTGTTGGGTGCATATATGTTTATAATTGTTATATCCTCTTGCTGAATTGATCCCTTTATCATTATATAATGATGCTTTTTCTCTTTTTAGAGTTTTTGACTTAAAGTTCATTCTATCTGATATAAGTGGAGCTACTCTATCTTGCTTTTTGGTTTCCATTTGCATGGAATATATTTTTCTGTGCCTTCATTTTTAGTCTATGATAAATTCTTTGTTTTGTTTTGTTTTTTTCTTTTTGAGACAGGGTCTCACTCTGTCACCCAGATCACCCAGGCTGGAGTGCAGTGGTGCAATCTCAGCTCACTGCAACCTGCACCTCCCAGACTCAAGTGATCCTTTTATCTCAGCCTCTCGAATTGTTGGTTCTACAGTTACGCACCACCACGCCCGGCTAATTTTTGTATTTTTAGTAGAGAGGGGGTTTTGCCATGTTGGCCAGACTGGTCTCTAACTCCTAGCCTCAAGTGATCTACCCACTTCTGCCTCCCAAAGTGCTGGGATTACAGGCATGAGCCACCATGCCTGGCCGATAAAAATAAAATCTTTTTTTTTTTTTTTTTTTTTTTTGAGAAGGAGTCTCACTCTGTAGCCTAGGCTGGAGTGCAGTGGTGCAATCTCAGCTCATTGCCACTGCCGCCTCCTGGGTTCAAGCAATTCTGCCTCAGCCTCCCAAGTAGGTGGGATTACAGGCACCTGCCACCTTGCCTGGCTAATGTTTGTATTTTTAGGAGGGAAGGGGCTTCGCCATGTTGACCAGGTTGGTCTCAAACTCCTGACCTCATGTGATCTCCCCACCTCAGCCTCCCAAAGTGCTGGGATTACAGGCATGAGTCACAGTGCTTGGCCCCGATAAATTCTTAATAAAGACTTTTCAAAAAACAAAACAAAACAAAACAAGGCTTTTAAATGAAGAACTACTGCATCCAATTGGAGTTAGCTTAAACAACAGAAGAGTTTATCATAAGGTTTCAAATGTATCTTATGGACTTGTTCGTGGTTTTAAAATACGCCCACAAATTTTTTGAAAGAGATAGAGTGTAATTCCCCTCCCCTTGAGTATGGACTGAACTTAGCAGCTCACTTGTAACAAATAGAACATGGAAGTAGTGATGATGTGTGACTTCTGAGACTCGGTCATTGTATTAGTTTGCTAGGGCTGCTGTAACAAGGCACCGTAGACTGGGTGGCTTAAACAACAGAAATTTATTGTCGCCTTTCCTGAGGTTAGAAATCCAAGACCAAGGTGTTGGCAGGCTTTGTTCCTTCTAAAGGCTGTGAGGGAGAATCTATTCTGTTCCTTTTTCCTAGCTTCTTGTGGTTTGCTGGCAGTTTTGGGTGTTTCTTGGCTTATAGAAGCATCACCTGGATCTCTGCCTTCATCTTAACATGATCTTGTCCCTGTATGCATGTTTATGTCTGTCTTTGTGTTCAAACTTCCCCTTTTTATAAGGACACTAGTAATATTGGATTAGTGCCCACCATAATGACCTAATTTTAACTTGATTACCTCTTTAAAGACCTTATCTCCAAATAAGGTCACATTCTGAGGTACTGGGGGTTAGAACTTCAATATAGATTTTTGAGAATACACAATCCAACGCATTATGGTCGTAAATGCCCTTTTGGCTTTTTCCTTACTCTCTTTCTTAGACCACCTTCTTTGAGGGAATCCAGCTGCCATGTTGCAAGAACACTCAAGCTGACCTGTGGCAAAGTCCACTTGGCAGGGAACTGATGTATCCTGCTAACAGGCATGTGAACGAGCTACATTGAAGGTTGCTCCTCCAGCCCCGGTGGAGTCTTAGGCTGACTACAGTTGTGGTTGATAACTTGTCTGCAACCTCCTGAGAGACCCTGAGTAGAACCACTCAGCTCAGCTGCTCCCAGATTCCTGACTTGCAGAACACTGTGAGGTAATGAGTGTTTGTTGTTATAAGCCACACTAAGTTTTGGGATAGTTTATTTTTCAGCAGTAGATAACTAAAACAGGCCCCTTGGGAAGAAGGAAGGCAGGAACCAGAGTCTGGGAAGTAGACAGAACTCCCTTCCTCTGGCCTCTCTGCCTCCCAGCTTTCTCTAGTATTTCACCCACAGGCAGAAACATGGTCACCTTGTGGCTTTAAAGTTTATGTGTTACAGTTCTAGCCACACAGAAACTTCAGTTTCTGAGTGGAATCTAAATTTCAGTGTGAAAGAATATGGGCTCCAACCTGGGTCAGCTGTAATAAGGGGATAGGATCAGGGACAAGTGCAATTTTTGTGGGGCTTGAATGTTATACCATTTGGAAATCCTTCTTTAAGAAAACAAGATTACTCACAAAAAAATCATTTCTTGGAATGAATGAGAAGATAAATCACAACAAATTAAAAATGTTCTAAAGCCGACAAATATCAAAGACATTACAACATTTTAAAAAGGATGTAACGTTTATATTAGTTAACTCTGATAGTTGGAGGAGGTTTCCATAGACGATCTTCAAACTGCATTTCAGACCTTGTCTTCCCTCTACCACTGATATGCATGTAGGTGAGTCAGGCAACATGAGTATGGTGATCTGAACTCTGGCTTTGTACTTCTAACAAGATGCCAGGTACAGTGGGTGATACCAGTGCTCCTGGAAGCCATTCTACACTGAGGGGACTATCAATAATTTAACTAAATATGAAAGTGTCTACAAACCATATAAATACAAAAAAAGTAGTGTATCTACACTTTTTTTTTTTTTTTTGAGAATGGTCTCACTCTGTCGCCTAGGCTAGAGTGCAGTGGCGTGATCTCAGCGCACTGCCACAGCTGCCTCTCGGGTTCAAGCAATTCTCCTGCCTCAGCCTCCCAAGTAGGTGGGATTACAGGCGCCCACCACCACACCTGGCTAATTTTTGTATTTTTAGGAGAGACAGGGTTTTGCCATGTTGTCCAGGTGGGTCTTGAACTCCTGACCTCAGGTGATTTCCCCAAAAGTAGTGTATCTACACCTCAACTCCCCCTTAGCTGGACCTCCTGTTGCCTCCAGCCACTCTAAAGCTTCAGGAGGGGAAATCAAGGTAGAAAGATACAGGGGTTTATTTTAACCAATTGTGGTTAAGATAGCTTCTTTTACAAATTTTTACAAAAAAAAAAAATAGCCATGTAAACACATAGCTGTTGCCTTCCTTGGGCCTGGAGTCTGGGCAAGTGAGGAGCCTTGAAGCCTTTGGTTTGTCAGCTTCATGGAAAATTTGCCTCTAGGTAGAGTCTTGTAGAACAAAATGGTTGCTGGAAACTTCACCTGGTGGATGAGGTGGGTGTTTCCTGAGAAAACAAAACAAAACAAAATCCTACAGCGAAAGACAATTATAATACTGTGTACTGTGTGATATGGTTTGGCTCTGTGTCCCCACCCAAATCTCATCTCGAATTGTAATCCTCACACATCAAGAGAGGGACCTGGTGGGAGGTGATTGGATCATGGGGGTGGATTTTCCCCATGCTGTTCTCATGATAGTGAGTGAGTGCTCACAAGAGCTGATGGCTTAAAAGTATGGCACTGCCCCTTCACTCTCTCACTCTCCTGATGCCTTGTGAAGAAGGTGCCTACTTTCCCTTCACCTTCTGCCATTATTGTAAGTTTCCTGAGGCCTCCCCAGCCACGTGGAACTGTGAGTCAATTAAACTTCTTGTTTATAAATTACCCAGTCTCTGGATCTTTATAGCAGTGTGAAAATGAACTAACACACCGTGGGAGGAGATTTGAGCAGACTAAGAGAACACAAAAGTGGAAGTGGGGGATTAATTTAGGCTTGCAGGGTAGATGTCAGGGATGCTGGTTGTGGAGAACAACATCTCCAGTAAATTATAAAGGTTGAGTAGTGAGGAGAAGGAAGAAAGTTCCAGGCAGACAGGCAGTATATTTAAATGCCAGGAGGTGTGAGAGACCATGGCTAATTTGGGGGCACAGCAAATATTTTAGTGACATTGGAGTAAAGGGTGTGAGTGTGGGATTGCCCAAGAAACAACTCAGGAAACCAATCTGGGGCAGATCCTGAATGACTTCGCGTGTTTAGGTTTTGCTCTTGGAACTCTACCCTGAGGAAATGGGGAATCATTTAAGCCTATTTAGATGATCAGATTTGCATTAGTACATCAGCTTGGCACTTTCAGTCAGTGTGGGAGACTTAGCAGAAACAGAAACTCCTTCCCCATTTCAAACACAGAAATACAGAAGAATAATAACAAAATAATTCAAAAGTAATTCAAAAGATAGACTGATCTTAAAACTTAAGAAAGTCCCCAAGATTCAGAACTGAAGAGGCTCTTAAAAGCCAGAAAAGTAAGTGAAACTTGAAGCAGTGGTCCCAAGGAGAAGGGGAATGGGTAAGTTTTTGCAGCTGGGGCTTGTGGCTTTGATATCCACAAAGGGAGGGGATTCTGGACTGCCAGCTTGGTGCAGGCAGAATGCTGGAACTGACTTCAGTCATAAACCTCGCTGTCCGCCCACACCTCTGTGGATAAAGGGTAGGGCATTGGGAAACTGTGCAGATAAAGAGTCATTCCTTCCTGAGCTTCAAACATGGAGATCTCTGAGAGATCTCCCTGCCAACCCAGGGTATCAGCTGTATTTGCCATCTGCAGCAAATTCATACATATATTTATTGAGATCCTGCTATAGGCCCAGCATCATGTACTAGGGGTATCAAGATTTTTTTTTAAAAGCTGCTGAATGATTATCTGAAAACATAACAAGTGGAAAAATTTTGGAAGATTTTGGAATTTCTTCCCTTTAGGCAGGGTGAGTTGATTTCAAGATGCACATCCTAGCAGAACAAGAAAAGAAGGTGGGCCAGGCATGGTGGCTCACACCTGTAATTCCAGCATTTTGGGATGCTGAGGTGGGTGGATCACTTGAGCTTAGGAGTTTGAGACCAGCTTGGGCAACATGGTGAAACCCCATCTCTACTGAAAATACAAAAAAAAAAAAAATTAGCCAGGGGTGGTGCTGTGCACCTGTAGTCCCAGCTACTGAAAGGCTGAGGTGGGAGGATCCCCTGAGCCCAGGAGGTTGAGGCTGCATTGAGCCATAATTGAGCCAGTGCACTCCATCCTGGGAAACTGAGCAAGACCCTGTGTTTTTTAAAAAAAAAAAAAAAAAAAAAGAAAAGAAGATGATTGACAGAAAAGTAACTATTGGAAAGCAGAGAATCCCTCTCATAACCAGAGGCTATAAATCTCCATCAGGAGTCTCAATCCCAGGTCTTGTGCCTTAACTAAAGAATTTGTCAGCAAGGCTTAGGGATTTATCAATTTATGAGAGGTGCTCAGCTCAGTCGAGGACATTATCTGTCTACCAGGAAGTAGATATGAGTAAATGGTTAGGGAATTGTTAATGGTACACAGGGCAGGATCCACAGAAGTGGTGAGCAAACTCAGCTCCAGGGGAAATACTGGGTGTGTACAGGGTGGTTGGAGGTACTTGACTCCTAGGCAACAGTCTGTGTATAGCATGGAGTTAGGGTAATTTACAACCTAGGGATTTATAACTTTCTTCCTGACAAGAGGTGTGAAGTGGAACAATGGTTGAGGTCCAAGTCTCTGAAAAGGACCAGAGAGACAACCTGCAGGCTGCCTTATCTGCCCAGGAGGGGACATGGTGTTTGAGGTAGTGGGCACTTGAAATGGGTATCTTGTTCTCTGAGTTACAAATACTGTATCAACTTGGAGACTAGATTGCTCCATTGTGTAGTTAAGGTCTTGGCCTTTGGAAGCCCCTTGGTGCTAGGAGAAGTGTGGGGGTGATCTTCACCTTTTGTAAGGAAACCTCAGTCCTGTGCTGCCCAATATAGTAGCCACTAGCTGCATGTGGCTTTTGAGCACTAGAAAAGTGGCTGGTCCAAATTGAGATAAGTTGTAAATGGAAGATGCACTTTGGATGTTGAAGACTTAGTATGGAAAAATAAGAATGTAAATACTTGATTACTCATTTTAAAATATTGATTACATGTTGACAATATTTTGGATATATTGGGTTAAATACATTATCAAAAATAATTTCACTTGTTTCTATTTTTTGAATGCAGCTACTCAAAACATTTAAAATGAACACAGGTGGCCCATATTTGTGGCCTGCATTATGTTTCTGTTGGACAGTGCTGCCTCAGTCCATCTGGACTTTCAGTTTCCGTAAGATGGGGACTCCTGTCTCCCTTCCTGGCTCTTCCTTCCCTCTCTAAGTTCTGGAAATTTTTACTTCTACATGATCATTATTTACTTCTTGCCAACTGCCCTGGAAGAAGCAGCAGCAAAGGCCTTTTGTGATAAGGGCCTGACAGATCATCTTCAGGGATTTCTCAGAAGAGGCAGCTAGAGGAGAGGAGATAAGGCTGAGACCCCACCACACATTCTGAATAAGGAAGGGAAGAAGAATGAGCCAGCTGATTTCTCCCAATCTCCAGGGGACATTTGGCAAAGCCTGGAGACTTCTTTGGTTGCCACAGCTGGTGGGAGGGTGCTACTGACTTCTTGGGTAGAGGCCATGTATGCTGCTAAACATTCTACAGTGCATGGGACAGTGCCCTACACAAAATATTATCTGGCCCCATATGTCAGTAGTGTCAAGGCTGAGAGACCCTGACCGAGGTCTAGAAAGGGCCTTGGGCCTTTGGTTGCCTCTGAACAGGGGTCAGGAGGGAGGCTGGAGATGCTGACACAATAGGGGAGACCTGTTCCGTCCTGTCCCATTCCCCCATTCTTTCTTGATTGTCAGTGACTCATGGCCCTTCCCCTGTGCTCCTGAGCCTGCCTAAACTCATGCTGGTGGAGAGAAACGGAGCATTTCTTCCCAGGTGTGAATCACTTGCCCCACGCCCCTGGCAGAGACCTCTCCCTGCAGGAGATAGGCTCTTTGGAGATTTGCCCAGAGGGGATGGGCCTCCCAATTCTCTTACCTTGCCCATCTACTTTTCTTCTTGCTCCCTCCTCCCTCTGCAGCTGTCGTGGAGCTCACCAGAAGCTCCTGGCCAGAACCAGGATTGTTGAGCAGATGTTGAGCACCTGAGGGAGGAAGCCCGTGGGAGCCGCTAGGGTTTTCTCAGAGGGAATAAAAACTTGCCTCTGAATTTCTTGCAGAAACCCGGGTCTCTGGGGAGCAGCACTGTTGGTGTTTAGACAGGTCCATTCTATAATTCCTTGACCAGATTTCATTGAGCCCTGATTATAAACCCCAGCTCTGTAAGGCACACTCTCTGCCTTCATAGCATTTATAGTCTAGCTAGGGGTGCAAAACCCAAACACTCACAACAAATAAAAATGGGCTTTAAAGAGGAGTCAGTGGCAGTGAGGCTTCAAAGGAACAGACAGCTAGGGCTCAGAGTGATGAGTGGGGTTGCCCAGAGCTGGAGGAAGAGCCTGTATTCTGGATCCCACCGGCTCTGGCTGCATCCTGATGTTACAATTTCCTATCTGTGCAACCTCCTCTGGGAAACAAAGGTAACAATAAAACCTAGGATTAGATGAGACTGTGAACTGCTGCCTGCTCCCACTGCCCATACACAGTTAGGTACAGCTTGTCCCATGGAGAACTGCTGGGTGCAAGGCAGTGGGTACTCCCAGATTGCTGTCTCTATGGGAAAAAGGCTATGAGTGCAGCTTGCTGATTAGGAGGTGTGGGGTATCAGCTCCTTGCTGGAAAGATGCGGCCCTGGCACACTTTGTAGCAGTTATATCAGTTATATTGGGCTTTATGAAGAGGCATCTGTCCCTGTTCTTGGGAGAAAGATTCCTGCCCACTATTCAGCCTTATGTGACCCTAGGATGAGAGCTGTAATTTGCTGAGCAGCTCTTATGTGCCAGACACATTATGCCAGACCCTTCGCTGCGTCATCTCATTTTAGTCAAGCAACAATTAAGACATCAATTAATACATATGACATATACATTAGTTGGGTCCAGAAAGGCAGAACAACTTGAAGTGGGGTGGGGGGAGGTGGGAGTTGGGGAGCTTACAGGTCATAGGTGGATTTAAATATTTTTTTAATTGGCAGTTGGTCAAAAGAGTTAAGTTATTATCTAAAGACCTGGAATCAAGAGAGAGGAGTGTGTGGATTAAGATAAGGGGTTGTGGGGATCAAGGTTCTTATTATCCAGAGAAAGTATTTAGGTGGCTATCCTTAGTGACAATTGATGGCAAATGTTTCCTATTTAGACCTTTAAAAGGTGCTAGACTCTCAGTTAATCTCTTCAGGATGGGAAGGGCCTGGAAAGGAATAGATCTAGTTATGTTAACAGAGATTCTTTACAGATGCAAATTTTCCCCCACAAAAGATAGCTGTGTAGGGTCATTTCTCAAAATATGGTAAAAAACATATTCTGGGGTAAAATACTGTGATTTCCTTTCTTATCTGTCATGTGGTGTTATACTAGAGTTGGGTTGGAATTTGGTATCTTATTGCCACAGAGAGCCTGTTTTGTCAGTCTGAGGATCTCTGTTTTACTGTTAATGTTGGTCAGTTGCGCCTGAACTCCAAAGGGAGAAGAGGATATGGCATGTCTGACTCCACCTTCCCATCGTGGCCTGAACTAGTTTTTCAGGTTTCTTTGGGTCCCCAGGCTAAGAAGGGGGCGTCTATTCAGTCAATTGGAGGGCTTAGAATTTTATTTTTGGTTTATACTTTCTGTTTCCAACAGTGGGCCAGGGGCTGGGTGACTGGAGACATAACATTGACAAAGAAACGCTCTAGTCACTCATGTCTACTGGGAGAGAACATAAAACTGGCATTTGTAGTGCAGCGTGGTGAGTGCTAGCATGGAGGTAGCATGAGTCATCAACCTGTCTGGTCTCCTAGGCTGCTGTCGCGCGAGGCACACTGCACATGGCTAACTGGGTGACTCCACCCTGGTTCGGGCACTGCACGTACTCAGCTGAGGCTGCCGGATGCCACAACCCTGGGCCAACCACCTCATGTGTCTGCAGAAGACCACCTGTAACAGAGCCAGATCTGGTCTAATTAAAAACCCAAGTGTTGGCAGCCAGTCAGTAACACCCAGAGACTTTGGTTTGCTAACATGGGAAGGAGACAATTTATGGTCTTCTAGCTTTAGAAAATTGCCTTGTTTCTCCTCCTGCATCCTCAGATCTGTGGCTTTCCTAGACTGTGTGCCGAATCAGGCTTCCTGCATGAAAGTAAAAAAATTTGTTTTCATTCAGCATTCAATCTTTGGTTTCTGATAACTTTTTGTTTTTTCTTTAACAAAGGCAAACCAGAGCACAAATGAACTCTATCTGTAAGAGAGGAAGAAGTTTTCCCAGAAAAAGTTACCTTTATGCTGGAACTAGAATAATAAAGAGATTTGGGCTGGGCGTGGTGGCTCACGCTTATAATCCCAGCACTCTGGGAGGCTGAGGCGGGTGGATCGCTCGAGGCCAGGAATTCTTGGCTTGGGCAGCATGATGAAACCCTATCTCTACAAAAAATATAAAAATTAGTTAGGCATGGTAGTGCACCTCTGCAGTTTCAGATACTCAGGAGGCCGGGTGGTAGGATCGCTTGAGCCTGGGAGGTGGAGGCTTCAGTGAGCTGTGACTACACCACTGCACTCCAGCCTGGGCAACAGAGCGAGACGGTCTCAAAAAACAAAAAACACAACAACAACGACAAAACAGATTTGTCAGGCCAACAAAGGAAGTGTTACAGGAAAAAGGGGTCCTGATCCAGACCCCAAGAGGGTTGGTGGATCTCATGCCAAGAAAGAATTCAGGGTGAGTCTGCAGCACAAAGTGAAAGCAAGTTTATTAAGAAAGTAAAGGAATAAAAGAATGGCTACTCCATAGATGGGCAGCCCCGAGGGCTGCTGATTGCTCATTTTTATGGTTATTTTTTGATGATAAGCTAAACAAGAGGTGGATTATTCATGCCTCCCCTTTTCAGACTGTATATTATTGCATTATTATTATTATTGTATTAATGTATTATTAATGTTAAACCCAATTTTTAATAAAACTTTAGACATATTTACCCAATTTTAATGTTTAACTATAAGGTAAGATTCTTATAAACCTTTATAACCCTTTACATTTTTTTTGTGAAAGAGCAGATTAGTACTCTAAGAAAAACCTGTTGTGCTTTTATTCTATTTAATTTACAGAAAAACTGAATAATACCCCTTTAACTTTAGCCAATGTGTTCACACACAGAATCTCTTACAATTAATTTTTATAAACCTTCCACAACTTGTTTAAACCTTCCACAACTTGTTTAAACCTTAGCTTTATTCTAACTAACTTAAAACAATTCTTCAACTCTTTAGGCAAAAAAATCCACATTCCTATGCCTTCTTATAATCTTTTACCAAATGTACATTCTACTTTCCTTACACACCTTACATGTAAAATTGTTTCTTCAATAGTCTCAATTATATGTGACAATGTTAAACTTTTAGCAACTTACTTTGGTGAAAACCCTGGTTAGTAAGTAATTTTAATTGTGTACTAGGTGTGGAGCCTTACCCAGGATATACCAGGCAGAAAGGCAGATAAGGGCTGACTCTCCAGCATAGCTAGGGGGTGTGGCTAACTCCACATGTCCTCAGGCCTTACCTTACTTAAGCAACCAAATTGTACAGTAAGAGTCATAGTGGCATTTTATGAAGCATTTAGGAGGCCTAACAACCTTTGAATTGTACAACGTTTCTTGCATAAATTCCCTTTCACAAATCCTTTCACGACTTACACAGACCATCTGAGACATTCTTTGACTTTCTGACTTGCCCTCCTTTTAAATAACCAGTTATTTTACTTTAGGACAAGAATTTACCATACAAGATCCTTTCTTATATAAAATCTCTTTCTTTATAATCTTTGTATAGCCAGGGGGCATGGCTAATTCCATGTTTCCAGGCCTTATCTAGAATCTAATGGCTTCAAAGTAGGTAAATTGAACAATTTTTAAAAGTTAAAGAAGTAGTTTATGACCTTAAAGCATTTAGCAAACTTATCTGACCTGCCTAATATAGACTGAATGTTTTTATTTTATCAATAATTTTCAAAGCTGTTATTGTTTCTTAAAGATTACTAAAGCCACATGAACTAAAAGGCATTACAGTTTTTATTTTGCTTTCAAAATATTTGATTTAAGTGCATATTTTTGTTTAAGCCAATTAATTAGAGTTCTTTTATATAAACATTACACACAACACATATATGGCTACATAGAAAGACAGAAGAAGATGACTACAGTAGTTGTAAGGTTTTTCATTTGCCAGTTTTTAAGTTTCTTAATTGGACTACTGGGTTAAGCTGGAGCCCTTGGAAGAACAGGGCCAGGAAAGGGGTCTTTGGTACCTCCTGTTTTTTCCTCCAAGGAGTCCAGGCTGTTAGAGCTTGAATATCCACTTTTAATTAAACTTATTCTAACCATAGCACTCTTTAATTTTAGAATTTCTTAGGCCAAATGGTCGATATTTCTGGCTTTTGAACTTTACCAAAGGTAATCTCCCAGGTGCTTAGAGAAAGGAAAATTTGAGACAGTCCGTGGAGGAGAAGAGAATAGACAAAGTCACACAGATATTAAACCAGAAACGACTTACTTCCTAGGTGGGGAATCAAACCCCGACCACCACTGTGAAAGTGCAAAACCTCTGCTACTGAGCTAGAGCACAGAGCAGTCATCATTTCCCTTCCCAAAAAGAGTCTACAGTAGTTAATTTTGAGCTTGAAAAGGCTTTTTAACTATTTAATATGATTGTTAGAGCTAATTATGACATGAACCCTAAAATTCCTGTTTCCTGAAGATGGAGACCAAAATAAAGTACTGCCGTGTGGTTAAAAGGTCAAACTCCCAGTGGGGCATGGTGGCTCATGCCTGTAATCCCAGCACTTTGGGAGGCTGAGGCAGGTGGATCACCTGACGTCAGGAGTTCAAGACCAGCTTGACCAACATGGTGAAACTCTGTCTCTACTAAAAATGTAAAATTAGTTGGGTGTGGTGGTACACGCCTGTAATCCCGGCTACTTGGAAGGCTGAGACAGGAGAATCACTTGAACCTGGGAGGTGGAGGTTGCACTGAGCTGAGATAGTACCATCGCACTCCAGGCTGGGCAACAGAGGGAGACTCCTCAACAAAAAACAAAAAAGTCAAGTTCCCAAGGACATAAAACAAGGTGGAGACTTCATCCAGTTTTTTGTTTGTTTCAGGGACCTGTAACCAAGTTTGTTACTAACCAGTTTGCTGGCTCATCTTGAAAAGCAGGCTTACAGGTGTTCTAAGCCTGTGTTTTATCTTAAAGTACACCTCGACACAGAAAAACGATCCATAGCACAGAATACACCAGCTTAAGACCAGCCTTAGAATTCTTTTTTGCATTAATCAAAACTTTACAGAGAAGATAAACACTGATTTTTTTTTTTAACCATTCATTCAACCATTTGCACAGAGAGAGTGAAGCCAGAGATCTGACTGGTAAGAAATTCTTACCCTTTTTCTGGCATGCCAGACTTCTGTGTTCCCTTTTCCTGAGAGGCCTTAGCGATCTGGCTTGTGGCACCATTGCCCTGGGGGCCAAGCTGCAGCATAAAGAAAAATTATTTTTTCATTCTGAGCAGAGCAAAATACTTGTGATAAAACGTAGACATTAGCCACTCTGCTTAGCACCCATTATCAAACTGGCAAGGCTTAAATTTGCACCCATATGGGCCCTGTCATCTTTAATCCAACCTCCGACTTAGAGTTTCAACATATGGTCTCTGGCAAGATGGCTGCCCTGAGTAATAGAAAAGATAAGAAAGAGAAAGGAGAGAGAGAAAAGCATTGCCTGTGGCAGGGTGGGGAAGGCAAAATAATCAGGGAGGCCAGAGGAAGACCCAACCATTGCAGTGACACTGAAAAGTTCAGGCGGCTGCTTCTCAGTAGCAAAGGGATCTTTTCCAGCTGTCCCATCAACTCTCAAGTTTCCCCTTTTATGGAGGAAAAAGCTTCCCATGTCCCATGATCCTGTACATGCCTAACCCAGTCATCCACAGCCATCAGCAAAGAGCGCAAGGCAGATTAATCCAAAGAGAATGGCAGTTAATAGCCCATAATGCCAAACCTATTCTTAGCCATGAAATAATTTACTGAGAGGGGCCTCTAATCCCCCAAATCTTAGTAGGGACTCTAACCCTCCTAAGTTGGGCCTGTAACCCAAGGTCGGTCAAGTGTCCTTGAATTTTTTTTATTTTTTATTATACTTTAAGATCTGGGGTACGTGTGCAGAATGTGCAGGTTTGTTACATAGGTATACACGTGCCATGGTGGTTTGCTGCACCCATCAACTCATCGTCTACATTAGCTATTTCTCCTAATGCTATCCCTCCTCTAGCGCCCCACCCACTGACAGGCCCTGGGGTGTGATGTTCCCCTCCCTGTGTCCATGTGTTCTCATTGTTCAACTCTCACTTATAAGTGAGAACATGCGATGTTTGGTTTTGTGTTCTTGTGTTTGCTGAGAATGATGGTTTCCAGCTTCACCCATGTCCCTGCAAAGGACATGAATGCATCCTTTTTTATGGCTGCATAGTATTCCATGGTGTATATGTGCCACATTTTCTTTATCCAGTGTATCACTGATGGGCATTTGGGTTGGTTCCAAGTCCTTGTTATTGTGAACAGTGCTGCAATAAACATACATGTGCATGTATCTTTATAATAGAATGATTTATAATCCTTTGGGTATATACCCAGTAATGGGATTGATGGGTCAAATGGTATTTCTGGTTTTAGATCCTTGAGGAATTGCCACACTGTCTTCCTCAATGGATGAACTAATTTACACTCCTACCGACAGTGTAAAAGCATTCCTATTTCTCCACATCCTCTCCAGCATCTGTCATTGCTTGACTTTTTAATGATTGCCATTCTAACTGGCATGAGATGATATTTCATTGTGGTTTTGATTTGCATTTCTCTAATGACCAGTGATGATGGGCTTTTTTCATATGTTTGTTGGCCACATAAATGTCTTCTTTTGAGAAGTGTCTGTTCATATCCTTTGCCCACTTTTTGATGGGGTTGTTTTTTTCTTGTAAATTTATTGAAGATCTTTGTAAATTCTGGATATTAGTCATTTGTCATATGGATAGATTGCAAAAATTTTCTCCCATTCTGTAGGTTGCCTGTTCACTCTGATGATAGTTTCTTCTGCTGTGCAGAAGCTCTTTAGTTTAATTAGATCCCATTAGTCAATTTTGGCTTTTGTTGCCATTGCTTTTGGTGTTTTAGTCATGAAGTCTTTGCCCATTTCTGTGTCCTGAATGGTATTGGCTAAGTTTTCTTCTAGGGTTTTTATGGTTTTAGGTCTTACGTTTAAGTCTTTAATCCATCTTGAGTTAATTTTTGTGTAAGGTGTAAGGAAGGGGTTCAGTTTAATTTTCTGCATATGGCTAGCCAGTTTTCCCAGCATCATTTATTAAATAGGGAATCCTTTCTCCATCATTTGTTTTTGTCAGGTTTGTCAAAGATCAGATGGTTGTAGATGTGTGGTGGTATTTCTGAGGCCTCTGTTCTGTTCCATTGGTCTATATATCTGTTTTGGTACCAGTATCATGTTGTTTTGTTTAATGTAGCCTTGTAGTATAGTTTGAAGTGAGGTAGCATGATGCTTCCAACTTTGTTCTTTTTGGTTAGGATTGTTTTGGCTATACAGGCTCTTTTTTGGTTCCATATGAAATTTAAAGTAGTTTTATCTAATTCTGTGAAGAAAGTCAATGGTAGGTTGATGAGGATAGCATTAAATCTGTAAATTACTTTGGGAAGTATGGCCATTTTCATGATATTGATTCTTCCTATTCATGAGCATGAAATGTTTTTCCATTTGTTTGTGTCCTCTCTTATTTCCTTGAGCAGTGGTTTGTAGTTCTCCTTGAAGAGGTCCTTCCCATCCCTTGTAAGTTGTATTCCTAGGTATTTTATTCTCTTTGTAGCAATTGTGAATGGGAGTTCACTCATGATTTGGCTCTCTATTATTGGTGTGTAGGAATGCTTATGATGTTTGCACATTGATTTTTGTATCCTGAGATTTTGCTGAAGTTGCTTATCAGCCTAAGGAGATTTTGGGTTGAGACGATGGGGTTTTCTAAATATACAATCATGTCATCTGCAAAAGGAGAGAATTTGACTTCCTCTCTTCCTATTTGAATACCCTTTATTTCTTTCTCTTGCCTGATTGCCCTAGTGTCCCAGGTCGACTTCAGACTGCTGTGCTGGCAGCAAGAATCTGAAGCCAGTGGATCTTAGCTTGCTGGGCTCCACAGGGGTGGGATCTGCTTAGGTAGACAACTTGGCTACCTGGCTTCAGCCCCCTTTCCAGAGGAGTGAATGGTTCTGTCTCGCTGGCACTCCAGGTACTACTGGGGTATGAAAAAAACTCCTGCAGCTAGCTTGGTGTCTGCCCAAACGACCGCCCAGCTTTGTCCTTGAAACCCAGGGCCCTGGTGGCTGAGGTACCCAAGGGAATCTCCTGGTCTGTGGGTTGTGAAGGCCATGGGAAAAGCGTAGTATCTGTGCTGAAATGCACTATTCCTCACAGCACAGTCCCTCACGGCTTCCCTTGGCTAGTGGAGGGAATTCCCCAACTCCTTGCACTTCCTGGGTGAGGTGACACCCCACCCTGCTTCAGCTCACCCTGTGTGGGCTGCACCCACTGTCTAACCAGTCCCAGTGAGATGAGCTGGGTACCCCTGTTGGAAATGCAGAAATCATCTACCTTCTGCATTGATCTCGCTGGGAGCTGCAGATCGGAGCTGTTCCTATTCAACCATCTTGCCAGCCTCCCCCCTTGACTTTCATTAAGAGTGGCCTCTAACCCACTCTGTCTTAGGAGAGACTCTAAATCCCCTAAGCTGGGCCTCTAACCCAATCTCATTCTTTACCCGGGTACCCCACCACTTACCAAAGTTGTCCAATCAGTGCTGCAGTCTATTTCCTTTGGCTCAGGGACCTCCTCAGTATTGTCCTTTTTGTGGTTCACAAGAAAGATATTACCAGGCCTCACCACTTACCCAAAGTTAGCCTTTAGGTCAGGGTTGCTGCACTGTAGTCCCTGCTGTGGTCACCAGAAATATGTCATAGGAAAGGGGTCCTGATCCAGACCCCAATAGAGGGTTCTTGGATCTCGCACAAGGAAGAATTCAGGGAGAGTCCGCAGTGCAAAGTGAAGGCAAGTTTATTAAGAAAGTAAAGGAATAAAAGAATGCCTACTTCCTTAGGCAGAGCAGCCTGTAGGGCTGCTGGTTACCCATTTTTATGATTATTTTTTGTTAATTTGCTAAACAAGGGGTGGATTATTCATGCCTCCCTTTCTTAGACCACATAGGGTAACTTCCTGATGTTGCCAGGGCATTTGTAAACTGTCACAGCACTGGTGGGAGTGCGGTGGTGAGGATAACCGAAGGTCACTCTCGTCACCATTTTGGTTTTGGTGGGTTTTGGCCGGCTCCTTTACTGCAACCAGTTTTTATCAGCAAGGTCTTTATGACCTGTATCTTGTGCTGACCTCCTATCTTATCCTGTGACTTAGAATGCCTTAACTCTCTGGGAATGCAGCCCAGTAGGTTTCAGCCTTATTTTACCCAGCTCCTATTCAAGATGGAGTTGCTGTGGTTCACACGCCTCTGACAGAAGGAATGGGGAGCCGCACTTTCCAGGCACTGGGGAAGATGCTAGCAAAAAAAGAAGTATGTTAACTGCATGACCTGCTCAGGCCAGGACAGGTTGTCTACTGTAAGAAAAAACGTGGTGTGATAAAAAAGCAACAGACACCTTTAATAATGAGTGGTGGAGAAAATTGGGTTGAGGGAGAACTGGAAAGTCTGCCTGTCTAAAATCGTAGCTGCAACTCAGCACCAGATGATTATGGCTGAGAATAAGAATAGTGAACTCTTTCATTTTTCCTTCCCAGAGAAGCTGGGAATATTAAATTTTAAAATATGATTTTGCTAAGGTCTAAATGTTAGTGTCCCCACCAGCCAAGTTCATATGTTAAAATCCTAATTCCATAAGGTGATGTTATTAGGAGGTGGGGCCTTTGGGAAGTGATTAGGTCATGAGGGTGGAGTCTTCATGAATGGTATTAGTGCCCTCATTAAAGCAAAAAACAAAAAACCAAAAACAAACCCAGAGTTCCCTTGCCCCTTCCACCGTGTAAGGACACAGTGAGAAGGTGCTACCAATGAACAAGGATGTGGGTCCTCACCAGACACTGAAGCTTCCAGGCAGCAAGAATGACCATGCCAAATGCAGGCCCTCCTGCCCTGGACTTCCCAGCTTCCAGAACCGTGAGAAATAAATTTCTGTGGCTGGGCGTGGTGCCTCACACCTGTAATCCCAGCACTTTGGGATGCTGAGGCAGGAGAATCACCTGTGGTCAGGAGTTCGAGACCAGCCTGGCCAACATTGTGAAACCCCATCTCTACTAACAATATAAAAATTAGCCAGGTGTGGTGGTGGGTGCCTCCATCTCAAAAAAAAAAAAAAAAAAAGAAAGAAAGAAATTTCTGTTTATAAGCCGTTCTATTTATGGTATTTTTGCAGCCCAAATGTCTAAGACATTATCTCATCAAATTTTTTACGTTGGCTAGAAAATTTAAACTTAGTATGCTTGTAACTGCCCAATGGGTTCACCTTGCCCACTGTCTAGACAGAGATGATTTATCAAGACAGAGGAAATGCAGTAGAAAAAGAGTAATTCACACAGAGCCGGCTGTGCAGGAGACCTGAGTTTTATTATTACTCAAATCAGTCTCCCCCGAGCATTCGGGGAGCAGAGTTTTTAAGGACAACTAGGCGGGTTGAGGGAAGCCAGTGAACCAGGAGCGCTGATTGGTCAGGGATGAAATCATAGGGAATCGAAGCTGTCTTCTTGCTCTGAGTCAGTTCCTGGGTGCAGGGGCCACAAGATCCGATGAGCCAGGTAATCAATCTAAGTGGTGCCAGCTGATCCGTCAAGTGCAGGGTCTGCAAACTATCTCAAGCACTGATCTTAGGAGCAGTTTAGGGAGGGTCAGTATTTTGTAGCCTCCAACTGCATGGCTCCTAAACCACAATTTCTAATTTTGTGGCTAATTTTAGTCCTACAAAGGCAATTTAGTCCCCAGGCAAGAAGGAAGTCTGCTTTGGGAAAGGGCTGTTATCATCTTTGTTTTAAACTATAAACTATAGGTTGGATGTGGTGGCTCACGCCTGTAATCCCAGCACATTGGGAGGCTGAGGCAGGCAGATCACTTCAGGTCAGAAAGTTCAAGACCAGCCTGGCCAACATAGTGAAACCCTATCTCTACTAAAAAGACAAAATTAGCCGGGTATGGTGGCAGGCCCCTGTAATCCCAGCTACTCCAGAGGCTGAGGCAGGAAAATCCCTTTAACCTGGGAGACAGAGGTTGCAGTGAGCTGAGATCATGCCACTGCACTCCTGCCTGGGTGACAAAGTGAGACTCTGTCTAAAAAAAAAACCCAAAAACCAAAAAACTATAAACTATAAACTAAGTTTCTCCCAAAATTAGTTCAGCCTATGCCCAGGAATGAACAAGGACCACTTGGAGGTTAGAAGCAAGATGGAGTCGATTAAGTTAGATGTCTTTCACTGTCTCAGTCATAATTTTGCAAAGGCGGTTTCATTCTGTCCACACACAATCTATTGGCAGGAAGTATAGGGTTGTGGGTGTGCCCTCAGTTCTCTACCATCCTCTGCTCTGGGCAGTAGACATAAGGGAGGAATGGTCAAGACTGTGAGATGCCTATCCAGTATTCATTCTCTACCGCTTTCTATAAGCAGAATCCCCAAATACTCAAGATGGCAATGTCCCCAGCTAATAACTATATTTCCCAGCTTCCCTTGCAAACATGTGACTTCTTTGTGACTAAGTTCTGGCTAACGAGAGGCTGTTACCGGAAAGGCTCCTGTCTTAGTCTGTTTTGTGCTGATAACAGAATACCACATACAGGGTAATTTATAGGGAAAAGAAATTTATTTCTTCATTTCTGGAAGCTAGGAAGTCCAAGGCTGAAGGGCCTCCATCTGACGTGGTCTTTCTTACTGAGTCATCCCTTGGTGGAAGGGGAAAGGGCAAAAGAGGGCACACAAAAGCAAGAGAGAGCAAGAGGTGGTGGTCAAACTTGCTTTTCTCATGAATTCACTCACTCAATAATGGCATTAATCTATTCATAAAGGCAGAACTCTCACGGCCTAATTACCTTTTTTCAGTCCCACCCCTTAATAAGATCACAATGATGATTAAATTTCAACATGAGTTTTTTTTGGGGGAAGGGGCGGGGTGGACATTCACACCATAGCAGCTACCAAAGGGAACAGGCAGCTGGCATTTTTTTTCTCATTCCTCCACCTTTTTTCTTCAAACATTGAACTGATGGCTAGAGCTTCAGCAGCCATATTGGGCCAAGAGGCAGCCTTGAGTATGGAAGCTGCATTAGTCAGCTCAGGCTGCAATTACAAAATACCACAGACTGGGTAGCTCAAACCATAGGAATCTATTTTCTTATAGTCCTGGAGGCTGGAGATGGATACAAGAGCAAGGTGCTGGCAGGGCTGGTTTCTTCTGCAGCCTCTGTCCTTGGCTTGCAGCTGCCCCCCTCTCACTGCATCCTCACATGGTCTTTCCGCTGTGTGCACCCCTGGCATCTCTTTTGTGTCCAAATATCCCCCTTCTTATAAGAACACCTGTCAGATTGGACTAGGGCCTACTCTAAAGGCCTCATTTTAACTTAATCACCCATTTAAAGGCACTATCTCCAAATGCCATCACATTCTGAGGGATGGTGGTGGGGATTAGGGTTTTAACATGAATTTAGGGGAGACACAATTCAGTCCGTAATACGAGAAGATCAAGAACTTTTATTTATTTATTTTTTCTGAAAGGAAGTTGAGAACTGTGTGCAGGGGGTTCCATCACAATTCAGGAGCCCTGGGTTCTCTGTTCTAAGCTATTGTGTGGCCTTCCAGTGAGACTTAGAGATAATCAAGTAAACCTCTCAGATTTATTTATTTTTGTTTATCTGTAAAATGGAAGTAATAACACCTGGCTTACTTATCTTACAGCATTTGGTGAAGATCAAATAAAATAATGAACGTGAAAATGTTTTGAAAAACATGAATTACCTATATAAATGTTCCTAAAGTCATTTGTTTACCTTCTTTGCCCTGCGTATCACATGTGTTGTGATTTTTCTGAAACTTGGGTTGTCTTAAACAGTTATTTAAAACCTTTTAAATTAAAATCATAAATAAAAGCGCAACATAAAAATAAATAGGAAAACAACATAACATTATTAAATATTAGCTAATTATTGTTAAGTGCTAAAACTTGCTCTCTCTGTTAAAAAGGAGACACGATTAGGGAAGGTTTAAAGTCAAACTAGTATCAAACAGACTTCAACTTTGAAAATATTAGAAGAGCTAAAAAAAAGAGGATTGGAAAAGAAAGAACTTTCTCATGATTCAGTGAAATATTATTTATTTATTATTTATTTATTTATTTTGAGACAGAGTCTTGCTCTGTTGCCCAGGCTAGAGTGCAGTGGCACGATCTCGGCTCACTGCAACCTCTGCCTCCTGTGTTCAAGTGACTCTAATGCCTCAGCCTCCCGAGTAGCTGGGATTACAGGCGTGCACCACCATGCCCAGCTCATTTTTTGTATCTTTAGTAGAGACGGGGTTTCACTGTGTTGGCTAGGCTGGTCTCAAACTCCTGACCTCAGGTGATCTGCCCACCTCAGCCTCCCAAAGTGCTGGGATTACAGAGGCGAGTCACCTTGCCCAGCCAAAATGTTATTTAATATCATGGCTCCCATCATCTCCATGTGTTATGGGAGGGACCAAGTGAGAGGTAATTGAATTACGAGGGTGGGTTTTCCCGTACTGTTCTTATGGTAGTGAATAAGTCTCAACAAGATCTGATGGTTTTATAAAGGGTAGTTTCCCTGCTAATGCTCTCTTGCCTGCCATCACATAAGATGTGCCTTCACTCCTCCTTCGTCTTTCTCCATGGCTGTGAGGCTTCCCTAGCCATGTGGAACAGTGAGTCTATGAAATCTTTTTCTTTATAAATTATCCAGTTTTGGGTATTTCTTCATAGCAGTATGAAAATGGACTAATACACTATGTAATATGGTCTCACCCTCAAAAAACGTTGATGCATAAGAATATGTGATCCTGTGGAGCAGTTTCCCCAGGAAAGCAAGGAAACCAACAGTTTGTGAACAGTTGTTTGTGCCAGACTCTGTGGGAGCCCCTATCCTCCCTCATGGAGGCCTAATAATAACCAGTTGAGATGGGTGTTACTGTCTACTTTTCACCTGGGAAAATGGGGGGTCAGGATCTAGGTGACTGACCCAACATCACACAGAGGCCAAGAGAAGGAGTCACTCAGAGGCAAGGTGAACTGAGGTGTGGGTGCAGAGGCTCCAAACCCCATGGTCCCTGATGTTGGGATTTGATCAGGCTGGTGGGAAAAATATTAGTTATGATAGCCACAAAACCCTTTTGGAAGGCCTGAGGGTTTTCATATGACCTCGGTAATAGACCGGGCTGAAGGCGGCCTGGTCCCATTACCTTTAGTTAAATAAATTAGAGTAGTAAACGATGGGATGTGGGGAAGTTATCTAGTTAACTTGTTTACGCTTGTGATCTTAAGCCTTAAGCCTTTGATGTATACTTTTTATTCGGAAAGTCCACAATGTCAATTACCCTCTAATGGTGTTGACTCAAGCTTTTGTTAACTAATTTTAATGAATAAATGCAAGCCTCCCGAGCTGATCGAGGCAACCTCCCATACAGTGACAAACCTCCCACACCACTTTATAATGCTGTGATCCAGGTTCTCCTTATGATATCTGGAATTTAAGGAATGCTGCCATTGTTCTTTTTTGAGATGTAGTCATCAGAAAAAGTCAGTACCGTGCATTGGTTGAGAATATAGTCTCTGGAACCAGACTGCCTCTTATCAGCTGTGTGATTTTGGGCAAGTTACTCAGCTTCTCTGTGCCCCAGATTCCTAAGGGATAATAATAGTGCCCATTTCATACACTTGTGAAGATTAAATGGGTTGATAATGTGTCAAGTGTTTAAACTAGTGCTGGCACATACTTTGCTCTATCTAAGGGTTAATATTATCCATACTTTATATTGTGGCTACCATGTTACAGCTTGGGATAGGATGCTCAATGTTCCACACTTGATTATGAAGACAGCTTGCACAGGCATCTCCTCTTCAAAGCATATTTTACATCTTTATTCCTCAGGCTGTAGATCAGAGGGTTCAGCCTGCGGATGACCACAGTGTAGAAGACAGACATGACCTTGTTGTGTTCCATGGAATTGTGAGAGCTTGGCTGAGCATACATGAAGGTGATGGTGCTATAGAAGAGGCAGATGATGGTGAGGTGGGAGGCACAGGTGGAGAGAGCTTTGCTCTGGGCTTGCAGGGAGCGCATCCTGCAAATGGTCACGAGGATGTAGGCATAGGAGACTGGGATAATGGTGATGGTAAAGAGGATGAGCAAGGCACACAATGAGAAGATAATGGTCTCAACCTCGTAGTATCTGCACCGGCAAGTTGGAGCACAGGGGGGATGTCACAGAAATAGTGGTTAATGACATTGGGGCCACAGTAGGGCAGCTTAAAGATGCACCCAGTCAGCAAAGCTGAATTGGCAACAGAAACAGTATAGCAGGTCACCACCAGCAGGGCACACAGACATTGGGATATAATAGTGTGATAGAGGAGAGGGTGGCAGATGGCGGTGAATCGGTCATAGGCCATGATGGCCAGGAGCAGACACTCAGCAGTACCATGGAGGATCATGAGGGCCATCTGGACCATACAGCCTGCAAAGGAGATGGATTGGCTTGAGATGAGGAAGCTCTCCAGCAGCCTGGGGATGTCCACTGTGGAAAACGAGGAGTCTATCAAGGATAGGACGCTCAGGAAGAAATACATGGGGGTGTGGAGCTGTGGGTCTGCATGGATCAGAGTGATCATTCCCAGGTTGCCCATAACAGTGACTGAATGCATGAGCAGGAAGAGCACAAAGAGGATGCCTCTGAGCTCCTCCTGCTCTGTAAGTCCCAGCAGGCGGAACCAGGTGACTTGGGTGTGGTTCTCCACCATGGTGTGCATGTCACTGCAGAGAGACCAAATAAGACACGTGTGTACCCTAGAGTTAGGGTCAGTGCCCAGAGATTTTTAAATATCCCCAGGATAGACAGTGTTAGGGAAAGAGGGAGAGGAACTGGTAAGAATTGAACACCTGCTATGAGCCACGTGCTAACTCATTTTTAAAGCAGCTATTGAAACTTCATACATACCTTCTGTTTAAATATTATATCCATTTATATTTAATGAGATGATCAACTTACCAAATGAGATGATCAACTTATCAAAGGTCACAAAGCTAGTACATAAGGAAAGTAGAATTAGAACTCAGTCTGGCCAGGTGTGGTGGCTCACACCTGTAATCCCAGCACTTTGGGAGGACGAGGTGGGTGGATCATCTGAGATCAGGAGTTCAACACCAGCCTGGCCAACATGGTGAAACCTCGTCTCTAGTAAAAATACAAAAAATTAGCCAGGCGTGGTGGCACATGCCTGTAGTCCCAGCTACTCAGGAGGCTGAGGCAGGAGAATCACTTGAACCCAAGAGATGGGGGTTGCAGTGAGCCCAGATTGCGCCACTGCATTCCAGCCGGGGTGACACAGCAAGACTCCATCAAAAAAAAAAAAAAAAAAAAAAAAAACACAAAAAACCTCAGCCTGTTCTAGGAATTGTATCCTTATTATGTAGTTAGAATCATTTTCTGTTCCCAAATTTCCTGTTCTACAGGGAACCAGCATCTGCAGCAGGTATTGGAGGCCTGGTCTGTTGCCCCAGAGAGGGAATAATTAAAAGGATCAGTGTGGGTCATGTTTGGAAGCAAATACTCCAATAGTGCTTGTCCCCTAGGCCTGGGACACAGGAAATCAGATGCCTCCAGTCATTAGAATGCGCAGTGCAGTAATTTCTCCCAGTGTTGTGTGTTGAATTATATCTTCCAAAAATAAACGTTGGAATCCTAACTCCTGGTACCTGTGACTGTGACCTTATTTGGAAGTAGGATCTTTGCAGATTTAATCAAGTTAATGTGAGGTCACACTTCATTAGGGTGAACTCTACTCTAACATGATTGATGTCATTATAAGAAAAGAAATCTGGCTGGGTGCGGTGGCTCATGACTGTAATCCCAGCACTTTGGAGGGCCGAGGTGGGCCGATCACTTGTCAGGAGCTGGAGACCTGTCTGGCCAACATGGTGAAACCCTGTCTCTACAAAAAATACAAAAATTAGTCTGGCATGGTGGCGGGCACCTATAATCCCAGCTACTTGGGAGGCTGAGGCAGGAGAATTGCTTGAACCTGGGAGGTGGAGGTTGCAGTGAGCCAAGATTGTGGCATTGCACTCCAAACTGGGTGACAGAGCGAGACTCTGTCTTAAAAAAAAGAAAACAGAGATATAGCAAGGACAGCATCATGTGAAGAGACAGACAAGGGAAGATGGTCATGTGAAGATGGAGGCAGAGATAGGAGTTAGGCTGCCATAAGTCAAGGAATGCCTGGGGCTTCCAGAAGCTGTCAGAGGCGAGGAAGAATACTCTTCTAGAGGATACAGAGGGCTTCACACCTTGGTTCCAGGCTTCTGGCCTCAAGAACCGCAAGAAAATACATTTCTTTTGTTTTAAACCACCCAGTTTGTGTTACTTTGTTATAGCAGCCATAAAAAATGAATACACTCAGTTAGGGATGCTTCTGCTTGGTGAGTATGTGGCGCTTTGAGAGAGACCTCTTGGGTAATTGTCAGAAGATGGGGCTTAACTGATCTCTGTCAATTGACTGAACTAATAATCCACAAAAAGAAAATGAAATAAATGAAAACGGATGGATGTTTCAAGATGGGTGACTAGAGGCATTTTTGTATTTACCTCCTCCACTACGAAGAACCAAAACAGTGAGCAGATAATCACACTTTGATTAGATCATCCAGGAGAGAACACTGGAATTCAACAGAAAAGTGATAGGAAATACCTCAAGCAAAGAAGGAATCCTGAGATCCCTGTTTGGTAAGATTGGCTGGGAGCTGAGAGAGGTTCCCACTACAGGAAAAGGGTAAATGAGAGACCCTAGTAGTCCACATTCCCACTGAGGACTCCTGAAATCCTAGCTGCGGGAAAGCCCTTGACCCTCACAAGGCCCTGAAACTAACATAGGGAGCTGCTGGGGAGATTGTGTGATGGCAGTACCTAAGGGAGGGAGCTTGCACTGGGTCCCACACACTTTCTGAAACCTAAGCAGCTCCAGCAAGTTGCCATTTTAGAGCACTGCCCCCAATAGATTGCACACTGTCCTGGAGTCCAGGGGCCTGAGGTGGCCCTGGAGGCTTAGGAGAGAAAGCTACCCACACCCGGGGCTGAAGTGCAACCAAAGCGTTGAGTACCGCTGTTGGGGCTGAGGAATGAGCAAGGTACCATTTACTGCAGCAGGGATTGAGGTGCAAGTGGCACATGTGTTCCCCACCTGCCAGCCTAGGCTGCCCACCACTGAAGGCAGCATTCCCACTCCAGTGGCAGAGCAGCAGTGTGGCCGCTGCCCACTTGAGCATTCTGCCAGTGGCCTAAAGATTGCCCTGCTCCTTCCTACCACAACTTTGCCTGCATTCACCACTGGGGGCTTAAGGACAAGTCTGTCTGGCCTGGCTTAGCCTCTACCTCTTGTGCCAGAGCACACAATCTGGGGGCCAGTAAATTGCCCAGCCTAGGCTACCACCACTGGCACCTGAACTCTCCTGAGGGCCGGAGTTTGGGCCTAACCACTCAGCTGCTATCACCATAGCTGGCACGCATCACCTGAAGGCCTGGGGACTGGCCTATGCAGCCTATTGCAGCCACCACCAACACCAGTACAGACCACTTGGGACCAGAGGGTTGTCTTGCCACTGCAGTTGTCATTACGCATGTCACAATGGCTGCCCAGGGGCCCAAGAACCCGTCCACTTGCCCAGCCTGCTGCTGCTACTACCCCAGACCACTGCTGCTACTACCCCAATAAGTCAGCTGGGTGCCCAAGGATTGGCCCTCTTGGACCCACTGACATTGGAGACAGCATACGCTGTCCTGCGGCCCAAGGACAGACATGCTCAGCCCACTGCTGCCACCACTGGGGCCCAAACTCTGACCTACCTTGTGTGCCAGTCATATACTGTCATGCAGCCCAAGGACAGACATACTCAGCACACTGCCGCCACCACTGGAACCCAAACTCTGATCTACTTGACAGTCCCACTCTCCATCACAGCCTCAACTAATAACTGTAACCTATGCCACCAAGGAAATCACAGATACTACTGATGCTGTTTATAGCCAAATAAACAATAGAGAGACTATACGAGGATGCTTCAACATATGCAAATCAATCAATGTGATACATCATATCAACAGAATGAAGGACAAAAATCATAGGATCATTTCAATTGATGCTGAAAAAGCATTTGATAAAATTCAACATCCCTTCATAATAAAAACTCTAAAGAAACTTGATATAGAAGAAACATACCTCAACCTAATAAAAGACATATGAGACAGACACATAGCTAGCGTCATACTGAATATGGAAAAACTGAAAGCCTTTCCCCTAAGATCTGGAACACCACAAAGATGCCCACTTTCACCACTGTTATTCAACATAGTATTTTAAGTCTTAGCTAGAGCAATCAGAGAAGAGAAAGAAATAAAAGGGCATCCAAATTGGAAAGGAAGAAGTCAAATTATCCCTGTATGCAGATGATATGATCTTATATTTGGAAAAACCTAAAGACTCCACCAAAAACCTATTATAATGGATAATCAAATTCAGTAGAGTTGCAGAATACAAATCAACATGTAAAAATCAGTAGAATTTCTATATTCTAACAGCAAACAATCTGAAAAAGAAATCAAGAAAGTAATCCCATTTATAGTAGCTACAAATGAAATTAAATATCTAGGAATTAATCAAAGAAGTGAAATATCTCTACAACAAAAACTATAAAACACTGGAGAAAGAAATGGAAAAGGACACAAAAAAATAGATTTCATGTTCATGCATTGGAATAACCAATATTGTTAAAGTGTCCATACTACCCAAAGCAATCTAAAGATTCAATGCAATCCCTATCAAAATACCAATGATATTCTTCACAGAAATAGAAAAAATAATTCTAAAATTTTTGTGGAAGCACAAAAGACCCAGAATAGCCAAAGCTATCCTGAGCAAAAAAAACAAAACTGGAGAAATCACATTACTGAACTTCAAATTATGCTATAGAGTTATAGTAACCAAAACAGCATAGTACTGGCATAAAACCAGACACATAGACCAATGGAACAGAATAGAGAACCCAGAAATAAATCCATACATCTAGAGTGAACTCGTTTTTAACAAAAGTGCCAAGAAGTTAAATTGGGGAAAGAATAGTCTCTTCAATAAATGCTGCTGGGAAAACTGAATACTCACATGCAGAAGAATGAAACTAAGGGAGAAGTTTATAGTAATAAACACCTGCATCAAAAAAGTAAAAAAATTTCAAACAGACAATCTAATGATACATCTTAGGAACTAGAAAAGCAAGAAAAAAAATCCAAGCCCAAAATTAGCAGACGGAAATGAATAATAAAGATTAGAGCAGAACTAAACAAAATAGAGACTAAAACAAAAAACAAAAAACAAACAAAAAAAACACCAACAACAAAATACAAAACAAATGATCAATGAAACAAAAAGTTGGTACTTACACTTGGACACAGGAAGGGGAACATCACATACTGGGGCCTGTTGTGGGGTGGGGGGAGTGGGGAGGGGTAGCATTAGGAGACATACCTAATGTAAATGATGAGTTAATGGGTGCAGCACACCAACATGGCACATGTATAGATATGTAACAAACCTGCACGTTGTGAACATGTACCCTAGAACTTAAAGTATAATTTAAAAAACCAAAAAGTTGGTACTTGGAGCAGATAAACAAAATTGATAAACTGCTAGCTAGATTAACTAAGAAAAGAAGAGGGAGGACCTACATAAACAAAATCAGAAATGAAAAAGGAAACATTACAACTGATACCACAGAAATACAAAACATCACCAGAGACTATTATGAGTAACTATTCTCTAACCAAATAGGAAAACCTGGAGAAAATGGATAAATCCCTGGCAACATTCAACCTATCAATATTGAATCAGGAAGAAATATAAAACCTGAACACCAATAACAAGTAATGAGGTTGAAACAGTAATGAAGAAATTTCCTGGCCAGGTGCAGTGGCTCATGCCTGTAATCCCAGCATTTTGGAAGGCTGAGACAGGAGGATCATCTGAGACCAGGAGTATGAGACCAGCCTGGGAAACAGAGTGAAACTTTGTCTCCACAAAAAAAAATCAAAAAAATTAGCCAAGCATAGTGATATACACCTGTAGTCCCTGCTACTTGGGAGGCTGAGGTGGGAAGATTGCTTGAGCTCAGGAGGTTGAGGTTGCAGTTAGCCATGAAGGCATGACTGAACTCCAGCCTGGGCAACAGAGGGAGACCCTGTCTCAAAAACAAACAAACTGACAAATAGACAAACAGAAGTTTCCCAACAAAGAAAAGCTGAGGCTGGATAAAAGATAATATGCCATTTACAAGTAGGATTTATACCAGGGAAACAGTGATGTGGTTTAACCTATACAAATCAATAAATGTGATATATCACACGAACAGAATGAAGGACAAAAACCATATGATTATCTCAACAGACACAGAAAAAGCATTATTATTATTATTATTATTATTTTTGGAGACAGAGTCTTGGTCTGTCACCGAGGCTGGAGTGCAGTGGCTCAATCATGGCTCACTGCAACCTCTGCTTCCTGGATTCAAGTGATTCTCCTGCCTCAGTCTCCCAAGTAGCTGGGACTACAGGCGCGCGCCACTACACCCAGCTAATTTTTAGTAGAGACAGGTTTTCACCATATTGGTTAGACTGGTCTCGAACTCCTGACCTCGTGATCCGCCTGCCTCAGCCTCCCTAAGTGCTGAGATTACCGGCATGAGCCACCACGCCCAGATGAAAAAGCATTAATTTAAAAAAAATTTTTATTATAAAAATATTAAAAGAAAATAGAGATGGGGGTCTTTCTATGTTGCCCAGGCTGGCCTTGAACTCCTAGCCTCAAGCAGTCCTCTTGCCTCAGCCTCTCAAAGGCCTGGGATTACAGGCATGAGCCACTGTGCCTGGCCAGAACAAACATTTGATAAAGTTCAATGTCCCTTCAAGATAAAAACTTTCAACAAACTAGGCATAGAGGAAAATAATAAAGGCTATATATGACAAACCCACAGCTAACATCATACAGAATGGGGAAAAGTTGAAAGCCCTTCCTCTAAGAACTAACAAGAAAGGATGCTCACATTCACCACTCTATTCAACATAGGACTAGAAGTCCTATTCAGAGCAATCAGGTAAAAACAAACAAACAAATCCAAATTGGAAAGGAGGAAGTCAAAATGTCCCTCTTTGCGGATTACATTTCTTATATTTAGAAAAAGCAAAAGACTCCACCACAAAACTCCTAGAGGTGATAAGCACATTTAGTAAAATTGCAGGATACAAAGTCAACATACAAAAATCAGTAGTGTTTCTATACTCCAACAATGAAATAGCTGAAAAGGAAATCAAGAAGGCAGTCCCATTTATAATAGTACAAAAGATGAAATAAGCCAGATGTGGTGGCTCATGACTGTAATCCTAGTACTTTGGGAGGTTGAGGCAGGAGGATTGCTTGAAGTTGGGAGTTCAAGACCGGCCTTGGCAATAGCAAGAGCCCATCTTTACAAAAAATAAAAAAAATTAGCTGGATGTGGTGGCGTGCACCTATAGTCTCAGCTACTTGGGAGGCTGAGGTGGGAGGATTGCTTGAGCCCAGTAGTTTGAGATTGCGGTGAACTATGATTGTGCCACTGCATTGCAGCCAAAATACCTAGGAATCAGTTTAACCAAGGAGGTAAAGATCTCTACAAGAAAAACTACAAAACACTGGGGGGAAGAAATTGAAGACGACGCAAGAAAATGGAAAGCCATCCATGCTCATGGACTGGAAGAATTAATGTAGTTAAAATGAATATATTGACCAAAGCAATATACAAATTTAATGCAATCTCTATAAAAATACCAATGTCGTTTTTCACAGAGATAGAAAATACAATCCTAAAATTGACACAGAACTAAAAAGGAGCCCAAATAGCCAAAGCAATTCTTAGCACAAAGTACAAAGCTAGAGGCATCACACTACTTGATTCAAATTATATATAAAAGACTTTTTATCCCTCACCCTCCTTCCACCTGTTGCCCTGAATCCCCAAGGTCCATCGTATCATTCTTATGCCTTTGAGTCCTCATAGCTCCCACTTGTGAGTGAGAACTCAGGAGTTTGATCATATGATGTTTGGTTTTTCATTCCTAAGTTACCTCACTTAGAATAATGGTCTGCAATTCCATCCACGTTGCTGCAAATGCTACTGTTTCATTCCTTTTTATGGCTGTGTGGTATTCCATGGTGTGTGTGTGTGTGTGTGTGTGTGTGTGTGTGTGTATACTACATTTTCTTTATCCACTCATTGATTGATGGGCATTTGGGCTGATTCCATATTTTTGCAACTGCGAATTGTGCTGCTATAAACATGAGTGTGCAAGTATCTTTTTCGTGTAATGACTTCTTTTTCTCTGGGTAAATACCCAGGAGTGAGATTGCTGGATCAAATGGTAGATCTACTTTTAGTTCTTTAAGTAATCTCCACACTGTTTTCCATAGTGGTTGTACTAGTTTCCCACCAACAGTGTAAAAGTGTTCCCTTTCCACCACATCCATGCCAACATCTATTATTTTTAGTTTTTTGATTATGGCTATCCTTGCAGGAGTAAGGTGGTATCACATTGTGGTTTTGATTTGCATTTCCCTGATAATTAGTGATGAGCATCACTATTCATCATGGAAATGCAAATCAAAACCACAATGAGATGTCATTTTACCCCATTTAGAATGGCTATTACTATTATTATTTTTTTGAGACAGGGTCTCACTCTATTGCCCAGGCTGGAGTGCAGTGGCGCAATCTCTGCTCACTGTAACCTCCACCTCCTGGGCTCAAGCAGTTCTCATGCCTCAGCCTCCTGAGTAGCTGGGATTACAGACAGGTGCCACCACACCCCACTAATTTTTGTATTTTCAGTAGAGACAGGGTTTCATCATGTTGGCCAGGCTAGTCTTGAACTCCTGGCCTCAAGCCATCAGCCCACCTAGGCCTCCCAAAGTGCTAGAATTATAGGCATGAGCCACTGCACCCAGCCAAGAATGGCTATTATTAAAAAGACAAAAAATAACAGATGCTGGTGAGGATACGGAAAAAAGGGAACTCATATGCTGTTGGTTGAAATACTGAAGATTTCTCAAAAATCTAAAAATAGAAGTACCATATGATCCAGCAATCCCACCGCTGTGTATCTATCCAAAAGAAGAGAAATCAGAGTAATTAAAGGCATACCTCCACTCATATGTTTATTACAGCACTATTCACAATAGCACAGATATGGAATGAACGTAAGTATCCCATAATGGACAAATGGATAAAGAAAATGTGGTACATATATGTAATGGAATGCTATTTGGCCATAAAAATCAAATTATATCACTTGCAGAAACATGGATGAAACTGGAGGTCATCATGTTAAGTGAAACAATGCAGGCACAGAAAAACAAATACCACACATTTTCACTCAGATGTGGGAGCTAAGAAACTTGATGTCATGAAGATAGAGAATAGACTGATGGTTACCCCAGGCAGGGAAGAATGTGAGGGTGGGAAAGAGAAATGAAGACAGGTTGGTGAATGCGTACATATTTACAGGTGGATAGAAGAAATAAGTTCTAATGTTTGATAGCAGAGTAATGTGACTATGGTTAGCAACAACATATTGTATATTTCAAAATAGCTAGAAGAGAGGACTTGAAATGTTACCAACACATAGAAATGATAAATACTCAAGGTGATGGATAACTCAAATACTTTAACTTGAGCAATACACATTCTATGTATGTAAAAAATACTCACATGTACCCCATAAATATGTAAAACATTATGTATCAATTAAAAAAAAAGAAAACAAAGTCTGTGTTATTGTTCATTACTAAGAAAAATATCTGACTGTGAGAATAGGTAGCTACAGCAAATGTGGAATTCCAGCTGGACAAAACCATGTCAAAGGACCAAGTGCTTTTGTTTTAGCCAAGAAGAACTGAAGGCAGTAGAACATGCCAGATTGGTGGCTTTGGCGTCTAGTGAAGGACAGTTCTTTCTTTTTTTCTCTCGACTTTTATTTTATTTCAGAGGGTACATGTGCAGGTTTGTTACATGGGTAAATTGCATGTCACTGGGGTTTGGTGTACAAATGATCCCGTCACCCAGGTAGTGAGCACAGTACCCAATAGGTAGTTTTGCAATTCATGTCCCCCTCCCAACCTCCTCCATCAAGTAGTCCCCAGTGTCTGTTGTTCCTATCTTTGTGACCAAATATATTCAGTGTTTAGCTCCCCCTTGTAAGTGAGAACACGCAGTGTTAAGTTTTCTGTGCCTGCTTAGGATTATGGCCTCCAGCTGTAACCACGTTGCTGCAAAGGACATGATTTTGTTCCTTTTTATGGCTGTGTAGTATTCCTTGGTGTATATATAACTGCATTTTGTTTATCCAGTCCACCGCTGATGGGCATAGGCTGGTTATCTATCTTTGCTACTGTGAATAGTGGTACGATGAACATACGAGTGTATGAAGGACACAGTTCTTATGGCAGAATGGGTGATGGAGATCTCTAGGCAGGGAGCAAAGGTCAAAGGGCATACCCTCTTAAATTCCATGCCAGTGAAACTTCTCTCCAGTGTTCTCATGCTCCCACAAATTTGCTTGTTGGGATCCTCATCATCTAGGTTTTCAAATAATCATGAGTAAGGTCCTGTAGAGCATAATGGTAAGTGTCTGCTCTGATTGCCTGGGTGTCTGTTCTGATTATTTGGTGCCCATGGTATACTGGTTGTCAAATGGCTGGGAATAAAGAAGGAATAAGGCAGAGCCTCATTTAGAGCAACCTGGGGTAGCTAGAAATAGGTGGCCTCTAATCAAAGCCTGTAACGTGGTTTTGTGCTATCAGCATCTTATTGACAACTTCAGGCCTTTTGAAATGTAAACAATTTGAGCAGATTTTAGCTGCGGAGAGCGCCAGAGAGGATGCTTCTTTATTCATGATGTTTCCCTCCATATGGAAGGAGAGCTATTGTATAATATTCTTACCCCCCTCTCCTGGAGGGTGAGTGCCTCATGTGATCAGTGAGTTTCATATAAGAGATTGGGTTTGTATAGTTCTGCTCTGCCTTCTTCTTTGCTCCTTGGAAGCATAGGTTCTGCTCTGTTCTGCTCCTCTGTAATGTAGATCTTAAAATTGGTCATTAAATTTGTCTAATTCTGGGGTTCAGTTTTAAGACCACTCACCTACAGGTATGAATCATGTTTTGCAATAAAAAGTTTTGTCAGCGATGCAGGTAATATTTTGCCCCCTATCTGCCTTGCTTCTATACCTTATCTCTTAATTCGTTGAGAATTTGCATAGGAAAGAGAGATGCTGTTTATTGTGGTCCTTAAAGACCTCAGCAGAGAGAAAACATGAAGGAAGTTGGCAGGGACAATTTGCCTAGCTTATCTCTTCAATGGGTCCATGAGCTGGGTTCACACATCTCTAGCAAACTGATATCGTTAAGGAATGAGTGGGCTGTAACACTGGGGTGTGATATGTGATAAAGCCTTGGAGAACTCTGGATTCACAGTAATAATTCCTGATTGAAAGAGCAGGAGAATAGCTTCCTCCAGTTCTCCTGCTGAGACTTTGAGGAGGGGCTGCAATGACAATGAGAATGCACTTGGGCTGAATGTTGAAGTGTTCTGACATGACAGGAGAGAGGAGGCTTATCAAGGTCAGAAGAGGGGAGGTTTATGAAAGTGGAGGCCATCTGAAGATGGGAGAATCTCTGAGAATTTCTGAAGATCTCCTGTCCCCACGGATCTATTACAGAACCACGGATGGGTTCCAGTTCTATCTCTGATAGCTCTGCTCTTTTCTTGAGGACACTAAGGAACTCACTGGTTTGGGTTACAACTTGTATTCCTTGATATTTGTCTGTAAAGCACAGTGCTTAGTAGTTTGTAGTCTCAGCTGTTTTAATAATTCGTTTTCCTTTTGATAGGAAGAGCTTTAGGGAATGGGAGAAGAAACTGATGTTTTTGGACCACCAGAGTAGTCTGGGCACATTTTATTCCTTCCTTTTTAAAAATAGACATTTGTTAACCAGTCCTGGTCATTGTTGACCATGAGAAAATACTGTCTTGCCTCTGGAGGACTGGCTTTGAAGGCAGAGTCCCGTAAGTGGGGAGCAGTTAAAAGGTTTTAAGCAGGATGGTGACATGGTCAGACTCAGATGTAAAAACGAATTAGAGAGAAGCCAGGGAGATACATTAGGCAAAGGATCATACTGGCCTTAGCTAGGGCAGTGTTATTTTATTTATTCACAAATAGTTAAGTCCTATTATAGTACTGGAGACACAATGGTAATTAAGGTAGACAAGATATTTGCCTTCAGAGAGTTTAAGAATAGAAAGATTAAGGAAGTATTTAGAAGATGGGTTTATTAGTACCTGCTCATTGATTGGATGTGTGGCCCACAAGAGGGTCAGAGATGATTTCCTGATTCCTAATTTAGGTAAATGGATGAATAGTGGCGTCATTTACTCTAACAGTAACAGATTTGAGGAAGGATGCGGTGAGTCTGGGACCGTCTAATACAGAAGTTCAGGAGACTGGTGGGTGTACTGTTCTGAAGCTTAGGAGGGAGTTTCCTATAGGAGATGGAGATGTGAAGGCATGTATTCAGTCATTCAAAATATGTTTATTGTGTATCTACTGTGTGCTGGGCACTGTGTAGGAGGTGAGGATACAATCACAAGGAAAAAACATGGTGCCTACTTTTGCAGAGTTTATAGTTTAGGTGGGGGGATAAACATGAATGAAACAATCATACACATTATTGAAAAACTGCAACTGGGACAGTAGCTCTGAAGTAGAGGTGCCCAATGTTATGAGCCTAAAACTGGGGGATTTGGCTCTGGGAGGTCAAGAAGGGTTTCCCTAAGAAGACATTTCCAGAGGAAGGAAGAGTGGGAATGGTGTACACAAAGACCTTGAGGTCTGAGGGTTGTTGGTGAGGAAGAGGAGCTGAATAAAGACCAGTGTAGATACAGGACAAAGAGAGAGGAGGTGTGGTGTGGCTGAACCTCGCAAGCCGGTGGCAGTGTTTTGTAACATTTATTGAGTGTTTATTTTGTGTCAGGCATTGTTTCCAAATACCTTTAACTTCATTTTATCCTTTTTTTTTGAGATGGAATCTTGCTCTGTCGCCCAGGCTGGAGTGCAGTGGTGCGATCTTGGCTCACTGCAGCCTCTGCCTCCCCAGTTCAAACGATTCTCCTGCCTCAGCTTCGTGAGTAGTTGAGACTACTGTCATGTGCCACCACGCTCAGCTGGTTTTTGTATTTTTGGTAGAGACGGGATTTTGCCATGTTGGCCAGGCTGGTCTCAAACTCCTGGCCTCCAGTGATTGGCCCACCTTGGACTCCCAAAGTGCTGGGATTACAGGCATGAGCCATCACACCCAGCCAGGAATCTTCTCAATTTTATGTCACTATATCCCCAGTGCCTAGAACACAGCATGGCAAATAGTGAGCCTGAGCCACTGCGCCCAGCCCATTTAATCCTCTCTACCATCTTATGGGAGGTACTATTGATATCTCCATGTTGATTAGAGGAAGTCAAGACAAAAGGAAGCCAAGTAACTTGCCCAAAGACACAGCTAATAAGAGGCAGAGCTGGGGATTGAATTAAGGTGGTCAGGTTCTAGAGTCCAAACTTTTATCTAGTCCCCTAGACCATGTTAAAGAATTTGTTTTTTTTGGGCCGGCACAGTGGCTCACACCTTTAATCCCAGCACTTTGGGAGGCTGAGGTGGGCAGATCACCTGAGGTCAGGAGTTCGAGACCAGCCTGGCCAACATGGCAAAAACCCATCTCTACTAAAAATAAAAAATTAGCTGGGCGTAATGGAGGGCACCTGTAATCCTAGCTACTTGGGAGGCTGAGGCAGGATAATTGCTTGAACCCGGGAGGCAGAGGTTGCAGTGAGCTGATATTGCACCATTGCACTCCAGCCTGGGCAACAGAGCGAGATTCTGTCTCAAAAAAAAATTTTTTTTTAATGGGATACCATTACATAATTTTCACCAGGAAGGTGACATGGTCATATTTGCTTTTTGACAAGATCACTCTGAATGCAGTTGTAGAGAAATGATTGGAGGAGGGTCAATGGATGGGCAAGATTGTTGAGAGGATATTGAAGTCATCCAGGTGGGAGTTACAGCTTAAACTAGAGTGTGGGATATAGCTAGGGATAAATGAATCTGAGAGATGTTTGGATTTGGTGATGGACTGAAGATGTCAGTGTGAGGAGGAGAGCAGACTCAGGTTGGATTCTGAGGTCTCGGATATATACAATAGAACTGGCAGTTGAAGCTAAGAGAGATTAAGATGTGCCAGGGAGAGCGTGAGCTGTGAAATACAAGAGGCCCCAGGACAGATTCCCAAGGAAATTAATTTCCTATTTACTTCATGCTGCTTCTCGGTTCTAAGCTCTGATTTTTTTTTTTTTTTTCCCATTTGCCTGGGAATTTTGAGGAACTTTGGGCCTGACTTGTGAGGAAGGAGGATAAAGGAGTCTGAGCTCTTATTAGTGATAGGATCCCACCCCCAGCCCACTTACCTGTGGTTGAACAGAGACCATCCACCCATGAGCTTTGTGTTGGAGACCTCTTGACGGGGGTGGTGGCTGTGTGTTCTTTCTCTCCTTTTTTCATCTGTTGCTTCTGGCCAGCTTTCTCAGGAGCACTTTTCAGCCAGTTGTAAGTAACAAAGCTTTGAGAGTACTTTTTGCTGGGAAGACTCCTGTCTTAAGATTCAACTGGCTTTAATTCTGACTCTCAGAGTTGAGGAATGTGCCTGCGGGAATGTGCCAGTGGGAATTTTTGATGAGATCTCTCAGAGGCTGACCCAGCACTGCAAGTTTTCTCCAAGGAATGGCAGAGAGATCTTGCTTGGTGAGGGTGTCTGGGAACCCCTGAGGAGCAGGGATTCTCCACCAAATATGAGGCTAGATGTTCTTCACTTATAGTGTCCATCCCTTATGGGCTTCTATTTTCAGTTTAATGAACCTCAAAAGGCTCTGCAGACCAAGTGGTACACAGGGACACATGTCAACATAATCTCCAGGTCTCGCAGAAAGTGATTGAAAATGCTGGTGATGTCAATCATCAATACTTGTGTGTATTTGAACACATAGGTGTGGAGCTCTCAAATGTTATTTTCTTTGATCATCTGAATGTCCCTGGGAAACGTGCTTGGTAGTATTTTTTTGGAGATATCTGTGTGTATACACACACACACACACACACACACACACACACACATGATTATACCATAATTGCTTCATTCACTTAACAATATTGAAAACGCATCTCTCCATCTCAAAAAAATCATTTCCCATCCTCTCCAAATAGCTCTATTGTCTTTGTAAAAGTAACACATGCTAGTTGTAAAAAAAAAATTAAAGAAGATGGAAGAGAACCAAAAAGGAAGTAAAATGTCACCTGAAATCCCACCACCACAGATAATGGGAGTCGATTATTGTTACTTTAGACATAAATATCTCAGTGTGTTCATGACTGTAATTTTCCATACACAGATTCATACTATACAAGCTATTCTGCCATTGACCTTCTCACTCAGCAAGATGTCATGAACATTTTCCCATATCAATAAATAGTAGCCTACATCATCATATTTAATGGATGCATATTATTTTATTGTTGTATGTGTATCATTATTTACTTAACTGGTCCCCATCGATTGACAATAAGGTATTTCCAACTTTTCACTGTTATGGATAGCTCTCTGATAGACACCTCCTGAGAGGAGGTATGGGGCCTGGAGTGCCAAGTCCAGTGAGAACATGATGTAGACAGACTGCTTTTCCCAGGTAGGTAGGAAGAGACTGTTCTCTCCTTGGGATCCTGGCACTTTGGGTGTTCACAGCCCTAGGGAAAATCACCAGGCAAAGAAAAGGGCCTTGTTAGGCAAATAACTTGTTTGTGTAAAAGAGATGCAGTCCCTACACTACTGATCTGGGAGGAAGTCTCAACAGAAGAGGGACTGGATTGCCCATGTTTCCTGCAGGTAAGAGGTATTCACTTGGGAAAGACCCGCGGAATCTCACCTGGAGAGGTAAAGCAGTGCTGTGTCCTCCGACCTTCCTCACTGCATTCCAACCTGTACAAGTTGTCTGGTTCCCAAAAAAATTGGCCCCTTCATTGTGTCAATTGTCTTCTCATGAACATGCAACAACCTTTCAGCCTTTTTGTGGTAGAGTTTATGATGATGCCTAAGAGTCAATGTTCCTCCCTGCAGCTCTTGGATAAGAAGGGTTATACAGTCTCTTTCTTCATTTAAATTAAGCTTGGCCACATGATTGGGTTTGGCTCAGGGAGTATGAATGGAAGTAATTTGTGCCACTTCTGAGTATTGAAGCCTTAGGAGCCAACCTCTGGTTCCCCACTTCCCTTCTTTCCCTTCTGCTTTGACACCAGTGAAGTCCAAGGCATAGGTATTCTCTTACATCCTTTTGAGTCTTGGAGTGAAAAGCAGAAAGTTCATCACTGACTTATGGATGGACATTAACATGAGCAAGAAATAAACTTTTTTGCTACTGCAAGGCAATGAGATTTGGGTGTTGTTTTTTAATACAGCGGCCTCCGTTGCCTGAAGTATTCTTCAAAGACAAACTTCTTTTTTAAATTATGACACCAGCTCTATCGTGACTATCAGATTGTCTATGCCTGTCAGTTAGAGTCCTTCCTGTCTCCCCTGTGGAACAGCTTCCTTGCACTTACTGAGTCTGCATCTAGCTAATTGACCTATGGCAGTCATTTTGTTTTTAAATATGAGAAGGTTCTAGTTGTTAGTGGCAGGTCCTATATGAACCCATTCTTGCAAACCCGATAGATAGTTGTTATGTTGCCATGAAAGTCTTGGATCACAATCTTCCCAGCTTACAAGTTCTTCCAAACAAACTTAATCGTTAGTAAGCAAGCATAGGCAGTCAACACACCTGTCTGTCATTAGGGGGTAGTTATTTTCTTTTCCCTTGGGTATACTGGCCAGCAAATCTTTCATGAAAAGCTCACTTGGAAGTGAAATGTTGATGTTTTACCATCAACATTTTACTGGCAGGATCCTCTAGGAAATAGAAAGATGCAGAACCAAAGGGCAGTGCATTTGTGGTAGACGGGAAAGACAATATGCTATGAGCTTTTAGAGCTTGCTTGTGTATGGCATTGTGATCATTCTATTCTGAGTAGTGTGGGTCCATGATCTTAGATGACAGGCTCTTGAAGGAAAAAGGAAAACCCATCTAAAGGCTACATCAGCAGCCAAATGGATGTCCTTTATTGTCTTTGCAATTTTTTTTTTGTTTGTTTGAGACAGTCTCGCTCTGTCACCCAGGCTGGAGTGCAGTGGCATGATCTCGGCTCACTGCAACCTCTGCCTCCTGGGTTCAAGTGATTTTCCTGTCTCAGCCTCCTGAGTAGCTGGGACTACAGGTGCATGCCACCACACCCAGCTGATTTTTGTATTTTTAGTAGAGATGGGGTTTCACTATATTGGTCGGGCTGGTCTCGAACTCCTGACCTCAGGTGATCCACCTGCCTCAGTCTCCCAAAATGCTGGGATTACAGGCATGAGCCTCCGTGCCTGGCATCTTTGCATCTTTTTGATAAGGGCTAGATTTACATTGGTGGGGTGAAGTCAAATAACCCAGAAAGCTGGAGTTGGAATAACTCTTGAGGAACATCTAGCTCAAAATGTCTGGGAGTGGGAAAAGAGGCCCAGAGAGGGGAAGGTGCTTGTCAAAAGTTATACACAGCCAGTGAAATCTGGGGCTGCAGACCTGGTCTTGACTAAATTTAAAAAAATCCTAAAATTTCTTGACATTACCATAGTAGTTTATTACTGTTCTCAGTTCTACTGGATGTTTTGTATCATTTTTGGGGGATACTGACCGTCTTAGTCCATTTTGCATTGTTAAACAGAATATCAACCTTTGGACATTTATAAAGGAAAGAAATTTATTTTTCACATTTCTGGAGGTTGGGAAGTCCAAGGTCCAGGGGACCACATCAAGTGAGGACCCTCTTGCTGAGTCATGACATGTGGTGAGAGAGAGCAGGAGGGAGAGCAAGAGATCAAACTCATGGCCTCTAACCCTTTCATAACTGGTATTAATTCATTCATGAGGGTGGAACATAAACACCTCCTGTTAGTCCCCTCCTCCCGACATTGTTGCATTGCGGATTCAATTTCCAACACATGCTTTTTGGGGGACACATTCAGACCATAGCACTGATTATTCCTGAACCATTCGGGGCATGGATAGGTTCTCTATCTATGGCAGTGAACTCTTCTCCAGCTGAAATGATTTCCCTGTTGCTCACTCTGTGGGACAGAGTTGTAGAAATATTCAGGATTATAACCAGGCAGAGTGTCACTAGTGAGAGGAACAGAAGTTTGTTTCCATAGGAACAGTATAGTGGTTTTTAGAAATGATAAAATGAACTTGAGAATTGAGGTCATCTATGTCCACATACCTTAACTATTGGGACTGATAACTGAGACTTACTGTGGCAATATGACTTAACTAATTGTTACAGGAAATTAAGGCCTGGGAAGATATGGCTGTAAACCAATAAATCACTGTTGGCTTTTATCTGAACAATTTATACGAACAAATAGTTTACTCCTCTGGGCCAACAGCTCTCCTATCAGGACAATAGATTACTCATCTGGACAAACAATTTGCTCAACAAACAATGGTTTTTTATTAATATTTGCTTCCAGGCACTTCCCTTCCTGTGCCTGTCAATCCTAAACTATAATGTCACAAACTTTGTCCAATCCTGTTACCTACCTTGAAAGAGTGACCTTGTATCACTTGAGTCAAGACCCCCAAGTCCTATAAATATAGGACTTTTGAGAAAATACTGGGATTTCATCCAGGTGATATTTTTTCTTTCTACAGTAGGTCTAATCAATGTAGCTTTTGCTGGTCAATAGGTTTTCTGGTGGTGTTTTGAAGAGCTACCAGCTGTCAATCTACTCTTTCCCCAGGGTTACTTGAGGGCATTTTACATCCCATTTTTTTTTTTCCTGAGGGCATTTTGTTTCCTTTTTGGGCCATCTTTATTTCTCTAATGGTGATGATTAGAGTTGCCTTTATGAATGTAGTTTAGCTCATCAGTATATAGGGTCACTGATACTCCTAAGAGGGTTCATATAGTATGTCAATGTCAGTCTGAAAAGGCATCCTACATAGATCAGCTTTTCTAACTTCCTCATTTTGCACAAGGAAAAATTGAGGTTCTGGGACAAATCTCTTTCTGATTTTGGGGACAATGTTCAAGTTGGATACTTCAAGCAACATCATTTCTTCTCCGAGCCCCTATTTTTTTTTTTTTTTTTTTTGAAACAGAGTCTTGCTCTGTTACCCAAGTTGGAGGGCAGTGGTCTAAACTCGGCTCACTGCAGACTCCATCTCCCCAGCCTCAAGTGATCCTCCCACTACTTCTTCTTCTTTTTTTTGAGACAGGGTCTCATACTGTCGCCCTGGGTGGAGTACAATGGCGACACTGCAACCTCCACCTCCTGGGTTCAAGCGATTCTCCCACCTCAGCCTCCCAAGTAGCTGGAACTACAGGGAACAGACACCACACCCAGCTAATTTTTGTATTGTTTGGTAGAGGCCAGGTTTCACCATGTTGGCCAGGCTGGTCTTGAACTCCTGACCTCAAGTGATCCACCTGCCTTGGCCTCCCAAAGTGCTGCTATTACAGGCATGAGCCACCGTGCCCGGCATGATCCTACCACTTCTACCTCCAGAATAGCTGGCACCACAATTGTGCGCCAGTGTGCCTGGCTAATTTTTTTTTTTGTATTGTTTTGTAGAGATAGGGTTTTGCCATGTAGCCCAGGCTGGTCTCGAATTCTTCGCCTCAAGCTATCCATTAGTCTCTGCCTCCAAAGTACTGAAACTACAGGCAGGAGCCACAGCTCCCAGCCCTAGTCCCGAATTTTTAATTCAATCAATAAATCACTGATTGCCCACTCTTGAAACCTTGTTTAAAGAAGTGGCCTCCTTTCTCGTTGTGACTCACAAAGAAAACTCCTTGCTGGCATTAAGATAGGACTCAGGAAGGAGCTGAGAAGGAGGTAAGTGGTTTAGGGAATTCAGGCTCTTCGGTGGCCAGAGGGGTAGGGCCAAGGCAGTAGCACTGGGGGCCCTCCTTTCATTTTCTAATTCTTTTTGTTTCTTCTAGCCCATTTCTTTTTTTCCTGTTCCAAGTTGTTCTTCAGGTGTTGTGTAGAAAGTGAAAATTACTGGTGGGAGTCAGGACTCTCTGGGATTAATAGAAAGCTGGGCCCCAGTGGAAAATATGAGAGCAGCACTTTGGGTTTTTTTGAAGACAGTAGAAATGTAGACTTGTTATGGAATTTTCTGCAAAACCTCAAGAGGTTTTAGGCACTATAGGAAAGTACGGACTTTGAAATCAGCTGGACCTGGCTACCAGTTATGAACTGTATATCACAGTCCAGTTAATTTATTGGACTCTCAGTTTCCTTATATGTGAAATAGATGTAACCTAGTCATAGAATTATTGTGAGAGTTAAATGAAATGGTATGTACGATGTGCTTCACAGAATTCCTGGCATATAACACATGCTCATTAAATATTAGCTATTCATTATCATTATTGAGAAAGCAAATTTTTCAGGAAGGAATAGTGTTTGATTGAGGCCCTGAGCCTTATAGAATAAAAACAACTGCTATCCTTTTTATCATCTGTTGCCTGGAAGCCTAAAATTCAAAAAGGAAGAAGTGAAATATGTGCATATATATATGTATACACACACACACACACACACACACATATATATATATACACACACACACATTCCTTACCCTCTGATTAAGTATAGTACTGCGCACAGTGCTCGTCTCAGGGGTAGATACAATGAAGGATGAGGTTTGATTCCTGCCACAGGGAGTCTGCAGTATAGCCGGGGCAGTGAGATACACAGCCAGATAACAGTAGTGAGCAGAGTTTTGTAGGAATGTAACTCTGCAGGAATAATTCAGCACTGTCCCAGTGACAAATGGGCTTCTGTCTGTGTGTTGTTCCTGGGAGTGGAGAGCTCATAAAAAAACAGGGACAGGTGAAGAAGCAGGTATTGGAATAATAGCAGGTTTCATTTTAGCTTCAGAACTGCTGCCTTTGGCCACTGCCTCTACTGATGCACAGGAGAGGTCAGTGTAGTCACCAGGATGTCAGAGGAATCTTCAAAAGATGCTTAACTCCAAGTAAACTTTGTGCAAAAGCAGGAGCCTTAAGGGATCTGGAAATACCTCTTTATCCTCAGTCTGGCTCCTCATGACCTCCAGTGGCCTCCAGGGCAAGGAATCCTATATATGTGTTGCTCCTCAAAGCACTATCTCTTGTCCTGACTTCATGTCTGACTCTGAGTTCACTCGTGATACTGCTTTTTTTGTCTTGACTTGGATTTTTAAGTCTTACCCCTCCTCCCCTGATATTTGGCTCTTGGCTTATCCTTGGTTTAGAGTCGCCACTCTGCTCTCTGAAATCTGATCAATTGTCCTGGTGCTGCCCTGCTACAGGACTAGAGTTTAACCCATCACTTGAGACTATGTGGAACAGAAGAACCACCAATCCAAACCCTGATCAAATGTCTAACCCTCAGAATTATGAGAAATAACAACTCTTGTAGTTTTAAAACACTATGAAATCACTAATTGGGTACAATGTATGTCATTCAGGTGATGGATATCCTGAAAGTCCTGACTTAACCACTGCACAATCTATGCAAGCAACCAATTGTATTTGTACCCCCCATAAATTTATATAAATAAAAAAGACACTATGTTTTAGGGTGGTTTTTTACATAACAAGAGACAATTGAAATAACTCCTAATGGATCATCTGGAATTTAGACCCAAAGCCTTACAGGGTCCCTGTGATGGCTCCATGGAGCTTGGTGTTTGTGTCTGGGCAGTCTTGTCCAGTCTCGCTGTTTTTTCCTCCTTAGGGAGACAGTATATCCTTGAGGTTCAGAACACAGAATTTGGAGATAGCCAGACCTAGGACTGGATTCTGGCTCTGTTACATAAAGCTGTATGACCTTCATCTCTTTGTCCAAGAAAATGAGTATGTTAATATTAATTATCTCATAAGGGAGTTTGTGAGAATCAAATGAGATTTAACATCTATTAAGTGCTGAGAACAATCTCAGGCCTTTAATTAGTGCCCAGCACATATTAGCTGTTAAAAGTCATCCTTACACTGAATAATTGCTCTAACCTGTGTTATTATATTATCTCTCATATTATTTCTATCAAGTAGAGAATGTTTAATGAAGCCACACACCTGGTGACAACAAGCATAACAGGGTCTACTAGCTACCCAGGCTACACAGCCATGCACCCAACATTCCTTATTTCTCTTTCACCATGAAACCAGAAATGATGGGACAGAAAAATGTAGATACAGAAACAGAAATTACATGGGTTATGTGATCAGACAGTACTGACATCTAAATCTGGTTTTAGACTGATGTCTAAACCTGGCATAATTTGTAAACAAAGTTGTATGAAGATTAAACACTTGTGCTGTAAAAAGCCTAGCACAGAGCATGGTTCACAGCTGATGCTCATTCGATATCAGTTTCCTCACTTCCCCTAGCATTATTCATCGTAGGCCATTAAAAGGCTATTGGCTGCTGGCATCAGTGATGTGGTCACACAGAATGACATCTTCATTTTGCCCTTCTGTGGCCCCAGCATCTCAGGCAAGTTATGTCATGCTTCTGTGACTTAGTTTCTTCATCTTAAAAGTGGGGATGTGAATGGTTTGTGCCTCATGGAGAGGGTCTGGCTGATGTTCCAGTCCTATCTAGTCAGAGAGCAAAGGACTAAAGGACCCTGTGCTTCCAACTCTCGGCATTGCTCAGAGGATTACACCTAAGATGAGCACCATTTCTAAACATGTCCTTGTATTGGCAGAGTTGTACCTTGGCACTTTCCTCAGTCTTACTGTGGAAACAAGCTAACACACACATGTTTGGCATGCCTACATTGGGAAATCCACCCAAGTAACAGAATAGTAACTCAGCTGTGTTACTCTCCCAAGGTTTTAATCATGCTGGGACCTGTGATCTGAGATTAATGTAGCACAGAAGACAGGGCCTCAGGAAGAAACAAAGGAAAAATGCAGAGTTTGCACGAAGCCAATACTGGGTTGAAGAAGCTGAGGCTGAGAAATCTTGGCTTTTAGGAAAAGTGCTAGCATGATCCTTCTAGCCTGTGCTTGTTGTAAAATTAAGATCCCTTCAGATTCCTGGAATTATGGGAACAATTTGAACAGAGATTTCTTCTCTGGTGAGAGCATGAATAAACAGCTAACATCATCCCTTTTGCCTTTGTCACATTCATGAGCGGCTCTCAGCCCCATGGCTAAGAAGTGATCTGTGAGCTGGCATGTACCAGAGATCACTGATGTCTGGTAAGTTGCGAGTGTTTAGTAATGTGTGAATTAGATTTAACCATGGGATGTGATAATCACACTGAGTGAAAATGTCTGCTTGATGGAAAGAGATGTTGGGAGCTTGAGAATGGCTTCTCCAAGGAGCTCTGCTCTGAGGACTTTGGCTGTGGGGCTGCCAGGGTGAGGCCGCACATTTGGACAGAATATCTGAGCACAACTCTGGTGAACTGGAGACATCAGAAGAGGAAGAGTCATGAAGGCAGAGATGCCAGAGTGGGAACCCCTGAGAAAATGTGGAAGGATCTCCATCTGCCCATAGATCTTAGTCTTTCTCTGGTCTTCCTTCTTGCTTTAGTTTTTCTAGGGCACCATTTGAGAGCCCCCAGCCTTGCTCACAGCATTTGTTTGCTGATAGTTTTTGTGTACATAGAGTAATTAGAGTCATTTTTACAAAGAATTGTAGTTCCAAGCTTAAAAGCACAAATGAATAGAATAGCAAACTATGCTGTTGGAAACAAAAATAACACTGTAGGGAAGCCGCACAGCTCGGACCCGGAGGTTGGATCTCACATGTGTCGTTCATCTGGCAGCACATCACAGATCTGCAGGCATAGAGCTTTCTCATAATAACAGCTCTGGAGCACTGGCGTTGAAACCTTGGCCTCTTAGAATGACAGCAAACAAAATACTCTATAAGCACCTAGGAGTAGAAAAATGGTGCTCTGAGCATGACTGGTGCCCCCTCCCTGGAGCAAATCCATCTTTATGGAGCATATCCACACACTGCCTGTGGGTTGGGCTTGCTGTTCATCTCTTCCAGCCTCTTGGGGCTGGTGGCTAGTTTCTCTGAGGTCTTGGAGAGGGTGGGGATGAACTGGTTTATGACACTCTGGGGAGGGGGACCAAAGTTCAGTACCCTGACCTGTGGAGGAGGCAGGGTGACCACTTCCTGGCAGTGTCCAGGAATCTTCTAGAAGATGTCATTCCCTCCCTGTGATACTAGTGGCCTCGGACCACCTTCAACTGGAGATGTGTTCAGGCTGCCTTGGGATGCTTTCTCCAAGGGAAGGCCCCTAGCTCACCTACATTCAGCTCCTTCCATCCTGTGCTGCTTAGTTCCTATGAGTCAGTGGGGGTTGGCATATGTGTGGTTACTCCAGGGACAGCACTGGGAGTTGATGACTGGTGGCCCCGAGTTGTCTCTGGAGGTGATGCCTGAAGAGACATCCCACTTGGTGAGTGACAGCTGTCAGCCACTGGAGAGCTTGAGTTCTCCACCTAAGATCCCAGTGCCACGTCTGACCCCTGTCACCCCAAAGGCCTCTAGGATTTGTTTAAATGAATTTGAGACCCTTGAGAACAAGATTAATATCCAGGGATCCAAAGCAATGTACTCCCCTTTCTATCCAGAAACAAGTGATTTTAGAGATCATGTCTCTATCCCACATATGGAAGACCTGAGATCTGGGATGATTAACTAATTATTCTCAGTTGATAGATCCAGCAGTCATCGGTAACAATAAGCATGCATCTGATACTGACTGTTTGTCAGCATTGTGGTCTGTTGTAGCCCAGTGCTTTGGTGGTCAGTCCAGGACCACAAACTAGTCTCTTATCTGCAGCTTGATCTGCCCCTGCTCCCTCCCTGCAGCCCCACTTTCACCTGATGGAAATTTCCTGATCTTCAGGTACTGGGTGGGCTCTAGGCGATCTAAGACATAGTGTACATACAAATTTAATTCAAATGCTCTTGAGAGCAGTAACACTGGACTTAATATCTCATCTGCTGACTTTTATTAGGTTCTGTGGAAGATGGTTTTAGGTGAAGAGAGACAGGTAGAAAGGACTGGCCCCATTTGGAGATGGGGTATGTGTGGGGCCAAAGGAGTTGGACGTCTTGTCTGTCTGGGCAAACTTAACTGCTCCTGCACTCATCCCTCTGCCTTGCCTATCCTCCATTCTTTTTAGGCCACTCACTAGTCTATTTCTGGGAATTTTGTTGACTCCTTAGTCTATGACTGGGTTGCCTAGGGCCATGGGGTGGTGTGTGCATAGGAATGGGTGAGGTTAGGAAGCAAAGCTTGCATTTATCAGGGTGATGAAGGAGGGGTTTGCACCTTCTTCTCTGTTCCTTGGTCCTTTGTGTCTCTTTGGCCCTAAGGGAATTTATTATTCAAAGGGAAAATATCTGCTAAGCAAATGGCTTGTTTTCTTTTTTTTTTTTTTTTTTTTTAGTATTTATTGATCATTCTTGGGTGTTTCTCGGAGAGGGGGATTTGGCAGGGTCATAGGACAATAGTGGAGGGAAGGTCAGCAGATAAACATATGAACAAGGGTCTCTGGTTTTCCTAGGCAGAGGACCCTGTGGCCTTCCGCAGTGTTTGTGTCCCTGGGTAGTTGAGATTAGGGAGTGGTGATGACTCTTAACGATCATGCTGCCTTCAAGCATCTGTTTAACAAAGCACATCTTGCACCGCCCTTAATCCATTTAACCCTGAGTTGACACAGCACATGTTTCAGAGAGCACGGGGTTGGGGGTAAGGTTATAGATTAACAGCATCCCAAGGCAGAAGAATTTTTCTTAGTACAGAACAAAATGGAGTCTCCCATGTCTACTTCTTTCTACACAGACACAGTAACAATCTGATCTCTCTTTCTTTTCCCCACCTTTCCCCCTTTTCTATTCGACAAAACCGCCATCATCATCATGGCCCGTTCTCAATGAGCTGTTGGGTACACCTCCCAGGCGGAGTGGCGGCCGGGCAGAGGGGCTCCTCACATCCCAGACGGGGCGGCCAGGCAGAGGCGCCCCCCACCTCCCAGATGGGGCAGTGGCCGGGCGGGGGCTGCCCCCCACCTCCTGGACGGGGCGGCTGCTGGGCGGAAGGGCTCCTCACTTCCCAGACGGGGCGGCTGCCGGGCGGAGGGGCTCCTCACTTCTCAGACGGGGTGGCCGGGCAGAGACGCTCATCACCTCCCAGACGGGGTGGCGGTCGGTCAGAGACACTCCTCAGTTCCCAGACGGGGTCGAGGCCGGGCAGAGGCGCTCCTCACATCCCAGACGGGGCGGCGGGGCAGAGGCACTCCCCACATCTCAGACGATGGGTGGCCGGGCAGAGACACTCCTCACTTCCTAGACGGGATGGTGGCCGGGAAGAGGCGCTCCTCACTTCCCAGACTGGGTGGCTGGGCAGAGGGGCTCCTCACATCCCAGACGATGGGCGGCCAGGCAGAGACACTCCTCACTTCCCAGACAGGGTGGCGGCCGGGCAGAGGCTGCAATCTCGGCACTTGGGGAGGCCAAGGCAGGCGGCTGGGAGGTGGAGGTTGTAGCGAGCCGAGATCACGCCACTGCACTCCAGCCTGGGCAACATTGAGCACTGAGTGAGCGAGACTCGGTCTGCAATCCCGGCACCTCGGGAGGCCGAGGCAGGCAGATCACTCGCGGTCAGGAGCTGGAGACCAGCCCGGCCAATACGGCGAAACCCCGTCTCCACCAAAAAATGCAAAAACCAGTCAGGTGTGGCGGTGCGCGCCTGCAATCCCAGGCACTCTGCAGGCTGAGGCAGGAGAATCAGGCAGGGAGGTTGCAGTGAGCCGAGATGGCGGCAGTACAGTCCAGCCTCGGCTTTCACAACTTTGGTGGCATCAGAGGGAGACCGGGGAGGGGGAGGGGGAGGGGGAGGGGGAGAGGGAGAGGGAGAGCAAATGGCTTGTTTTCATGACGAGATTTCAATCTGTCAACTCCTGAGTCTGGGACAGAGTGTTAGAGTGGTGATGGTGATGATAGGGGCCTGCTTGGAGCCCACTATATATTTAGTATGTTAAGAAAAACTACCTCAAATCTGTAAATAAGGCCAGGATGTAATTCTAGTTTCATTCTGAAGCACTGATCAACAGATTCGCCCATGGATTACTTAATTTTCTAAGAAAATGTTTCATTTTGACATCTATGAGCAATGAAGCAGTACTACTCTGTAAAATTACACGTGAAGGAGGAGGTTTTGCCCCATGAAGACGCAATTGCTTCTTTGTCTTCTTCATGGAGCTCAAGCCTAGCTGTGCTGGTTCAACCCAACCTGCCAAAACCTCCCTTTTTTCCTCCCCTCCAGGACCCTTGACAGTAAAAATTTTATTTCCCACTTCCCCTTTATACCATCCACAGTCTTAGCCCCGTTCTTTCTCTTCTCACCAGGTGGTTCATAAGCTAAAGTAATTCAGTGAATTCAGGAACTCAGAGTTAGAGGGAACCAGGTAAAACACAAGCCATCTACATCCTACCCGCTGCTCCTTCAGACTCCAGACAGGTTGTCAGGGATGTGGGGATTCTGCTACACACAAAATGGAATTCAAGCCCATTTTATTTGAGTCTCAAAAAGATATTGAACCTCAGTTGACATTTGGGTTTCATAATAAATCCCACCTCCTTCCCTTTAAATTAGTAAGATTGATTTCTGTTATAATAGAAGAGGGTTTTGTTTAAAGACATAAAGGTAATTTGATTTTGAGTTAGGGTCTCACTATGTTGCCCGGGCTGGTCTCAAACTCCTGTGCTCAAGTGATTTTCCCACCTCGCCCTCCCAAAGTACTGGTGTTACAGGCAAGAGCCACAGCACCCAGCCGACTTTGACATCTTTATTTCTCAGGCCTTAGACCAGGAGGTTCAGCATGGGGATCACAACGGTGAAGAGGATTTTGTTATAGGCTGAGGCCATTTCAGGGTTGGGTGGAATGTATACAAGGAACACAAACCCATAAAACAGGCAGTGAGCAGTGAGGTGGGAGGCACGAGTGGAGAAAGCTTTGCACTGGGCATCCAGGGACCTCATCCCACTGATTAACCAGGATGTAAGTGTAAGAGACCAAGATGACTGAGATGGTAGGGATAGTGATCAAGGCAGAAGAGACAAACAGGATCATGTTGGCCACAGTGGCATCTGAGCAGGCCAGTTGGAGCATGGGGGTGGGGAATGTAACAGAACATAGTAATGATCAATGATGTTAGGCCACGGTAGGGCGAGATGAATGCATCCTGTCTAGAGCTGAAATGAGCACCCCCACAGCAGAGGTAACCACCACCAGCTGGGCACACAGTCCCCTTGGACATGATGATATGCTAGGGGAAAGGGTGGCAAATGGCCACAACTCAGTCATAGGCTACGATGGCCAGCAGCAGACATTCCCCTGTGCCATAGAAGGTCATGAGGGCCATCTGGATTATACCACCTGCAAAGGAGATGGATGGTTAGTGGTGAGAAAGTGGATCAGCAGCCTGGGGTGCACATGGAGGAACTGCAGATGTCTAGGAAGGAGAATACGCTCAGGAGGAAGCACATGGGGGTGTGGAGGGCAGAGCTGGTGCAGATTGGCAGATCAGATCTGTCATGCCCAGGTTGCCCACCAGAGTCACGGAGTAGGTCAGCAGGAAGACAGCAAAGAGGAGTGAGGAGTGTTTTTTTTTTTTTTTACAGGGTTTCTCTCTCATTGCCCAGGCTGGCATGCAGTGGCACTCTCTCCCTTCACTACAACATTTGCCTACCAGGCTCAAGCCATCCTCCTGCCTCAGCCTCCTGAGTATCTGGGATTATAGGTGCACACCACCATACCTGGCTAATTTTTGTATTGTTTTAGTAGAGACGAAGTTTTGCCATGTTGGCCAGGCTGGTCTTGAACTCCTGACCTCAAATTAGCTGCCCACCTTGGCCTCCCAAAGTGCTGGGATTACAGGCATGAACCACCCCACCTGGACTAGAAGTGATTTTTAATCTGTGTAGTCCGAGGCCCAGCAGCATGAATCTCATCACTGTGGTGTGATTCTGCGCCAAGGCCAAACCTCTGGTGTGTTTTTTATGTGACAATGAATAAGAGGAAGTGAAATAAGAATACTAACATCCTTATCAAAAAGGTAACCTTTAATGTCTTCTACAAGTGAAAAGCTGCATTTATGCCCAGGTGGTGCACTGCTCACCAAACCCCACATGAATCCCATCATGTCACACTCATGCTTATGTGTTAAGGGTGCTCTGCCTTCCTTAGGATAATATCTACATTAGTATTGTTTCCCACAAAATATAATAAATGCCTCAAACTCCTGGGCTCAAGTGATCCTTTTGCCTCAGCCTTGCAAGAAGCTGAGACTACTGGTACGTGCCCCTGTGCTCAGTTCACCATTGTAATTTTTTTTTTTTTTTTTTTCTTTTGAGACGGAGACTTGCTTTGTCACCCAGGCTGGAGTGCAATGGTGCGATCTCAACTCACTGCAACCACTGCCTCCCAGGTTCAAGCGATTCTCCTTCCTCAGCCTCCCAAGTAGCTGGGATTACAGGTGCCTGCCACCATGCCTGGTTAATTTTTTGTATTTTTAGTAGAGATGGGGTTTCACCACGTAGGTCAGGCCGGTCTCAGACTCCTGTCTCCTGCCTCGGCCTCCCAAAGTGCTGGGATTACAGGCATGAGCCACTGCACCTGGCCAACAATTTTTTTTTAATTTAAATTTTTAAATTTCAGTAGCTTTAGAAATACAAGTGGTTTTTGGTTACACAGATGGATTGAATCTAGGATCCATTGTAACTGTTTTATATTTATTTATTTATTATACTTTAAGTTCTGGGATACATGGGCAGAATGTGCAGGTTTGTTACATAGGTATACACATGCCATGGTGGTTTGCTGCACCCATCAACCCGCCATCTACATTAGCTATTTCTCCTAATGCTATCCCTCTCCTAGCCTCCCACCCACTGACAGGCCCCATGTGTGATGTTCCCCTCCCTGTGTCCATGTGTTCTCGTTGTTCAACTGCCACCTATGAGTGAGAACATGCGGTGTTTGGTTTTCTGTTCCTGTGTTAGTTTGCTGAGAATGATGGTTTCCAGCTTCATCCATGTCCCTGCAAAGGACATGAGCTCATCCTTTTTTATGGCTGCATAGTATTTCATGGTGTATATGTGCCACATTTTCTTTATCCAGTGTATCATTGATGGGCATTTGGGTCGGTTCCAAGTCTTTGCTATTGTGAATAGTGCTGCAATATACATACTTGTGCAAGTGTCTTTATGGTAGAATGATTTATAATGCTTTGGGTATATACTCAGTAATGGCATTGCTGGGTCAAATGGTATTTCTGGTCTGGATCCTTGAGGAATCGCCGCACTGTCTTCCACAATGGTTGAACTAATTTACACTCCTAACAATAGTGTAAAAATGTTCCTATTTCTCCACATCCTCTCCAGCATCTGTTGTTTCCTGACCTTTTAAAGATTGCCATTCTAACTGGCATGAGATGATATCTCATTGTGGTTTTGATTTGCATTTCTCTAATGACCAGTGATGATGAGCTTTTTTTCATATGTTTGTTGGCCATATAAATGTCTTCTTTTGAGAAGTGTCTGTTCGTATCCTTCCCTCACTTTTGGTGGGGTTGTTTGTATTTTTCTTGTAAATTTGTTTAAGTTCCTTGTAGATTCTGGATATTAGTCCTTTGTCAGATGGATAGATTGCAAAAATTTTCTCCCATTCTGTAGGTTGCCTTTTCACTCTGATGATAGTTTCTTTTGGTGTGCAGAAGCTCTTTAGTTTAATTAGATCCCATTTGTCAATTATGTCTTTTGTTGCCATTGCTTTTGGTGTTTTAGTCATGAAGTCTTTGCCCATGCCTCTGTCCTGAATGGTATGGCCTAAGTTTTCTTCTAGGATTTTTATGGTTTTAGGTCTTACGTTTAAGTCTTTAATCCATTTTGAATTAATTTTTGTATAAAGTGTAAGGAAGGGGTCCAGTTTCAGTTTTCTGCATATGGCTAGCCAGTTTTCCCAACACTATTTATTAAATAGGGAAAAAAATCATTTCCCCATTGCTTGTTTTTTCAGGTTTGTCAAAGATCAGATGGTTATAGATGTGTGGCATTATTTCTGAGGCCTCTGTTCTGTTCCTTGGTCTATATATCTGTTTTGGTACCAGTACCGTGCTGTTTTGGTTAATGTAGCCTTGTAGTATAGTTTGAAGTCAGGTAGCGTGATGTCTCCAGCTTTGTTTTTTTTTGCTTAGGATTGTCTTGGCTATATGGGCTCTTTTTTGGTTCCATATGAAATTTAAAATAGTTTTATCTTTCTAATTCTGTGAAGAAAGTCAATGGTTGCTTGATGGGGATAGCATTGAATCTATAGATTACCTTGGGCAGTATGGCCATTTTCATGATATTGATTCTTCCTCTCCATGAGCATGAAATTTTTTCCGTTTGTTTGTGTCCTCTCTTATTTCCTTGAGCAGTGGTTTGTAGTTCTCCTTGAAGAGGTCCTTCAGATCCCTCATAAATTGTATTCCTAGGTATTTTATTCTCTTTGTAGCAATTGTGAATGGGAGTTCACTCATGATTTGGCTGTCTGTCTATTATTGATATATAGGAAGCTTGTGATTTTTGCACATTGATTTTGTATCCTGAGACTTTGCTGAAGTTGCTTATCAGCTTAAGGATATTTTGGGCTGAGATGATGGGGTTTTCTAAATATACAATCATGTCATCTGCAAATGGAGAGAATTTGACTTCCTCTCTTCCTATTTGAATACTCTGTATTTCTTTCTCTTGCCTGATTGCCCTGGCCAGAACTTCCAATACTATGTTGAATAGGAGTGGTGAGAGAGGGCATCCTTGTCTTGTGCCGGTTTCCAGCTTTTACACATTTAGTATGATATTGGCTGTGGGTGTCCTAAATAGCTCTTATTATTTTGAGATACGTTCCATCAATACCTAGTTTATTGAGAGTTTTTAGTATAAAGGAGTGTTGAATTTTATCCAAGGCCTTTTCTGCATCTATTGAGATAATCATGTGGTTTTTGTCATTGGTTCTGTTTATGTGATGGATTACGTTTATTGATTTGCATATGTTGAACCAGCCTTGCATCCCAGGGATGAAGCCGACTTGATCATGGTGGATAAGCTTTTTGATGTGCTGCTGGATTTAGTTTGCCAGTATTTTATTGAGGATTTTCGTATGGATGTTCTTTAGGGATATGTCCTGAAATTTTCTTTTTTTTTTGTGGTGTCTCTGCTGGGTTTTAGTATCAGGATGATGCCAGCTTCATAAAATGAGTTAAGGCGGAGTCCCTCTTTTTCTGTTGTTTGGAGTAGTTTCAGAAGGAATGATACCTGCTCCTCTTTGTACCTCTGGTGAAATTTGGCTGTGAATCTGTCTGGTCTTGGGCTTTCTTTGGTTGGTAGGCTATTAATTACTGCCTCAATTTTAGAACTTGCTATTGTTCTATTCAGGGATTTGACTTTTTCCTGGGTTAGTCTTGGGAGGGTGTATGCATCCAGGAATTTATCCATTTCTTCTAGATTTTCTAGTTTATTTGTGTAGAGGTGGTTATAGTATTCTGTGATGGTAGTGTGTATTTCTGTGGGATCAGTGGTGATATCCCCTTTATCATTTTTTATTGTGTCTATTGGATTCTTCTCTCTTTTCTTCTTTATGAGTCTGGATAGCGGTCTATTTTGTTAGTCTTTCCAAAAAACCAGCTCCTGGATTCATTGATTTTTTGAAGAGTTTTTCTTGTATCTATCTCCTTCAGTTCTGCTCTGATCTTAGCTATTTCTTGTCTTCTCCTAGCTTTTGAATTTGTTTGCACTTGCTTCTGTAGTTCTTTTAATTGTGATGTTAGGGTGTTGATTTTAGATCTTTCTTGCTTTCTCCTGTGGGTATTTAGTGCCATAAATTTCCCTCTAAACACTACTTTAGCTGTGACCCAGAGATTATGGTATGTTGTCTCTTTGTTCTCATTGGTTTCAAAGAACTTATTTATTTCTGTCTTAATTTTGTTATTTACCCAGTAGTCATTCAGGAGCAGGTTGTTCAGTTTCCATGTAATTGTGTGGTTTTGAGTGAGTTTCTTAATCTTGAGTTCTAATTTGATTGCACTTTGTCTGAGAGACTGTTTGTTATAATTTCCATTCTTTTGCATTTGCTGAGGAGTGTTTTACTTCCAATTATGTGGTCAATTTTAGAATAAGTGCGACGAGTTGCTGAGAAGAATGTATATTCTGTTGATTTGGGGTGGAGAGTTCTGTAGATGTGTATTAGGTCCACTTGGTCCAGAGCTGAGTTCCAGTTCTGAATATACTTTTTAATTTTCTGTCTTGTTGATGTGTCTAATATTGATAGTGAGGTGTTAAACTCTCCCACTATTATTGTGTGCCAGTCTAAGTCTCTTTGTAGGTTTCTAGGAACTTGCATTATGAATCTGGGTGCTCCTGTATTGGGTGCATATATATTTCGGATAGTTAGCTCTTCTTGTTGAATTGATCCCTATACCATTATGTAATGGCCTTCTTTGTCTCTTCTGATCTTTGTTGGTTTAAAGTCTGTTTTATCAGAGACAAGGATTGCAACCCTGCCTTTTTTTTTTGCTTTCCATTTGCTTGGTAGATCTTCCTTCAACCCTTTATTTTGAGCCTATGTGTTTCTTTGCATGTGAGATGGGTCTCCTGAATATAGCACACCAATGGGTCTTGACTCTTTATCCAATTTGCCATTCTGTGTCTTTTAATTGGGGCATTTAGCCTATTTACATTTAAGGTTAATATTGTTATGTGTGAATTTGATCCTGTCATTATGATGCTAGCTGGTTATTTTGCCCATTAGTTGAAGCAGTTTCTTCATAGTGCCGATGGTCTTTACTATTTGGTATGTTTTTGCAGTGGCTGGTACCATTTGCTCCTTTCCATGTTTAGTGCTTCCTTTAGGAGCTCTTGTAAGGCAGGCCTGGTGGTGACAAAATCCCTCAGCATTTGCTTGTCTGTAAAGAATTTTATTTCTTCTTCACTTATGAAGCTTAGTTTGGCTGGATATGAAATTCTGGGTTAAAAATTCTTTTCTTTAAGAATGTTGAATATTGGCCCCCACTCTCGTCTGGCTTGTAGGGTTTCTGCAGAGAGATTAGCTGTTAGTCTGATGGGCTTCCTTTCATGGGTAGCCTGACCTTTCTCTCTGCCTCCCCTTAACATTTTTTCCTTCATTTCAGCCTTGGTGAATCTGACATTATGTGTCTTGGAGTTGCTCTTCTCGAGGAGTATCTTTGTGGTGTTCTCTGTATTTCCTGAATTTAAATGTTGGCCTGTCTTTCTAGTTGGGGAAGTTCTGTATAATATCCTGAAGAGGGTTTTCCAGCTTGTTTCCATTCTCCCTGTCACTTTCAGGTATACTAATCAAATGTAAGTTTTGTCTTTCCACATAGTCCCATATTTCTTGGAGGCTTTGTTTGTTCCCTTTTATTCTTTTTTCTCTAATCTTGTTGTTATGCCCTATTTCATTAAGTTGACCTCAATCTCTGATATCCTTTCTCTCTCTGCTTGATGGATTCGACTATTGATACTTGTGTATGCTTCACGAAGTTCTTGTGCTGTGTTTTTCAGTTCCATCAGGTCATTTATGTTCTTCTTTAAATTAGTTTTTCTAGTTAGCAATTCCTCTAACCTTTTTTCAAGGTTCTTAGCTTCCTTGTATTAGGTTAGAACATGCTCCTTTTGCTTTGAAGAGTTTGTTATTACCCACCTTCTAAAGCCTACTTCTGTCAATTCGTCAAATTCATTCTCCATCCAGTTGTTTTCACTGCTGGTGAGGAGTTGTGATCCTTTGGGAGAGAAGAAGCATTCTGTTTTTTTTGAATTTTTAGCCTTTTTACACTTGCTTTTCCTCATCTTCTTGGATTTATCTACTTTTAGTCTTTGATCTTGGTGACTTTTGGATGGGGTTTTTGTGTGGATGTCCTTTTTGTTAATGTTGATGCTATTCATTTCTGTTTGTTAGTTTTTCTTCTAACAGGCAGGCCCTTCTGCTGCAGGTCTGCTGAAGTTTGCTGGAGGTCCACTCCAGACCCTCTTTGCCTGGGTATTACCAGTGGAGGCTGCAGAACAGCAAAGATTGCCACCTGCTCCTTCCTTTGGAAGCTTTGTCCCAGAGGGGCACCCACCAGATACCAGCCAGAGCTCTCCTGTATAAGGTGTCTGTTGATCCCTGCTGGGAGGTGTCTCCCAGTCAGGAGGCATGGGGGTCAGGGACCCACTTGAGGAGGCAGTCTGTCCCTTAGCAGAGCTTGAGCACTGTGCTGGGAGATCCGCTGCTCTCTTTAGAGCCAGCAGGCAGGAATGTTTAAGTTTGCTGAAGCTGCGCCCACAGCCACCCCTTCCTGCAGTTGCTCTATCTCAGGGAGATGAGAGTTTTACCTATAAGCCCCTGACTGGGGCTGCTGCCTAACTTTCAGGGATGCCCTTCGCAGAGAGGAGGAATCTAGAGAGGTAGTGTGGTGACAGCTGCTTTGTGGTGCTGTGGTGGGCTCCGCCCAGTTGGAAATTTCTGGGGGCTCTGTTTACACTGTGAGGGGAAAACCGTCAAGCCTCAGTAATGGTGGATGCCCCTCCTCCCACCAAGCTCCAGTGTCCCAGGTTGACTTCAGACTGCTGTGCTGGCAGCGAGAATTTCAAGCTTGCGGATCTTAGCTTGCTGGGCTCTGTAGGGGTGGGATCCAGTGAGCTAGACCACTTGGCTCCCTGGCTTCAGCCCCCTTTCCAGGGGAGTGAACGGTTCTATCTCACTAGCATTCCAGGAGCCACTGTAGTATGAAAAAAAATCTCCTGCAGCTAGCTTCATGTCTGCCAAAACTGCTCCCCAGTTTTGTGCTTGAAACCCAGGTCCCTGGTGGTGTAGGCACCTGAGGGAATCTCCTGGCTTGCAGGTTGCGAAGACCATGGGAAAAGTGGGGTATCTGGACTGGAATGCACCATTCCTCATGGCACAGTCCCTCATGGCTTCCCTTGGCTAGGGGAGGGAGTTCCCCAACCCTTGCACATCCTGGGTGAGGCGGCGCCCCACCCTGCTTCTGCTCAACCTCTGCGGGCTGCATCCACTGTCTATCCAGTCCCAATGAGATAAGCTGGGTACCTCAGTTGGAAATGCAGAAATCACCCGCCTTCTGCGCTGATGTTGCTGGGAGCTGCAGACCAGAGCTGTTCCTATTTGGCCATCTTGCCCAGGTCCCACTGTAACCATTTTTAAGTGTACATCTCAATGGTATTAAATACATTCACAGCTGGGGGTGGTGGTGCATACTTGTAGTCACAGGGGGGAGGCTGAGGCAGGAGAATTGCTTGAGCCCAGGAGTTCAAGACCAGCCTGGGCAACATAGCATGACCTCATGTCTAAAAAATTTTTTTCATAATATTGTGCAAATATCACCACCATGCATCTTCATAACTCTTTTCATCTTGTAAAACTGAAACTGTACCTATTAAACAACAAATCTCCATTGTCTCCATTGCCAGCCCCTGGCAACTACTATTCTACTTTCTGTCTCAATAATTTTGGCTACTCTAAGTAACTTATATAACTGGAATTATGTGGTATTTATTTTTTCTTTGTGTGACTGCCTTATTTCACTGAACATAATGTCCTCAAGGTTCATCCATGCTGTGTATGTGTCAGAATTTTCATCCTTTTTTTTTTTTTTTTTTTAATCGAGAAGGAGTTTTGTTCTTGTTGCCTAGGCTGGAGTGCAATGGCATGATGTCAGCTCACTGCAGCCTCTGCCCCTGGGTTCAAGTGATTCTCTGGCCTCAGCCTCCCGAGTAGCTGGGATTACAGGCACCCATCACCACACCTGGCTAATTTTGTTTTTTGTATTTTTAGTAGGGGTTGGTTTTTGCCATATTGGCCAGGCTGGTCTTGAACTCCTGACCTCAGGTGATCCGCCCCCCTCAGCCTCTCAAAGTCTTGGGATTACAGGCGTGAGCTACTGTGCCTGCCCAGAATTTCCATCCTCTTAAGGCTAATATTCTACTATATGAATACACCACATTTTTCTTTTCCATTCGTCCATCGTGGGATACGTGTGTTGCTTTTGCATTTTAGGTATCACGACTGTCTAAATCCTTGGTCTGCCGGATGTCCTCTATGACACATGTCCATGCCATGTTGTTCTCATTTTACCCTCCAGCAATTCTTAACAACTTTCTTCTCTGAAAAGACAATGGTCTATGCCTTTCCATAGTCTATGTTTTCTTATTATTAATAGAATGTCTTTTGTTCTTTCCAAATCCAGTTAAGAGCTCTGTCACTGTTCTCTCTCCCCTGAATTTCAAAGACAGGTCTTTAGTGGAATTAATGGCACTGTATTTTAACATTAAAAATGCCTATTCATCTTTTCTATTGAATTTTCTTACTCCTAGAAGGAGGAGAGTTATTTAATATCTTGAGAATTTGTGTTCTAGTCCTTGTCACAGTGCCTGGTGTCAATGAATGAGTATAAATTAGTTATCAATTAGATAGGAAGGTCTTCCTCACTCAGGAATGACAACGTAATTTTTTCAGTTGTTTTGGCCAAAAACTTCTAAGCCATTTTTGACCCCTTTTTCTCTCGCTCCTCATTAAATCTCTCAGAAAATTATATTGGCTCTACCTTGAAAAGTCTGACTTCCCACCCTTTGCAAGACACCGTCATATCTTGCTTGGACCATTGCAATTGCTCTTAACTGGTGTCCTGCTTCGTTATTGTGGGCAGAGCAGCCAGAGTGGTTCTGTTAACACACAAGTAAAAGTCAGACCCTCACGATGGCCCTCAAAGCCCTGCTCTATTCAGTTGGCCACTACCCCGTTCCTCTCTTCTATCTTTGTCTCTTTTCCTACTCTTCTCATGCTTCTCACTCTGTGTTACCTACACCTGCTTCCTCATTCCACTGAGGACATGCCAGGTGGGATTCAAGACCTCTGCACCCACTGTTCCCTCTCCTCAGAGTATCCTAGCTCTGGTTAGCCATGTGGTCCCTTCTTCATCTCCTTTCATTTTCTGCTTAAATGTCTACTGTCTGAAGCTCTCCCTGACTATCTTATTTAAAACTAAACCTTCTCCAATGCCAGCACTCATGATCTCTCTTCTCTAATTTTTTCTCATAGCACTTCTTTTCTTTTCTCTCTCTTTTTTTTTTGAGACAGAGTTGCACTCTGTTGCCCAGGCTGGAGTGCAGTGGTGCCATCTCTGCTCACTGCAACCTCTGCCTCCCAGGTTCAAGCGATTCTCCTGCCTCAGCCTCCCGAGTAGCTGGGATTACAGGAGCCTGCCACCATGTCTGGCTGATTTTTGTATCTTTAGTAGAGACGAGGTTTCATCATGTTGGCCAGGCTGGTTTCAAACTCCTGGCCTCAGATGATCCACATGCCTAGGCCTCCCAAAGCATTGGGATTTACAGGTGTGAGCCACCATGCCTGGCCACTTATTTTCTTTTAACTTGCTATATACACATAACTTATTAGTTTTGTTTTTGATCTCTATCTTGACATTAGGATGCAAAGGCCATGAAGGGAGGCATTTTTGTCTATTTTGTTCCTTGTTTTGTCTCCAGTGATTGGCACATAGTAGGCCCTCAATAAGAAGTTGTTGAATGGGTAAGTGAAAACTATAAAGAAGGATTTCTTCAAAGCAAAACAGGCTGTCAAGAGGAGAACTACTACCCAGATGAATGAATTCAGAATTCCGTGATTCCAGGCCGGGCACAGTGGCTCACACCTGTAATCCCAGCACTTTGAGAGGCCAAGTGGGAGGATTGCTTGAGTCCAGGAGTTTGAGACCAGCCCGGGCAACATGGCGAGACCCTGTCTCTATATTAAATTTTTAAAAAGGTAAAACAAAGTATAAAACAGCATTCCGTGTTCCCAAATCAGGTGATAAAAATTGGAGAATAGGTATGATAAGAATTGGGATAGAGTCGAACTTGAAACATGAGGCACAGGGTGGTGAAACTCAGTACTGGCTGAAAGTCAGGGCCTATGGTGGCCTGTTGTCATAGCAGCAGAACCTGGCTATAGAAGGGGGATCAGCTTGTGGACATAAAGGTGGGTAGAATCTTCTGGGGAGGATTCTACCGACCTTGTTCTACCAGTCTTGAATTTTGGCCCAAATCTCTGAATTCACAACCCTGGTCCTGAATCTCTGACAACCCTATGTATATAGATCTATGTGCTTTTATAATAATTATATAATTTAATATGAATTTGAATACATATTTGAATACATATACATTTCATATGCATATACTTAAGGTGTTTGAAACATTTAAGAGGATCTGCTTAATTTGACTTGAAATATTGAGGATGATAACACTGAATTAACTAATTTTATATTTGATTTGACTCTGCTAAAATGCATAAGGACATTTGATTTACTAAATATATACTTTTTTTTCTTCTTTTTTAAGATAGAAATGGGGTTTTGCTATGTTGCCCAGGCTGGTCTCAAACTCTCCTAGTCTCAAGCACTGCACCTGCCTCAGCCTCCCAAAGTGTTGGGATTACAGGTGTGAACAACCACGCCTGGCTGTATATTTCAAGAGTTGTTTAAGTGCTCATGAAGACATTTGAAGGGCTTGAGTAATCAGGTGCATTAAATATGTGATTATAGTTTAAAAAGTTTAAGATAATGTAATTAATTAAGTCTATAAACAGAGTTTAAATGTTAGTTGTTTTTTTTTTTTTTTTTTTTTTGACAGAGCCTTGCTCTGTTGCCCAGGCTGCAGTGCAATGGTGTGATCCTGGCTCACTGCAACCTCTGCCTCCCGGGTTGAAGCAATTCTCCCACCTCAGCCTCCTGAGTAGCTGGGACTACAGGCATGTGCCACCACGCCTGGCTAATTTTTGTATTTTTAGTAGAGACGGGGTTTCACCATGTTGGCCAGGCTGCTCTCAAACTCCTGACCTCAAGTGATCCGCTGTCTCGGCCTCCAAAAGTGCTGGGATTACAGGCATGAGCCACGGCGCCTAGCCTGTGACTTTACTTTGAATTAAGAGAACTTGACTGCAAACAGTGCTTAAGTTATTTGGGGGAATTTAATTTGTTAAGTTTTTGGGCTAAGGGAATATTAATTAAAGATAAGTTGTGATTGCTTTAAAATTTAAAACAAACATTAGTGGATAGATAATTAAACATGGTATTTGGTAATTGCATTTAATGGTCAAAAAAGTTCTAAGTTGACAACTTAAAATATTATAACCAATTATAAAACAGCTTTAGATATTTCTTTTCTTGCACAAAAGACTTGGATATTAAAAAGAATCCCTTGCAAAATGGTACATTGTGGGAGCCCAAACACTTGTGGATTTCAGCTGATTGAGGGGAGAAGTATGAAGGAGCCATAGGAGTGGGGTTGGGGTACAGTCCAGTTCTTCCACGTTTTGTAATGTGACACTGGGCAACTCATGGGAGAAAGCAGAGTCTGTGAAGTGAAGAGGACAAATCCTGGCTGGACTTTTGGGATTCAGTAGACTGAGAAGATGGACAGAGGCGCTTTGAAAAGAATGAAGTGCTTATGATGATCCCAGGTGGTATGGCCTGAGGAAGAAATAGTGTGATGGGGAAACAAATATTTGTTGAGCTCCTGCTCTGTGTTATCCTCTAGGCCAGACACTTCCCCCATCCTGACCTCAGTGGAGAAGCGAGTAAACTGCTTAAGGTCACAAATGGAGGAGTTGAGATTTGAACTTGGATGACCATGTGGAGAGCTGTTGGCTTAGTCCCTTCTTCACTGGGTAGGGATAATGTAGATCAGGAAAGAAAATAAATGATGCAAGCTAAAGAATGTACTTAATGAGAAGCAAGAAGTACAATATGGTGCTGCAGTTTGAATGTTTGTTCCCTTCAGAACTCACGTTGACATTTAATCCCCAATGTAGTAGTATTGAGAGGTGAGACCTTTAAGAGGTGAGTGGATCGTGAGGGCTCTGCCCTCATGAATGGGTTAATCCATTCATGGATATATGGGTTGTTAATGGATTAAAGGGTTATCATGAGGGTAGAACTGGTGGCTTTATTAGAAGAGGAAGAAAGACCTGGGCCATGATGCTCAGCCGCCTTACCATATGATGTCCTGCACCACCTAGGGACCCTGCAGAGTGTCCCCATCAGCAAGAAGGCCCTCACCAGATTCAGCCTCTTGACCTTGGATTTCTCAGCCTCCATAGCATAGAAATATTTTTTCTTTATAAATTACTCAGTTTTAGGTATTCCAGTATAAGCAACAGAAAACGAATTAAGACACACGGTAACCAGGGAAGTACAGTAAAACCCAATACCCTAGTCCTCCTTACCTGAGGCAGATATATTCCAAGACCCCCAGTGGATGCCTGAAATTGCAGATGGTACCGAACCCTACATATACGATATGTTCTTTCTATGAATACATACTTATCATAAACTTTATAAGTTAAGCACAGTGTGAGATTAACAACAATAACTATTAATAAAGTAGAGCAATTATAATAATATGCCAACATTACTACTCTTGTGCTTTGGGGGCATTATTAAGCAAAATAAGGGTTGTTTTAACTCAAGCACTGGGATACTGTGATAGTCAATCTGATAACCAAGACAGCTATTTAATTGACCAATGAGCAGGTGGCATATACACCTGTGGATATGCTGTATGAAGGACTGATTCATATCCTGGGCAGGATGGAGTGGGACAGTCAAGATTCCATCACACTATTTAGGATCATGTTCAATTTAAAACTAATGAATTGTTTATTTCTGGAAATTTCCATTTAATATTTTTAGATCATGATTGACCACCGGTAACTGAAACTGTGGATAGGGTGAACTACTGTAAATCAGGCAGCCAAAGTCAGATGTTTAAACCAGAAATAACTCGGGAGAAGGGAACATATCCTAAGTGAAGTATGAGTCCTTACAAGATTTTTTAGGGGAAGTAATTGTTCTTCCACCTTAAGTTCTTAGTCACAGACTCCAGTTCAGTGATCCATGTGTGGAAGCCTCCTAGGCTGTTACCATTGATCCCTCCTTTATGAGGCCATCCGACCCATGTGTGCAGAATTTCTTTGAGCTAGAGAGAACGCAGGCTGGCAATTCTTTTCTTCAGTGGCAGGTCTCTTGGATCCCTTGAGAGAAATCAGCAACCCTCAGAGACTCCAGCTTCTGAGCATACGCTCTTTGGTCAGTGCTATTCTAATCCCTGTTTGAAGAAGTAACTCTCCCAGGGTCTCACCAAGAGGGTACTCAAAAATGTGTGTTGAATGAATCTATTTCACTGGTATTTTGAGTGTCTGAAAACACAGAATGAGCAAGAGATTTATGTTTCAATTTTAGTTTTTGATTTTTTGAGTGGGAAATACATTTCTATGGCATAAAATTGAGAAGAGACTAGAGTGAAAATAAGTCCTTCTCCCACCTCCCTTTGCTTCCTCAGCCACCCAGCTCTCTTCCTGGAAGCTACCAGTTTCTCATGGATCTTTCCATTGTTAGTCATTGGTGATAAAAGCAATATGTATACATATATATTCTTCTCTACCTTTTAAAAGATTCAATGGCATTAAGATACAAATGGTAACAAACTATATATATTGTTCTGCACCTTGCTTTTTTAAAAAAATTAACAACATGTCTTGGAGATCTTTCCCTGTCAGTAATTAAGTGCTGCACACCAGCAACACCGACATCGCTGGGTGCTTCTGACCGGGCGCAGTGGCTCACGCCTGTAATCCCAGCACTTTGGGAGGCTGAGGCGGGCGGATCACGAGGTCAGGAGGTCGAGACCATCCTGACTAACACGGTGAAACCCTGTCTCTACTAAAAATACAAAAACATTAGCTGGGCGTGGTGGTGGACGCCTGTAGTCCCAGCTACCTGGAAGGCTGAGGCAGGAGAATGGCGTGAACCCGGGAGGCGGAGCTTGTGGGTGAGCCAAGATGGCGCCACTGTACTCCAGCCTGGGCGACAGAGCGAGACTCCGTCTCAAAAAAAAAAAAAAAAAAAGAAAAAGAAAAAAAAAAGAAATGCAGAATCTGGTTTCACTGCAGACATACTGAATCAGATCTGTGTTTTAACAAGATCTGCGCCTGATTTCTACCCTCCTTAGAGTTTGAGTCTTGCTAGCTGGCAGCCTGAGTGGGCTTAGTGCAGGAGGCAGGTGCATACCTGTGGAGAGGAACAGAGACTGGAAGCTCTTCATCCCTGTTCCTAAAACTCCCTAAAACTGCTAGAGCCTCATAGCTGGGACCTCTGTGTTAGGGCTGGTCATGAAAGTGACCTCATATTTGGTCTGAATATCTGGAAGTAACTTGGAGGGCTGATGAGGGGAGTGTCATGAAGGCAGTGGAGTCGCTGAAGGGAGAAGCCCCAGAGAACTAGATACTTTCCTTCTAGCTTGGACCTAAGAATGTCAGAGAGAATCCTGGCCATGTGAGGGTCTCCTCCCTTATATAGGATGAAAAGGCATGTCTTCTTTATATTAATAGAATTTTCTAGTTCATATGTGTGCTCAAAGAACAGTGATTAGCAGTTGGTCTAACTAGTTACTTTTTTAAAAAAGATATTTTAATATAAGTGAATAGAAGAGAAATATTAAATTTCATAATGAAGTGTGTGTTTGGGGGCAGCCTAAGTAATGAGATGTCCGGGGAAAACTTATTTGTCCAGGGGCCCAGAACCTAGGAGTACATGTAGACCCTGAGTATCTGGCCCTGAGAACCCAGTTCCAAGGACTAATGAATAACATCAAAATGGCCTAGAACAGTTGGGGGAAGAGAGGGATTCTGCACCCCCCCTTCCTGCACCACCCCCAACCACTGCAAATGTATTGCCAAACAGTTGGACATTTCATTGCATTTTTAGAAGAGTTTCTTCCCTCTATTGTGTCTGTGGTGGCTTTTCTGGAAAACATTATCCCCTCTCAATTAAGAGCATGAGACTTGGCATCAGCCAGATGTGGATCTGAATCCCAGTGCTAGTCCTAACTAGTTTCCTGACCCTGAGCAAGTTATTTAACCTCACTCGGTTTTGTCTCCTGAAAAGTGGGAATAATAGTCTCTACTCTTAGGATTGCTGGAAGGATTAAATGAGACAATGCATTTGAAGCACTTCTCACTGTGTTTGGCACAGAAAAAGTATTCAATGCTTGTTATTATTTCTAAGTAGAGGCTTGAGGGTACAGTGTAAGAAGTAAAGCAAAGGAGAAAAGACCTTCTGGAGGTGGGGATCATCTCTGAGTGCACTGACCCTTGGAGTCCAGCTCTTGGAGACCCCTGGGAGTGACTTTTTCTCACTGTGGTTTTTGGTCCTTTGGACCACCTCTAGGGGTGGGTGCTCTCAGACAGTCCTGGAACACCCTTGGATCTCTCCTCTCTGGGAAGGCTTCTGGCTGAGCTCTTCTGTGGCCTTTCCATCTGCCTCTGTGAGAATTGGCTTATTTTGGATTGTCCCAGGGCTGAGCAGGAAGCCAATGATTGGTGGTCCAGGATATATGGGGAGTGATGCCTGAAGATAGAGATCCTGTTGGGCCTGGGACCCTCTAGGGCTCCTAGTATAGGACTGACTTTCTTCATTTACCAAGTCCCACCCCTGGGGGCCTCTAAAGTTTAATGAATGTGAAACTCTAGAGAGGGAGAATTGCACGGAAACCTATCATAGAGCAAACACACAATGACATCTTCCTGGGGGCTTGAGACAATTCATTTCTTTTCTCTCATTAACAGCAGAGAGGTTATTAGTTCTTCCTTTTTCTCATAAGAGAAATCTGAGATCTGACAAACATCACCAATTTTCTTCTGATCACACAGCAAATCACTTGTAAGAATAATAATAAAAGCAACTTGTATATTTAGCAACAGCTTGCGTATTTTACCTTATTCTCTCTTCATACAAATCCTCTAAGGTCTACTCAGGAAACGTAATTGTCTCCATACTATGTGGCAGGTCGGGGGCGGGGAATGGAGGCTCAGGGAAGTGATGTGACTAGTCCAGGGTCATATCTGGTAAGTGGCAGAGTCAGGACCAATACCACGTTCTTCTTACTTTTGATCTTTACTTCTTCCCAGAGATCCCAACCTTTGAGGGTTTAGTTATCTTGAAATTACTTGATATTACTGGTCTCACCTACAGAAATAATTAACAATTATTTTCAGGTGAGGCATAGGCAGATTCAACACCACACTCCAGGCCATAGCATCCCCATCCTTGAAGAGATTCTTGCCCTCTGCTTTAGCAGCAGATTCTGAGAACAGCATACCTACTATTTTCTCTCTAGATTTGTGCCCCTTGCAGGACTGGGGTTCTGTTTGTCATAGGAACTGGAGTCACCCCAAAGGGTGGCTGAAACCTGCCTCTCAAATGTCACCTTTTTTCCCTAAGTGATCTCTGCTTGCATTCATTTGTCTTCATTTTTTTCCCATCCACCTCTGGCTGGATACTGCATTTCACAACTTCGGGGCGCCTCATTCACACTGCAGCTTTGTGGATGTCATCTCCTGGAGCACACCAATGATACTGACTGGTTGTTGCAAATTAGACCTGTCATTATTGCAGGCTTTGGATGTTTTCTCTTTCAGTTGCTGCTCCTGAATCTGTCTCCTGCCATCTGAGGTGTCCTTCCTCTCTCTCCCTGTGAATTTCTGTGGCTTCGGTTCTTGTCCCTTTCTTTTACTTTCTCTGTCTTGAGGATCAGATTCAAAATCCTTCTTACAGAGAGACCTGTAATAAGTGTTTGTATTATTTAAGAACACTCTTTATAGAAAATAAGAGAAAGAAATATAGAGCCAAAAAACTTGTGAGAAAGGAGGTAGAGACGATATGTGATGAATATTTATAGGAAGCCATGGAAGGACCAAAAAGCATCTCATATTTATGAGGCATGTGAGTCACTATATCTTCATGAAGCTCTCAGTATTCATGAAATCTTAGACGGACACCCTTGGGTGATCCCCACTTTTGGTTCCATTTGTTTTCTTCCCAAGGCATGCTGCAGGTAAGGCATGGTTGCTTAGCAAGTCGCTGGTGAGCAACAGCTGTTGGTTAGACATACTTGTTTCTGCATCTCTCTGATGGAGCACCTGCTGGCCCCAGGCACCGCCTGTCTGCTCATGTCCTTTGTTCCTTCTCAACTCAATGTTCTTATGATCATATGTCAGGAGAAAGGCTGATGTGGGAGAGCAAGAGAGTGAGAGAGCTAGAGAATGAGAAATGGAGGCTCACACTCACACACACTGTGTAACACAGAATTCAGCTAGTGTGGTTCTTCCACCTTGTTGCACTGTTTCCTAAATTTGTCTCTTTCCCCTTGCTTTTCCCTGGTTTTTGTTATTGATTCAATAAACCATTTGGTTTGAGCATCTTGAATCGGTCCACAAGCATTTCTGCTCAATAGCCTTCCTACCAGTGCAGTAGGAGGCTACCATTGCACTGGTGTAATTTCTCAGTGGCAAGTCCACTTTAACTCCATCCTTTGAGCACATGTAGGTTCTGTCCCAGTGGTAATTTAATGTGCAGGATAGAAATGAGGTAGCTTGGCCCCTGAAGCACATAGAGGAAACCTCAGGGAGGTGAAAGAGCGAATATTGGGCTCTCTGTACCAAGTTTGTTTGTGCAATAGTTTCATTCACTTTGAATTCTTTTGCCTACCTCTAGTTTGGTGCTCAGAATCTCAGCTTCTTCTCATCCACTGCTGAATTCTCTGCTCTGAATCTGAGAATCCTGCTTTTTTCTCTGTATTTGGGTTCCCTGAGGCAAGGTGTGAGGACTGGAAGAGCCAACAAGAATGGACTACAGAGGATGCCTCTCCAAGGTGGAGATGGAAGGGACTAGCACCTCTCATATGCAGTTGGGGATCCTTAATATCCTGTCCCACTGGGAAATTCTTACGGAAAACAAAGCCCTGTTAGGCAGGTAGCTTGTATGAAGAAAACCCTGTCTCTAGACTTCTGACTCTGGAGAGATCTGTAGAGGCCTCAGAGGAGGCAGTGGATGCACCCTGGAGAGATCCAGAAGTCCGCTCTGAAGGACTGGAGTTTGCTGTGTTCTATGGATTCTACCATCAGATATCACGCTCCACTTCCTCAAACATCTGCTTATCATCACATTCTACTGCACAACAGCAGGCAATAGCTCTCTGAAAGTTTACTGAATAACCCAACAGTGAGACAAACATAAAGTGGCTTCATTTTTCTTCTAATTATTGCCTTCAACCTACTGTGATAGTGTTGCACAGATCAATAATTTGTTCTCTTTCATTTGCTGTATAACATTCCACTGAAGGAATATACTACAATTTAACCATTCTGTTGTAGGTGACATTGGTGTTGTTTCCAGTTCTGGACTAATTATGCATGATGCTGCTATGAACAGTCTTGTATGCTTCTTTTGGCACATGCGTCCTTCTGTTAGGTGTATACCTAGAAAAGGAACTTCCGGGTCATAGGTGATGCACATGTTTAGTTTTAGTACGTATTAAACAAAACTAACCATTTGTTTTCAAAAGTGGTTTTACCTATTTACTATTTTATTTTTGTAGATTCAGGGGGTACATGTGCAGGTTTGTTATAGTTTTACCTATTTATTTATTTATTTTTTTGAGACAGAGTCTTGCTCTGCCACCCAGGCTGGAATGCAATGGCGCGATCTCAGCTGCAACCTCTACCTCCCAGGTTCAAGCAATTCTTGAGCCTCAGCCCCCCAAGTAGCTGGGATTACAGGAGAAAGCCATCATGCACTGCTAATTTTTGTGTTTTTAGTGGAGACGGGGTTTCACTATGCTGGCCAGGCTGGTCTCAAACTCCTGGCCTCAAGTGATCCACCTGCCTTGGCCTCCCAAAGTGCTGGGATTACAGGCATGAGCCACTGTGCCCGGTGGTTTTACCTATTTATATTCCCACTTGCAGCATATGAGTGATCCAGTTCCTCCACATCTTTGCCAACACTTGGCATTGTCAGTTAAGAAAAAACCTTTTGTTTAGCCATTCTATGTGTATAGTTGTATCTCATATGGTTTAAATTTGCATTTCTCTAATGACAGCTGATGTTGTATACCATTTTTTAAAAAATTTATTTTAGATTTGGGGATATATATGCAAATTTGTTGTACATGTAAACTTGTGTCATGGGGATTTGTTGTACAGATTATTTCATCACCCATGTATTAAGTCTAGTACCCAATAGTTATTTTTTCTGCTCCTCTCCCTCCTCCTACTCTCCACCATCAAGGAGGCCCCAGTGTCTATTGTTCCCTTCTTGGTGTTCGTGGGTTCTCATCATTTAGCTCCCATTTATAAATAAGAACACACAGTATTTGGTTTTCTGTTCCTGCGTTAGCTTGCTAAGGATAATGGCCCCCGATTCAATTCATGTTCCTGCAAAAGATATGATCTCATTCTTTTTTATGGCTACATAGTATTCCATGGTGTATATGTACCACATTTTCTTTATCCAGCCTGTCATTCATGGACATTTAAGTTGATTTCACATCTTTGCTATTGCTATGAATAATGCTGCAATGAACATTCATGTGTATGTGTCTTTGGTAGAATGATTTATATTCCTCTCGGTATATAACCAGTAATGGGATTGCTGAGTTGAATGGTATGCTTAAATACCATTTTCATATACTACTTGGCTATTTGGGTGTCCTCTTTTGTGAAGTCTTTATTCAAGTGTTTACTCATTATTATATTATTATTATTCTTTTTTTGATGTGGGTCATTTATTTGGGAAGGGAATCCAAGAAACAGGAGGGAAGGACTGGAAAAAGCAAAACTAAGAAACTAAGTGAAACTCCTACGTGGCGATTTGGATTTTCACTCTCAATGGAAAACCAATAAAAATGTGTGTTATAGATCTGGTCAATACTGCACAATCTAGATGAAAGAAAGAAGGATGTATGCTGCAGCTCTGTCATTGGTCCAGAATTGCTTGTGGAACATTTGTTTATTGCCTTATACTTCAGGCGTGCCCATGTTGAGCTGGCTGAGGCCTTCGCGGCATCTTTTGTGGGGGACTGAATGTGGAAAGCAAAAGAACTTGGTGCAGCTTGAAGGAGCTCTTCCTGGCTGCCTCAGAAACATCTGTAGAAAACAAAATGTCCCAAAAGGCATAAGAAGTATTTAATATAGAAGTGTTCTTTTCCCTTTCGGCCAGTCAAAGGACCCAGTTTCCGTGGGGACCTGTCTGGCATAGTGAAAAATAGAAACTTTTGGTCTCCATCCTTTTGGTTGAAGCCTTAAGGTCTACAGGCTTCAACTACTTTTGCATGCTGTCTTAGCTGGGTTCCCCTGAGAGTAGAGCCTGTGACAAAAGTTTGGATGGGGTTAGTTTATTTGGGCATTGCCATCCCAGGGAGCCAGAGTTCAGGAGAAGGAGTTGATAAAAGGAACAAGGAAGAGGGAATTCAAGGATGCAGTAGTATGCATTATTGATTAGGTCACCCCAGGGGTGACTGGGACATCCATTTTTTTTTTGAAGGGGGTTAGGTGCCTTTTTTTCTTTTTCTTTTCTTTTTTTTTTTGAGACAGAGTCTCACTCTGTTGCCCAGGCTGTAGTGCAGTGGCGCGATCTGGGCTCACTGCAACCTCCGCCTCCCAGATTCAAGCAATTGTCCTGCCTCAGCTTCCCAAGTAGCTGGGGTTACAGGTGTGCACCACCACACCCGGCTAATTTTTGTATTTTTAGTAGAGACGAGGTTTCACCATGTTGGCCAGGCTGGTCTCAAACTTCTGACCTCAGGTGATCTGCCCGCCATGGCCTCCCAAAGTGCTGGGATTACAGGCGTGAGCCATCACGCCCGGCCTTTTTTTAAATTAATTATTAGAAATTCTTTATAAATGCTTGATATCATTCCTTCATCAGATAAATGCATGATTATGTCTCCTCCTACGTGGCGATTTGGTTTTTTACTCTCAATGGTGTCTTTTGATGAGTAGATGTTTTTTATTTTAATGCAGTCCATATAAATTTAAAAATCTGTTTGTTTCTACAAAATTCTGCTGGGATTTTGATTAGAATTATATTGAACTATGTATAAACTTTGGGAAAACTGATATCCTTACAATGTTGAATATATTGAACATGAGAATAGTGTATTCATCAATTTACTTGTTTTCTTTAATTGAAGTTTTTCTGTAGTTTTATGTTAGGGGTCTTAAATAGTTTTTGTTAGATTTATTTCTAGGTATTTTAAGTTTTTAATATAATAGTAAATGGTCAAAAATTTCTCTTTCTAGTTGTTTATTACTAAAATATAGAAATTCAATTAGGTTTTGAATGTTAATCCTGTATCCAGAGACCTTGTTCAAGTCACAGTAGTTTATCTGTCACTTCCTTGAGATTTTATGTACACAATCAAATCATCTACAAATGACAGTTTTATTTATGTTTGTCAATATTATTTTTGACTAATAAATCATAATTGTATACATTTATGGAGCATGATGTGATATCTTGATATATGTATACAATGTGTAATGATTAAATCCAGCTAATTAACTTATCCAACACCTTGTGTAATTATCTGTCATTTATTATGGTGAAACATTTGAAATTTACTCTTAGTTATTTTGAAATAGACACCACAATATTATTGATTATAGTCCCTCTGCTGTACAATAGATCTCAAATCTTATTCCTCTTATCTATCTGAAAATTTGTACCCTTTGATCAACAAAACTCCTCCTTCTTCTCCCCTCCGCCCCTACACCCTCAGCACCCAGCCTTTGGTAACCATCATTCTACCCTCCACTTCTATTAGTATTGACAATTTTATGTTGCCTGGGGTGATCTGGAACTCCTGGGCTAAAATGATTCTCCTGACTCAGCTCTTAAGTAGCCTGCCTGCCTGCCTGCCTGCTTTCCTTCCTTCCTTCCTTCCTTCCTTCTTCCCTCACTCCCTCCCTTCTTCCCTCCCTCTCTCTCTCCCTCCCTCCCTCCTTTCTTCCCTCCCTCCCTCCCTCCCTTCGTTCCTTCTTTACAGGCATGTGCCACCATGTCTGGCTAATTTTTGTATTTTTAGTAGAGATGGGATTTCACCACGTTGGCCAGGCTGGTCTTGAACACCTGACCTCAAGTGATCCTCCCACCTCAGCCTCCCAAAGTGTGGATTATAGGTGTGAGCCACCACAGCCAGCCCCTGGGTAGCTTTACTTCTACATGCATCTGAAATTGCTCCCATAGCTCTGTGTCTTTGATAAGGTCAGGAAACAATAATCCTGAGCATTCAGCTTATCCTGGCTCTTTGGGACCATGAGGGAATTGTGAAGTGAGTACCAACAACGTGGTGTTTTTAACAATGTTTACAGAAATTCCCCTGTTTCTCAGGGGTGTCATAAACTTGTATCAGTTTGACCATATAGAAAAAACAGACATTCTTTTGAATGTTACTAGGTTTATATCTTTAGCAGGATAACCTCTTGAATCAGCAAATAAAGGTCCACTGGAGATTTAGGTGAAAGACTGCATGGCATTGAATAGAGGAAATAAAGTTCTGATTCAAAATATTCTGAATCTAGGGCAAAGGAAATCAACGTACAGTTCTTTGGGTTACATACAACTGATTGAAAAAGCCATGGAGAGAAAGATGAAGAATTCAAACATCTGGGAATTGGTGGGTGATTGGAGGAGACTGGCTCATTAATCCATTTTGGTAATTTTTTTTTTTTTGAGACGGAGACTTGTTCTGTTGCCCAGGCTGGAGTGCAGTGGTGCGATCTCCGCTCACTGCAACCTCCACCTCCTGGGTTCAAGCAATTCTCCTGCTTCAGCCTCCCGAGTAGCTGGGATTACAGGCACCTGCCACCACGCCCAGCTAATTTTTGTATTTGTAGTAGAGATGGGGTTTCACTATGTTGGCCAGGATGGTCTCAAACTCCTGACCTTGTGATCCACCTGCCTCGGCCTCCCAAAGTGCTGGGATTATAGGCGTGAACCACTGTACCCAGCCATGTATTCTTTTATAAGCACCACTGGTGATTTTAATGTGCAGCCGAGGTTGAGAACCTCTGAGTTACAGGGATAACAGGGTCACTGACAGAAGGATCTTGAGCCGGGAGCTACAGTCTCTACAAAAGAGAGGAGACTTGGGGTTGCGTATGACAGTCACAGGAAGGTGGTGGGGGTAGAATCTGATGACATAAGAATAATTTAAAAATGTTTAAGGTAGGGTTGTGGGGTGGTAGGGGAGGAAAAATGGTTTGGAATGGAAATGAGAAAAAAAGGAATATTTCTATGCTCAGCATGAGTCTCATTCAGAATGGAAGGCTTCCACTGTGGCCTTCACAGCCTTACTTGATCTCTTCCAGCACACACCCCACATAGCTGCTTGCAGGTCCCTCTTGCTGGTTTCAGCCACTCCAGCTTCCTCCTGTAACTTGAATCCCAGGTTTCTGCTCAAATATCATCTTATTAGAGAGACTTTTTTTCAGTATCATTTAAATAGCAATATCCCACTTCCAATCTTCCCTCTCCCACTTTTTATAGCACTTATTACTGATATGGTTTGGCTGTGTCCTCACCCAAATCTCATATTGAATTGTAGCTCCCATATTTCCCACATGTTGTGGGAGGGACCCAGTGGGAGGTAATTGAATCATAGGGGCAGTTTCCTTCATACTATTCTCATGGTAGTGGATAAGTCTCATGAGATTTGATTTTTTTTAACTTTGTTGTATTTATTTATTTTTTTGAGACAGAGTCTTACTCTGTTGCCCAGGTTGGAGTGCAATGGCATCATCTTGGCTCACTGCAAGCTCCATCTCCCAGGTTGAAGTGATTCTCCTGCCTCAGCCTCCTGAGTAGTTGGGATTACAGGCACCCACAACCATGCCTGGCTAATTTTTGTATTTTTAGTAGAGACAGGGTTTTACCATGTTGGTCAGGCTGGTCTCCAACTCCTGACCTCAGGTGATCCGCCCACCATGGCCTCCCAAAGTGCTGAGATTACAGGCGTGAGCCACCGTGCCTGGCGAGATTTGATGGTTTTATAAGGGGAAACCCCTTTTGCTTGGTTCTCATCTCTCTTGCCTGCCGCCATGTAAGACATCCCTTTGCTCTTCTTTCATCTTCTGCCATGATTGTGAGGCCTCCCCAGCCATGTGGAACTGTGAGTCCATTAAACCTTTTTCCTTCATAAATTACCCAGTCTCGGGTATGTCTTTATTACCAGCGTGAGAACAGACGAATACATTGCCATATGAAATACCATCTGCTTACTTAGTTTTTCTTGTCCACCTTCTTCACAAGAATGTAAGCTCCTTGAGGGCAAGAATTGTCTGTTTTGTTCACTAATATGTTCCCAGGGCCTAGAAGGCACTGGAAGAGAATAGATGCTCATTAAGTGTGTTAGGAATGAATGAATATATAAAGCAAGTGAAAAAAGCCAGTCACATAACCAGATATCCAATATGACCCTGCGTGTGTATGTGTGTGTGAGCGTGTTGTGTGCATGTGCATGTTGTGTGTGTGCATGTGTATGTGTTTGCATAAACTATATATACATAAAGGTCTATCAGACATGTGACAAAATCTTAATAGTGGTTACCCTGGCCAGGGGACACATGAGTAGGACATTCACTTTATACCATTTTTTATGTGCAACTTTTTTTGTACTGTCATGTATGCACTCTGCCACCCTCTTACTCCACTCCCCTAAGCCCCAGCAACAAATAGGAAGGTGGAAGGACCACCTGACTCAGGTGAGGGAGGAAGAGGAACCTGCTGAAAACCTGGAGGAAATACTGGCAAAGTTGGGTCTGAATCCAGATGGATCACTACAGTGGAGGCAGCTAAGTCTGATTAGGGAGTGCAGGCTCCAAGGGTAAAGGTAAATCTGTACATTTGTGTTGTGAATTTCCTGGAGGTTCAAATTGAGATGGTATAAATACCACATAACCCATGGGGAAAAGCAATAGATGAGAGAAGCCGATGCTGTAGAAAAAAGTAGAGATCTGGAGATCATAAAAATAGAAATCTCTGAATTGGATTCCTTTAAGATTATAAAGTATACATTTGGGCATATAGCTGTTCCCTTCTCTGGTTGGAAACTCGTCAGTCAGGTACAGCGTATCTGCCCGGGGAAGGAGCTGCAGTGAAATAGTTAAGGAAAAATCCAGGATCTGAGGATTATAGATGCAGGTTGTTTCAGACAATTAGATTGTTCAGTTGAGAGAATGGGGCATATTGTACAAAGTTTGAAGAAATTGTAAATGGATGTGGGTCTGTACTAGTTTTGGTATTCGAGTTCGGCTATTTGTACAAAGGATTAATTTATCTTTGAATGAGTTGTTGTTTTCCATTGGTATCTGCTAGCCAACTGGGAGTTAATTTGTTTCTAAAACAGTACAGGCCTTTTTGGTTTCACCTAGGAGAGTGAATGGGTCTCTCTGTATTTCAAGGTTGCACATTTTTCTGCATTTCATCGAGGCAGAGATAAGAACTCCAGGGCCGCAGAATACAATAGGCTATTCTTGTAACTCAGATGTGACTGGGCACCATGAGTAGTCTCTGTTCTTGACCCTACACCCACCTTGAGGCAGGATCTTTGTTATCATTTCCCAAAAATCCAGTGCAACCAAGGATTAATGAGTAATGACAATTTTACTGAAAATTTCTTGGGGAGACTGAAAAGCTGTCTGTGTCCCGGGGAGGTAGTTTTGATCTATGGCAAAACCTAATAAAAATTCCCAGGAGACATATATGCTTTCTTTCCAAAGAGGAAAGGTTTCACATTTCCTTTATCTCTTTTCTCTGTGTTCTTGGGCAAACAATCTCATTTCTTTCAAGGTTTCCAGGCTCTCAGCCTGTCATCTATTCCTCTGGAAAAACGAAGGACCACTCCCTTCAGAAGGGAGCTAGAATGTGGGGTGTGAGGACCGCTTGTAAGTAGTTGATAATTCACCCCCAGGCATTTGATAATCCAATTTGCCCTCAGAGGGATGAATGGAGTAAAGGAAAAGAGAGACCCTGTGGTACCCCTCTTATGTCTCCAGGACTGGGATTCCCCCAGAGGAACCGGCTCCTCTTGGACACAGTTCCTCAGTTTATAGCCCTCTTTGCACTGTGTATGCTGAGGGGAGTGGGCTGTGCTTGAAGATTTGATGGGTCCCACCTGGTAGGTAGCTTTATGATCAAACAAACAAACAAACAAACAAACAAAAAACAAGAGAAAGGGAAGGATTTCCAGCTTGGACCCTCAGCCACTTCCTTCCTCCTCTGAGCCACTGACTGTGCCTGAACCTCAAAAAGGAACATGCTTGAATTCCCCACATCTTTCCACCTTGCCCTTGAGGTGATGACCCTGAGACCTGCCTTAAACAAAGAAGTCATAATAAAGCACCTCCACCCCAGCCCTGACGCTGCTGCATCTCATTGCAGTCTCTTCCCCCAGGCAGACATTTCTTTCATTTCTCTCTATGTTATTTTTGAATTCAACTGAAAAATAGAAGCCACATGTACACAATTACTAAGCATTTTAGTTCATCTTCAAAGATGTTCATGGACTGTTCACTGACTGCTCTTTGTCTTTACCTTTGGAGTCTGTTTCCTATTGCTGTTGAGTGCATCGTCATCCCTCCTTACCCTGATATACACATTTTGCCACTGAATCATAGATTGATTGAATGACTTATTCATTCATTCGTCAAATGTTATTGAGCACTCACTATGTGCCAGGCTGTGTTCTAGGCATTGGGGATATAGTGACAAATAAGAATGAGATGATTCCTGTTCTCATGGCTCTTAGGTTGTGATGAGAAAGGCCAGTATAAACAAATGAGAATGTATCAATCAGTGATAAATTCTTTGAAGAAAATCAACCAAGAATGACAGACAGGACTGTGTTAGGATGTACTCACATTGGGTGAATAAAGAAGGTCTTGGCTGGGCGCAGTGGCTCATGCCTGTAATCCCAGCACTTTGGGAGGCCGAGGTGGGTGGATCACCTGAGGTCAGGAGTTCAAGACAAGCCTGACAAACATGGTAAAACCTCATCTCTACTAAAAATACAAAAATTAGCCAGGCATGGTGGCGGGTGCCTGTAGTCCCAGCCACTTGGGAGGCTGAGGCAGGAGAATGGCTTGAACCCGGGAGGTGGAGGCTGCAGTGAGCCGAGATCATGCCTCCGCATTCCAGCTGGAGTGACAGAGCAAGACTGTCTCAAAAAAAAAAAAAAAAAAAAAGGTCTTTATAATGAGGCGCATTTGTGATTTCAACTTTTAGAGTTTACAAAATAAATTTAGCCTTTACCTTTTACTCCTTCCTCTGAGAGTTTGAATTTATGAGTTGGTGTTCTAATGGAGTTGGTATTCTTATAGATAACTCCATCTCAGAGGTAAATATAAATCTAGAACTGGGATTGGCTAATGTCTTTTGTAAAGGGCCAGATAATACACATTTTTGACTTTGCAGGCTATCTAGTCTTGTCACAACTATAGAACTTCGTTGTTGATAGCATGAGGGAGGCTGCTATGTTCCAATGCAAATTTGTTTATAAAAATAGGGGCAGGCCATGTGTGGTCCACTAACCACAGTGTATGGGCCTCTGATCTAGACTGCACTTTGTCTTTATTTACTTCAAAGTGACAGCAGCAGCCCCTTTCCTTCAAGGAGAAAGATCCCTCCCCTAAATAGTCCTTTGCTTTAATTTTTCTTAATTAAAAGAAAATTTAAAAATTAAATTAAAAGAAAATTTCAAATTAAGATGGACTAATTCAGAAAATTTATACAATATACAAGAAAAAGAAGTAAAATAGTGAAAATCTTATCCTTACCTTCAAACACTCTAAGAATAACCACTGTTAATAGTTTGATATATGTTTTTTCAGATTTTAAATGTGTGTGTATATATATCATATATAACATATATGTTACATATATAACATATCTATTACATATATTATATATTACATATAACATATATATGATATATATACATACAGACATCCACAGACAGGGGTTTTGTTTTTGTTTTTTTTTCTTTCCTTCCTTTTGCTTTTCTTTTCTACCTTTCTTTTCCTCTCCCTCTCCCTTCTTTTCTCCCCTGCCTCCTTTTCTTTCTCCACTCCTCCCTTTTTGCTTTCTAACACATATGGTATCATTCCGAAATACTGTTCCGCAACTTGCTTCCTTCACCCCGCATTACATCACTGTATGCCTGTTTGGGTTGGAGAGGCGCACATTCCACAGTTGGTGCCCTGTTGTTGCCAAACGACATGACGTGAGTGTCGGATTATTTTCGGTGAGTGGTGTTAGAAGCAGGTGCGAGTGCAGGCCTTATGCATCTCCACCCACACAAGCTTGCTGCTGCCGGAGTGTTGGTATGAGAGCAAGTCTCAGACCAAATGCCAGCAACTGTACAGTCCTTTCTTGGCTCGCAGGCATGAACAGCTGGTCTGGAGTTTGGAAGGGGGCTCTGCTTGTGTGGTCAGCCACGCTGACCAGCACTGTAATGAAAATCTCGTTCTAAAGCAGATACCCGCTTACAGCAGGATGGGCAAACTCCTCCAAAAAGTAGAGAAATGGGCCCAAGTGACTTTAGCCCAAGCATCCTCTCCCCATGTAAACTGTTGGGCTTGCCTTAATTTAAAAAAATACGTTATTCATGGAAGGGCCATGAGCCTTGTTACACAATTCTAAGTGAATCACAGATTAGCCCCCACTTCCTTTTTTAGAAAAAGGGAAAGGATAATATAAAAATACCCACATATCTTCTCTCCAGATTCACAGTTATTAACATTTTCCCACATTTGCTTTGCCTACTTTTCTTTCTAAGAAATAATATATACATATATTTACCTACACACATACATAAGTCATGAACATATATGGGTCTATATTTTTAAATTTTTATTTTATTTTTAATTGTGGTTATAAACGTATCACATTAAATTTACTATCTTAACTATTTTTGTGTCCAGTTCAATAGTGTGAAGTATATTCACATTGTTGTGCAACAGATCTCTAGAACTTTTTCATTTTGCAAAACTGAAACTTGATGGCCAGAAACAAACTAATTCTCCTTCTCCACTCTCCCCGTCCTTGGCAACCACTTTCTTACTTTCTGTTTTTATAATTTTGACTACTTTAGATATCTCATGTGAGTGGAAAAGTGCTGTATTTGTGCTTTTGTGACTAGCTTATATAACTTAGCATAATGTCCTCAAGGTTTATGCATGTTGAATGTGACAGGGATTTCCTTCTTTTTAAAGGCTGCGTAATACTCCATTTTAATGCATATACCACGTTTTCTTTATCCATTCATCTGTTGATGAACATGTGAGTTTATGCTTATGTATCTTTTTCCAAACTACTTGAAAGTAGTTGGAACATTATGATGCTTTACCCTTAAACACTTCACCTTAAATACTAGCTGCTAAGAAGAAGGCCATTCTCTTACATAACCACAATTACATGATCATGTTTAAGAAATTTAATATGCAGTCTATACTCAAATTCAAATTTTCCCAATTGTTTTAATAATAAAATAATATATCTATTTATTTTGAATCTAAGGTCCAATCAGGGATTATTCATTGCATTTAGTTATCGTGTCCATTAGTTTTTAAATTTAATTTTAATCTAGATTTTTAAAACTTTTATTTTGGAATACTGAAAGTTCTGAAGAGTCCAGACCAGTGTTTTTGCATAATGCTCTATAATTTAAACTTCTCGAATTTTTCCCTATGATTAGATTTAGGCTAGATATTTTTGGCAAGAACTCTACACAGATAATGTGTTCTTCTCATGTAGGAGACACAAAATGTCATTTTTTCCCCATTACTGGTGGTATTAATTTGTTTACATAATTAAGTTGATGTCTGCCAGATTTTATTTCCATTAGGTATCTTTTTCTCTTTGTTATTAAAAAGCGACCTGTGGGGTGATACTCTGAGACTGATTTAGCACCCATTGATAATCCTAACCTGCATCAATCATCACATTGGTGGTTTCGAAGTAAACCGTGTCTTAAACTTTAATTTCTCTAGTGAAAGTTATTTCTAATATTCTTTATGCCAATCAGCTAGCCCTAAGAGGCTGAATAAAATTAACTTTCACACACACCACACTACTCATCCTGATGTAGTTCCTAGTAAATCACTATGAATAACATTTAACACCTATTTGACCTATTTACTGGGTGATCTGAAAAGCCACCAGGTTTGATGAGAGCTGGGCCAGGGGAAAGCATCTCCAGGGGGTAAAAGCTTTTAAGTTGATTGGCTCTGCAGCTAGGCTCTTAAGACCCAGCAAATTTTGTAAGCTGCATGGGACAAATTGGCTTGCTAGGATTTTGGAGGAAAGTCACCTCTTTCAGCAAAGAACTTTTTTCTTTTTTTTAAAAAAAAAAAAAAAAAAGGAAATAACCCCTGACTTGCAATTGGGCTGTACTCTGGTCTGAATATTTGTGTCTCCTGCAAATCCACATGCTGAAATCCTAACCCCCAAGGTGGTGGTATTAGAAGGTGGGGCCTTTTAGAGGTAGTTAGGTCACAAGGGTGAAGTCCTCATGAGTGAGATTAATGCCCTTATAATAAAAGAGACCCCAGAGAGCTGCCTTGTCCCTTCCACCATGTGAGGACACAGCAAGAAGCTGGCAGTCTGCAATCCAGGGGCAGGCCCTCACCAGAACCTGACCGTGCTGGCACCTGATCTTGAACTTCCCAATCTCCAGAATTGGAAGAAATAAATTTCTGTTGTTATGAGCCCCTCAGTCTCAGGTATTTGGTTTTTATAGCAGCCCAAATAGACAAAGACACGCTCTGATGGTTAAGGGTTTGGAAGAAGCAAGACTGGGAAATGGCTGAGGAGGCCTGTGAAGGTGTCTGTGAACTGACCTCTCAGGTAAATGTGAAGTGAGGAGCTATTTGTGGCCCACATGAATGCTTGCCACAAGGCCTTGATACAGAGGGGGCCTTTGTGACTACGTAAGTAGGATGGATGGCCCACTCTGTGAGATGTTAGACTCCTTTCCCAGATATCCCAATGCTCACAAAAATTGGGGTATCCCAGATACCTCAGTGCTCACAAAGTGAGTGTGGTGGCAGGAAGGGAGGCTGTGCCTGTACTCAACAACCCTTTTCCTCTCACCAAGTCTGACCTGCTGTGGTGGAGTGCAGGGACTGTTGGCAGCAGTGGCCAAGTGGCCCTGAGCTCTTGGAATGCTGTGATAACTGGAGGGTGGGGGGAAGGGCAGCCAGCTCCCCAGAGGTAGATTAGCTGTATTGGATTCTTTCCACGATGGAGGAAGTAATGCTTTGTTTCCAAATACTCTGGGTTTGGGTTGGCTTTTGTTGCTTGCCTTAGCTCTGCCAGCACCACCATCCATATGCGAGTGGTTCTCAACCAGGGAAAATCTGGCTTTCAGGGAACACTTGACAATGTCTAGAGACATTCTGATTGTCATATCTTGGGAGGGGGATGCGGCTACTGGCATCTGGTTGGTAGATGTCAGGAATGCAGCCAAACATCTTACAGTGCCTAGGACAGCTCCACAACAAAGAATTATCTGGTTCAAAATGTCAAGAGTGTTGAGGTTGAGAAACCATTTTATTCCATCAAGGTGTCTTCCAGATATCTTAACTATAAAGGAACTTACCTGTAGTTAAAGAAAGAAAGGCAGCTGCGTGCAGTGGCTCACACCTGTATTCCCAGCACTTTGGGAGGCTGAGGCAGGTGGATCGCTTAAGGTAAGGAGCTCAAGACCAGCCCGGCGAACATGGTGAAACCCCATCTCTACTAATAATACAAAAATTAGCTGGGCATGGTGGTGGGTGCCTGTAATCCCAGCTACTCAGGAGGCTGAGGCAGGTGGATTGCTTGAACCTGGGAGGCCGAGGTTGCAGTGAGCTGAGATCGTGCAACTGCTCTCCAGCCTGAGTGACAAAGAGCAAGACTCCGTCCCCCCGACCCCCCACCCACCAACAAAAAAGGCAGTAGTATGTTTAGTAATTGTGTCCAGTTGCAAGTAACTGAAAATATGACTAAATGAGATTTTATTTTTCTCAAGTAAGTTCCCATCTTTGGTTCAGGTGCTTTGAAATGTCAAAGCTGAGGCTGATTGTGATTCTATTTGCTTTCCTTCTTACTGCAAGATGGTCCACTAGAATGTACACACAACAAGGGCAAGGATATTTGCTTACTGCTATATCGCCATAGCTTGGAAGAATGGCAGGTACTCATTAACTGACCATTTGCTGAGTGGAGCGCCAGGCAGCAGAAAAAGAAGAATATGCAAAAGAAGAGATAAGTTTCATGTTAGGAAAATAAAACAGTCCTAGAAAATCCACAGGCAACTTTCACTTGGGCTTCGCTGGCCAGATCTCAGGGACACCTGTAAGGGAGGCTGGAACATATAATTTTCAGCTTGGAATATTGCTGCCAGATACTCAAAAATATTGCTTTTCTGTAAGTAAGGAAGAAGTGGGGATGGATATCTAGTAGCAATAAAGACAATTTTTGATAGGTCTTGGACATGGGCTTGCAGACTTATCTCTAGGCAAGACCTTGAGCATGGAGAATGTGAGAGATTGCAAGATCAGGACCATAGAAATGAAAACTAGAGCAACTGCTTCTCAGAAGACTCATCAGAATCAGCAGAGAAACAGCCTGGTGGTAAACTTGTGACTGCTTCATGTCTGTGACTCAGACAGATGCCTTATTTGCATTCAATCTAATGAATCTGATGTTGACCACACAGTTTGAAAAAAACAAAAATAGACATAAAAGTTCAACAAATGACTTGAGCTGAGATTTATTACAGGTCAGTCTGAAACTAAGAAGATAGTACATTGTTTAAATCAGACAGCCTCACCTTCTTGGGAACTTTATGGCTTTTGCATTTACAAATCTTGCTCTTGTCTTTAGTTGGCGAGAGTGTCTACACAGGGTTCCTGGGCTTTATGTACACTCAGGATTAACTCTGATCCTAACCATGACCCTAGCCCTAGCCCTAACATTAGCCTTATCTCTAACCCTAACTCTAGCCCTAGCCCTAGTCTTAGCCCTAACCCTAACCCTAACTTTAGCCCAAGAAGGTAGGCTTGGTGCCTGCCTGTTTATGAATGATGAAACCTGCAAGGCTTAGGCTAATTGCCTCTGAGTTATTTTTGGCCCCAACCCACAGGACTGAATTTCTCTGTGTTGGATCATATTTTCCCTGCTTTGCCCAGCAGTAAACTCAGATTAACAATCACAGTGATTTAGAATTATTATTTTTTATTTTGTCAGCACCAATTAGGAGTGGCTGCCACAGTGGAGTTTTTCTGGTCAAACATGAGGGATTGAGCATATAATTTTACATGTGATTTCTTCCATGACTCCACTAAAATATTGGCAAAAGGAAAAAAGGTACAAATCTATAAGGACAAAGGGAGCATAAAAGGACAGCAGAGCACCTGGGAGATGAAGAAAGCTAACTCTTAAATCCCTACAGAAGGGAAGGGATGAGCTAGCAAGACATTAGTTAAGTCTCACTGCAGAACTCCCCAAAGACTCAGGAGCTGGAGACATAAGCTATTCTAGAGGCAGGGGTAGGCTGGGGCTAAAAACAGGAAGATGCTTGAAAGTCTGAATAAAGAGTGATTGTATCCCAGATTCCTTACCCCACTACAGCGAAAGATTTTTGGAGGCAAGTGTCTCTCGGGAAATGTTGAACCACAAGAGCTTTTGGATTTGTACATACCAGGCACAGTTGAGGACAGTTGTCAGGTGCCAGATTGAACATGGGGACTAATGGAAACCTAAAAGAGGGTTTTCTAGCTTGCTCACTTACCTTTGGCTCCCAGAATGCTGGCAGGTGGGCTCATAGCTGCCAGGCAGAAGTGTGGAGAAGTCCTCTCTGGGGAGACCACCAACCAGAAGAGAGCTGCCCATTTTACCCACCACCAAAGGCCAGTGCCCCTCTCACTTGCTCTTTGCTGATGCCTAAGAACCAGAAAGTCCTGCCCAGACAGAACTGTGCCTCAGTCTTAAATATGAAAGGACAGCTAAACTTTCTTGGAGAAAGCCACTAGGATGAAAGATAAGGTCAAAGTCAATAAACAGACTTTGGAGCAACTTGGAGAAAACAGAGTAACTGCCCCCAATTATTTTCTATTTCCATTTCTTGTTAATTTCTTTTGTTAGCACTATCACTTCCTAACATTATATAGTACATCTCTTAGTTTTTTGTTTACTCTTTGCCACCCTCAGCAGAATGTAAACTCTATGAGGCCAGAGACTGTGTCTTGTCCGTTTTTCTCTCACCAGTACTCATGACTGGCACAAGGGGAGTTCCAATAAACGTTGTTGATCAGCCTGGCGTGGGGACCCACACCCATATTCCCAGCACTTTGGGAGGCTGATGCAGGAGGACTGTTTGAGCCCAGGAGTTCTAGACCAGCCTGGGCAACATAGTAAGACCCTGTCCCTACAAAAAATAAAAAATTAGATGGGCATGGTATTCTGTGCTTATGGTCCCAGCTACTTGGGAGGCTGAGGTGGGAGGGTAACTTGAGCCCAGGAGACCGAGGCTGCAGTGACCTGTGATCATGCCACTGTACTCTAGCTGGGGTGACAGAGTGAGACCCTGTCTGAAAAACAAAAAATCCCACAACAAACACACCAAATATTGATTGAATGAATAACAACTGTATCCATAATAAAAAAGAGTATTATAAAAAAACATTAAAAAGCAGAAAATACTTTGGAACATTAATAGTATAATAAGACATTTTAAAGAATTAATTTTAAAGAATTCAATAGGAGATTTGCAAAATAAAATTGAGAAAATATCCTCAAGATACAGAATAAAATGATGAAAGATAATAACAAAAAAGATAATAACAAAAAGATAATAACAAAAAACATAAGAAAATTAGATATAGCACAGAATCTTAACATCAAACTAATGGGAATTCCAGAAAGGAAGGACAGAAAATTTGGACAGAATTCAAGCATTCACTGGGTACCTGGGTAAATAAATGACAACAGAATTATTTCAAGGCACATGATTGTGAAATTTCAGATTCCGGGGTATAATAAGAAGATCCTGTAAAGCTTCCAGAGAGTAAAAGGAGATCACAAACAAAAGATGAGTATCAGAATGATGTTGGACTTCTCAATGACAGCACGGGAAACCAGAGACAACGAGATGATAACCTCAAAAACTGAGAGAAGGTGGTCACAACTTTTGAATTCTATACATAGCCAAGCAATTAGATTAATGTGATGGTGAAATAAAGAATGGTTCAGATATGCCAAGTCATAAAAGTGTACCTCTCGGGCATCCTGTCTTAAGACACTACAGAAGAAGTGGCAAAATTAGGGAATAAACCATGGAAGAAGATCTTTGATCCAACAAACAGAGGACAGAAGACAGGAAAGGAATTCCCATGCTGAGGGTAGTTTCAGGAAGGGAGCCACACATCAAGCTGAGAGAATGTCCAGTCCAGAGAGGAGCAGGAGTGGGCAGGGTCCCAGGACGTGTGCCTCTGAGAAATACATTGAACTAATGGATTAACTGATATACTAGCATGGAGATGGGTTTTTAGTTCTGGTTGGGAATAGTCTGGGGATAGTTTGAGAAAGCGTTAATTATGGGTACATAGAAAAGTAAGCAAATGAAAAACTAAGGCAATTATTAATTCAGGAAAAACAAAAAGTCATACAAGAAAGGATATGTGATCATAACATACCAAATGACAAACCTGTGAATTACATTTTTATAGCCAATAATGCAAACATTGAACAGTAACTTAAGAAAAAATCTTGATATAACTTTACTGAGAGAATGATAGAAAAGGGATATAGAGATGATAGATAGGTTAAAAGAGCTAAATCTCTGTTTTCTATTTTAGGAAGTAAAAAGTTAAAATCTTGAAGTGAAAAACAAAATGAAAAAAATTCTAAAAGCATGTGATCTAGAAATATGACAGTAAACAAGAGAAATACACGACAGATTTGAAAGTGATTGCTTTGGTGTGCGAGTCCCGGGCAGAGGGAGGAGTGGTCCAGGGAAGATTTTTCTTGTTACAAGTCTCGTGGTTCTGTTCAACTCTTTAAACTGCATAATGAAGTCTTTTGATAATAATAAAAAAAACAGTTAAATTACAGCAGTATGGTAATGAGGGGATGGTCTTATATACCATCTCATCTGTAATCTGTTGGCCTCTTGGTGCAGTACTAATAGTGAGGGTTTGGAGACAGCTGCACCATTGGGGCCTAGTCATGCGGAACGTGGTGTCTTCTTTGAAGCAGTCATGAGCTTATCATATTCTTTCATTCTCTGCTGGAATAGAAGGTCTGGGAACCAAGAGTCTCTCACTACACGTTTAAGGATAGATAAATAAACATGCAAATAGCACACAAACATTAGGTTATTTCTCCTAGCTGAAAAAAATTTACTTTTTATCCCACTTTCTCCTTTAGCTATTGCTTTATTTTTCTGCATCACTTTACAGCCACATTTCTCTAAATAGTTGTTCACACCCATTGTTTCTAATTCTTTTCTCCCTTTCTTTTTGAATTCACTCCAACAAGCTTTCATTCCCACGACTCCACTAAAAACAGCTCTTTTTAACATCTTTAATGGCCTCTGTGTTACTAAATTTAATGGTGAATTCAGTTTTTCTCTTACTTAAGGAATTGGCAGCATTTGATGCAGTTGGCAATTTGGAATTCCCCAGACACTTTCTTTGCTTAGCACTCACTGAGCTCATTCTCCTGGTTTTCTTCTTGCTGTTGGCTGCTCCTTCGGTCTCTTTTGTGGGTTGCTCCTAATTTCTCTAGCCTCTTAATGTAGAAGTGCTCAGGAAATAGTTCTTGGACAGCTTCTTTTCCCTACCTACGCTCACTCCCGGCTCGCTCTCTTGCAGCCTCATTACTTTAAATATGATCTATAAGTTGATGAGTTCCAAAATGGTATCTTCAGTCCTCTCTCCTTTGAACTTCAGACTCATGGATCCAATTTCACACTTGGTCTTTCTGCTTGGATGTGTCTAAAAGGAAATTTTTGTTGGATCCCAAACCAAACTCCTGATCTTCTCCCAGCAAACCTGCTCTTCCCAAACCTTTCCCACATGAGCTGGGGGCTATTCCATCCCTCTAGTGGCTCAGTCTAAACCTTGGTATTGTCTTCGCGTCTCTTCTTTCCCTTGAACCTCACATCCCACCAGTCAAAAACTCCTGTTGCCTATACTTTCCAAATGTACCCAGAACCTGGCCACTTCTCATCACCTGTCCTGCTGCTTCTCTAGTCCCAGTGACTGTGAGTTCCCACCTGGATTATTGCAAAAACTTCCTAACTAGTCTTCCTGTGTCTGCCTTTACCTCTTTGCACTCTGTTAAAACCAAAATTCAATAGTTAGAACAATCCTTTTGAAACCTAAGTCAGACCATGTCACCTCTCTGCTCAAACCACTTCATTGGCTTCTCATATGACTCTTCTTCTATGCATGTCATTTTTCCTTACTTTTTAGCAGATTTTCTTATAAAATTTTGAAGTCACATGCTTAAATTCACAAGGTCTCATGATATACTTTCTTGATGGAATTACCTTTAACAATATAAAATGATATTGTAAAATTCAATGCCTGTTTTAGCCTCAAGTTCTATCTTATTATGAATAGATTAATATTACCACCGACTTTTAAAAAGAATTAAAACTTTTTCAAAAAATGTTTCTCTTTTAAACTTTTTTTCCCTGTTACTGTATTAGGATAGCTTCAGCTATTCTGCAATAAAACATACAGACATTGAATATCTCTTTACATGACAACATTTTATTTCTCGCTCATATTGGGTATCCAGAGCAGGCTGGAAGAGGGACTCAGCTAACTGGTGCTTCTGGTTTCATGGCAAAGGAGGAGAGAATCTGGAGGTTCACATAGGGTTTTTTCACTGCTTCAGCCTGGAAGCATTTTATTATCCAGAACCAGTCTTCCTTGTGCCCCATAGGAAGAAAATAAATGGGATTTGGTGAACAAAAAGCATGATCTTTGCCTTAGTCATGTGTCTGAGAATCAAAGAGAGTATATATGCTGTCATGGAATTCCTATATTTTGGTTATAACATATACTTTACTACTTAAAAAATCTTATCTCTACAATCCCAAAGTCAACTCTCTTCTTATCTCCTGCTGCTTTTTTTTTAACCATACACCAAATTAATTTCTTATATGAGATATAAAATATACAAGCCATGAAGGAAAACTCTGATAAAATTAAAAGTAATTACCATAAAACAAAAATACCATAAACTGGATGAAAAATTAAAAAAAATACATTTCTTTCATATTTAGTATGTATTAATCTATAAAGTAATGAATATGTATTTTATCAAGTTGACATATATATTTACATAAAGAATGCCTTTATTTTTTATTTTTATTTTTTTCCTTCCAACTTTTATTTTAGGTTTGGAGGAACATGTGCAGGTTTGTTACGTGGGTAAATGATGTGTTGCTCATCTCCTGCTTCTAAGTTAGGGTATGTGCAGTCTCTGTTTTTGCCCTGGGGGCAAAAATGCTGTAGAACTAAGCACCTTTTCCAGTTTAAAAAATCTGCTGGGTGGGCGGATCACAAGGTCAGGAGATCGAGACCATCCTGGCTAACATGGTGAAACCCCGTCTCTACTAAAAACATAAACAATTAGCCGGGTGTGGTGGCGGGCACCTGTAGTCCCAGCTACGTGAAAGGCTGAGGCAGGAGAATTGCGTGAACCTGGGAGGCAGAGGTTGCAGTGAGCCGAGATCATGCCACTGCACTCCAGCCTGGTCGACAGAGTGAGACTCCATCTCAAAAAAAAAAAAAAAAAAAATCTGCTGGGCATGGTGGCTCATGCTTGTAATCCCAGCACTTTGTGAGGCCGAAGCGGGTGGATTACCTGAGGTCAGGAGTTCGAGACCAGCCTAGCCAAAGTGGTAAAACCCTGTCTCTACTAAAAATACAAAATTAGCCTGGCATTGTGGTGCGTGCCTGTAATCCCAGCTACTCAGGAGGCTGAGACAGGAGAATTGCTTGAATCCGGGAGGAAGAGGCTGCATATATATGTATATATATATGTATATATATGTCTTTACAATATCCTTGAGCCCTAGGCATAATTATTATCATTGTGGAGATTGGAAAACATACACCACAGAGGTTATGTACTTTATCCAAGGTCACATAGAAAATGAGTGGCAGACCTGGGATGCCAATTTGAGGTCCTGATTTCAGGCTTGGTTTCAGGCCCCATTCTGCGTTCTGGAGGAAAGACCGTGTTGGAGATAAAGGCTCATCTTCCCATGGTTTTTAGGTTCCTTCTAGCCCCATAGCTCTTGGTGGCCCTTTCTTGACTTCCTTAGCTATGATCCAGTGAAATGTTCCTGCTGCAATTAACACCTAATGCTCTCCAGTCTCTGAGGTTCAACCTGTATCCTCTCTTCTTGATATTTCATGCCCCATCCCCTCTGATTCCTAGGTGCTAAGTATATAGTAGGGTCTAGTAATATTCCTATTGATTACTGTTTGAGAGCAGCAACTCTGATGGGGGTGTTGGAGTTCTTTAAGGAGTTTCTGCTATCTGCTGATCACTATACAGACATAATCCCAGAAACTCCTCATGACAATGCCGGAAAGAAGTACTATTAAGTCTCTTTTACATGTAAGAATGAAGTGCAGAGAAGGTATAGTCATATGCTCAAAATAACATGCAGAGAGGATATAGTAATGGTTTACTTGTTGACATTTATTCTACATACTTTTTTAAAAAAAATTATACTTTAAGTTCTGGGATACATGTGCAGAACGTGCAGGTTTGTTACACAGGTATACATGTGCCATGGTGGTTTGCTGCACCCATCAACCCGTCATCTAGGTTTTAAGCCCTGCATGCATTAAGTATTTGTCCTAATGCTCTCTCTCCTTCCCCCTCACCCCCCAATAGGCCCCAGCGTGTAATGTTCCCCTGCCTGTGTCCACGTGTTCTCATTGTTCAGTTCCCACTTATAAGTGAGAATATGCAGTGTTTGTTTTCCTGTTGCTGTGTCAGTTTGCTGAGAATGATGGTTTTCAGCTTCATCCATGTCCCTGCAAAGGACGTGAACTCATTCTTTTCTATGGCTGCATAGTATTCCGTGGTGTATATGTACCATATTTTCTTTATCCAGTGTATAATTGTTGGGCATTTGGGTTGATTCCAAGTCTTTGCTATTGTGAATAGTGCTGCAATAAACATATATGTGCATGTTTCTTTAAAGTAGAGTGATTTATAATCCTTTGGGTATATACCCAACAATGGGATGGCTGGGTCAAATGGTGTTTCTGGTTCTAGATCCTTGAGGAATTGCCACACTGTCTTCCACAATGGTTGAACTAATTCACACTCCCACCAACAGTGAAAAAGCATTCCTGTTTCTCCATATCCTCTCCAGCATCTGTTGTTTCCTGACTTTTTAATGATCACCATTCTAACTGGCATGAAATGGTATCTCATTGTGGTTTTGATTTGAATTTCTCTAATGACCAGTGATGATGAGCTTTTTTCATATGTTTGTTGGTCACATAAATGTCTTCTTTTGAGAAGTGTCTGTTCATATCCTTCACCCACTTTTTGATAGGGTTGTTTGTTTTTTTTTCTTGTAAATTTGTTTAAGTTCCTTGTATATTTTGGGTATCAGACCTTTGTCAGATGGGTAGCTTGCAAAATTTTTCTCCCATTCTGTATGTTGCTTGTTAATTTTGATAATAGTTTCTTTTGCTAGGCAGAAGCTCTTTAGTTTAATTAGATCCCATTTGTCAGTTTTGTCTTTTGTTGCATTGCTTTTGGTGTTTTAGTCATAAAGTCTTTGCCCATGCTTTTGTCCTGAATGGTATTACCTAGGTTTTCTTTAGGGTTTTTGTGATTTTAGGTTTTATGTTTAAGTCTTTAATTCATCTCGAGTTAATTTTTTTATAAGGTGTAAGGAAAGGATCCAGTTTCAGCTTTTTGCATATGGCTAGCCAGTTTTCCCAGCACCGTTTATTAAACAGGGAATCCTTTCCGTAGTACTTGTTTTTGTCAGGTTTGTTGAAGATCAGATGGTTGTAGATGTGTGGTGTGATTTCTGAGACCTCTGTTCTGTTCTATTGATCTATATATCTGTTTTGGTACCAGTATCATGCTGTTTTGTTTATTGTAGACTTGTAGTATAGTTTGAAGTTAGGTAGCATGATGCCTCCAGTTTTGTTCTTTTTACTTAGGATTGTTTTTCCTATACAGGGTCTCTTTTGGTTCCATATGAAATTTAAAGTAGTTTTTTCTAATTCTGAGAAGAAAGTCAAAGGTAGCTTGGTAGGCATCACGATATTGATTCTTCCTATCCATGATCATGGAATGTTTTTCCATTTGTGTCCTCTCTTATTTCCTTGAGCAGCAGTTTGTAGTTATCCTTGAAAAGGTCCTGCATGTCCCTTGTAAGTTGTGTTCCTAGGTATTTTATTCTTTTGGTAGCAATTGTGAATGGGAGTTCATTTGTGATTTCGCTCTCTGTCTATTATTGGTGTATAGGAATGCTTGTGATTTTGCACATTGATTTTGTATACTGAGAATTTGCTGAAGTTGCTTATCAGTTTAAGGAGATTTTGGGCTGAGACGATGGGGTTTTCTAAATATATAATCATGTCATCTGCAAACAGAGAAAATTTAACTTCCTCTCTTCCTATTTGAATACTCTATATTTCTTTCTCTTGCCTGATTGCCCTGGCCAGAACTTCCAATACTATGTTGAATAGGAGTGGTGAGAGAGGGCATCCTTGTCTTGTGCCGGTTTCCAGCTTTTGCCCCTTCAGTATGATATTGGCTATGGGTTTGTCATAAATACTCTTATTATTTTGAGATATCTTCCATCAGTACCTAGTTGATTGAGAGTTTTTAGCATGAAGGGGTGTTGAATTTTGTCAAAGACCTTTTCTGCATCTATTGAGATAATCATGTGGTTTTTGTCGTTGGTTCTGTTTATGTGATGGATTACATTTCTTGATTTGCATATGTTGAGCCAGCCTTGCATCCCAGGGATGAAGCCCTCTTGATCATGTTGCATAAGCTTTTTGATGTACTGCTGGATTTAGTTTGCCAGTATTTTATTGAGGATTTTCGCATTGAGGTTCATCAGGGATATTGGCCTGAAATTTTCTTTTTTTGTTGTGTTTCTGCCAGGTTTTGGTATCAGGATAATATTGGCCTCATAAAATGAGTTAGGGAGGAGTCCCTCCTTTTCTATTGTTTGGAATAGTTTCAGAAGGAGTGGAACCAGCTTCTCTTTGTACTTCTGGTAGAATTTGGCTGTGAATCTGGTCTTGGGCTTTTTTTGGTTGGTAGATTGTTAATTACCACGTCAATTTCAGACTTGTTATGGGTCTATTCAGAGATTCGACTTCTTCCTGGTTTTGTCTTGGGAGGGTTTATGTGTCCAGGAATTTATCCATTTCTTCTAGATTTTCTGGTTTATTTGTGTAGAGGTGTTTGCAGTATTCTCTGATGGTAGTTTGTATTTCTGTGGGATCAGTGGTGACATCTCCATTAGTTTTTATTGTGTCTATTTGATTTTTCTCTCTTTTCTTCTTTATTAGCCTGGCTAGTGGTCTATATATTTTGTTAATCTTTTCAAAAAACAGGCTGCTGGATTCATTGTTTTTTTTGGAAGGGTTTTTTGTGTCTCTATCTCCTTCAGTTCTGCTCTGATCTTAGTTATTTCTTGTTTTCTGCTAGCTTTTGAATTTATTTGCGGTTGCTTCTCTAGTTCTTTTAATTTTGATGTCAGGATGTCAATTTTAGATCTTTCCCATTCTCTTATGTGGGCATTTAGTGCTATAAATTTTCCTCTTAACACTGCTTTAGTTGTGTTCCAGAGATTCTGGTACGTTGTCTCTTTGTTCTCATTGGTTTCAAAGAACTTATTTATTTTTGCCTTAATTTCGTTATTTATCCAGTAGTCATTCAGGAGCAGGTTGTTCAGTTTCCATGTACTTGTGTGGTTTTGAGTGAGTTTCTTAATCCTGAGTTCTAATTTTATTGCTCTGTGGTCTGAGAGACTGTTTGTTATGATTTCCATTCTTTTGCATTTGCTGAGGAGTGTTTTACTTTCAATTAGGTTGATTTTAGAATAATTGCGATGTGGTGCTGAGAAGAATGTATATTCTGTTGATTTGGGGTGGAGAGTTCTGTAGATGTCTATTCAATCTGCTTGGTCTAGAGCTAAGTTCAAATCCTGAATATCCTTGTTAATATTCTATCTCGTTGATTTGTCTAGTATTTACAATGGTTGTTAATGTCTCCCACCACTATTGTGTGGGAGTCTAAGTCTCTTTGTAGGCCTCTAAGAGCTTTCTTTATGAATCCTGGTGCTCCTGTATTGGGTGCATATATATTTAGGAAAGTTAGCTTTTCTTGTTGCCTTGATCCATTTACCATTATGTAATGCCCTTCTTTGTCTTTTTAAATCTTTGTTGGTTTAAAGTCTGTTTTATCAGAGACTAGGATTGCAACCCCTGCCTTTTCTTGCTTTCTCTTTGCTTGGTAAATATTCCTCCATCCCTTTATTTCGAGCCTATATTTGTCTTTGCATGTGAGATGGGTCTCCTGAATATAGCGCACCAATGGGTCTTGATTCTTTATCCAATTTGGCTGTCTGTTTCTTTTAATTGGGGGCATTTAGCCTATTTACATTTAAGGTTAATATTGTTATGTGTAAATTTGATTCTGTCATCATAATGCTAGCTGATTATTTTGCACATTAATTGATGTGGTTTCTTCATAGGGTCATTGGTCTTTATATTTTTGTGTGTTTTTTGCAATGGCTGGTACTAGTTTTTTCTTTCCATATTTAGTGCTTCCTTCAGGAGCTGTTGTAAGGCAGGCCTGGTGGTGACAAAATCCGTCAGCATTTGCTTGTCTGTAAAGGATTTTATTTCTTCTTTGCTTATGAAGATTAGTTTGGCTGGATATGAAATTCTGGGTTGAAAATTCTTTTCTTTAAGAATGTTGAAGCCGGGCGTGGTGGCTTATGCCTGTAATCCCAGCACTTTGGGAGGCCGAGGTGGGTGGATCACGAGGTCAGGAGATGGAGACCATCCTGGCCAACATGGTGAAACCCCATCTCTACTAAAAAATACAAAAAAATTAGCCAGGCATGGTGACGGGCGCCTGTAATCCCAGCTACTGAGGAGGCTGAGGCAGGAGAATGGTGTGAACCCGGGAGGTGGAGTTTGCTGTGAGCTGAGATTGCGCCACTGCACTCCAGCCTGGGCGACAGAGCAAGACTCTGTCTGAAAAAAAAAAAAAAAAAAAGAATATTGAATATTGGTCCCCACTCTTTTTGGCTTGCAGGGTTTCTGCAGAGAGATCCGCTGTTAGTCTGATGGGCTTCCCTTGTGGGTAACCTGACCTTTCTCTCTGGCTTCCTTTAACATTTTTTCCTTTGTTTCAACCTTGGAGAATCTGAGGATTATGTGTCTTGGGGTTACTCTTCTTGAGGAGTATCTTAGTGGTGTTCTCTGTATTTCCTGAATTTGAATGTTGGTGTGTCTTGCTAGGTTGGGGAAGTACTCCTTGGTAACTTTCAGGTATACTAATCAATTGTAGGTTTGGTCTTTTCACATAGTATATTTCTTGGAGGTTTTGTTTGTACCTTTTCATTCTTTTTTCTCTAATCGTGTTGTCACACCTTATTTTGTTAAATTGATCTTCAATCTCTGATATCCTTTCTTCTGCTTGATTGATTCAGCTATTGATACTTGTGTATGCTTCACGAAGTTCTCATGCTGTTTTTCAGCTCCATCAGGTCATTTATGTTCTTCTCTAAACTGGTTATTCTACTTAGCCATTCCTGTAACCTTTTATCAACGTTCTCAGATTCCTTGCATTGGGTTAGTACATGCTCCTTTAGCTCAGAGGAGTTTGTTGTTACCCACCTTCTGAAGCCTACTTCTGTCAATTCATCAAACTCATTCTCCATCCAGTTTTGTGCCCTTGCTGGAGAGGAGTTGCGATCATTTGGAGGAGAAGAGGCATTTTTGTTTTTGGAATTTTCAGCATTTTTATGCTGGTTTTTGCTTATCTTTGTGGATTTATTTACCTTTGATCTTTGATGTGATGACCTTTGGATGGGGTTTTTGTGTGGGCATTTTTATTGTTGATGTTGATGTTATCACTTTCTGTTGGTTAGTTTTTCTTCTAACAGTCAGAGCCCTCTTCTGTAGGTCTGCTGGAGTTTGCTGGAGGTCCACTCCAGACCCTGTTTGCCTGGGTATCACCAGTGGAGGCTGCAGAACAGCAAAGATTGTTGCCTGCTCCTTCCTTTGGATGCTTTGTCCCAGAGGGGCACTTGCCAGATGCCAGTCGGAGCTCTCCTATATGAGGTGTCTGTCCATCCCTGCTGGGAGGTGTCTCCCAGTCTGGAGGCATGGTGGTCAGGGACCCACTTGAGGAGGCAGTCTGTCCCTTAGCAGAGCTCGAGCACTGTGCTAGGAGATCCACTGCTCTCTTCAGAGCCTGCAGGCAGGAAAGTTTAAATCTGCTGAAGCTGCGCCCAGAGCTGCTCCTCCCCCCAGGGGTTCTATCCCAGGGAGATGGGAGTTTCATCTATAAGCCCCTGATTGGGGCTGCTGCTTTTCCTTCAGAAATGCCCTGCCCACTGAGGAGGAATCTAGAGAGGCAGTCTGGCCACAGCCTTTTTGCCATGCTGCAGTGAGTTCCACACAGTCCGAACTTCCCTCCAGCTTTCTTAACACTGTGAAGGGAAAACCACCTACTCAAGCCTCAGTAATGGTGGATTCCCCTCCTCCCACCAAGCTCGATTGTCCCAGGTTGACTTCAGACTGCTGTGCTGGCAGCGAGAATTTCAAGTCAGTGGTTTTTAGCTTGCTGGGCTCCATGGGAGTGGGACCCGCTGAGCAAGACTACTTGGCTCCCTGGCTTCAGCCCCCTTTCCAGGGGAGTGAACAGTTCTGTCTTTCTGGGGTTCCAGGTGCCACTGTGGTATGAAAGAAAACTGCAGCTAGCTCAGTGTCTGTCCAAACAGCTGCCCAGTTTTGTGTTTGAAACCTAAGGCCCTGGTGGTGTAGGCACATGAGGGAATCTCCTGGTCTGCAGGTTGCAAAAACCATGGGATAAGTGTAGTATCTTGGCCAGATAGCACAGTATCTCACAGCTTCCCTTGGCTAGGGGAGGGAGGTCCCCAGCCCCTTGCACTTCCCAGGTGAGATGATGCCCCACCCTGCTTCTGCTCACCCTCTGTGGGCTGCACCCACTGTCTAACCAGTCCCGGTGAGATGAACTGAGTACCTCAGCTGGAAATGCCGGTGTCACCTGCCTTCTGCATTGGTCTCACTGGGAGCTGCAGACCAGAGCTGTTCCTATTTGGCCATCTTGCCAGACACCCCCATTCTACATACTGTTAAAGAGCATTTATTATCTGCCAGACACTGTGCTAGATATTGGAATGCAATAAATTAAAGTCTCTGCATTGAACAGTTAGTAAGAGATGTATGTGAGTTTTGGAACCAGGTTTATTCTGATTTTAATTTTTTTTCTTTTTAATAAAACAACACCATGATGCCTACCCTCCTTCAAGATTTATTCTGATTGCTGCTTTATTTATGAAGTTCTTCCTGATTCCTTCTTTCTCCCTCCAATATCAGATATAAAAGCACAATTAAAGTCTTGCTTCCTGGAAGTCTCTAGGCTTACAAAAGTGTAATTTTGGTGTTCCTTCTGTCTCTTGGTCTCAAAATGGAAAATTTGGATGACCTCTTCAGGGGATGGCAATGTATGTTACTTATGAACTGTTATCTCACTTGAACTCCTTAGCAGAAATTGCTAATAAATAACAACACCCTTTCCAAGTTTTAGCCTGGGAATCCTTCTCTCTGCTTCCTCTCTGGTCTATCATGAGCTTCTATGAGAGGCCTTTTGAACCCCAAGTCTCTTCTCTAAAACATAATGCAATGTGGGATTTTGAATGGGATGATCTGTTTGCATCTTGTTAGGGAAAAGGTCCCGGGATCCTGTGAGCCGGGGCCTCCCTTGTTTGGGCTTTGGAATGACCAAACCCCATTATTCACCCCATAGCAGAACGAATAAGCCACCATACAGATCTGGATCAATTCTTACCTCTTCCACTTATTAGCTATAGGACCTTGAATATACAAGTTATTTAACCTCTCAAAGATTAAGCTTCTTTATTTCTAAAGAATCATAGTACTACTTTAATGAGATATTGTGAGTTTAAGTGACACAATGTGTGCAAAATGCACAAAGTCGGTGCTCGATAAAGAAAGATTCTTTCCTTTGTTGGCTGTGATGTCCTCTTGTCCCACTTTGAGCCATGCCCTGTGTATTAGTCAGGGTTTTCCAGAGAAACAGAACCAATGAGATACATATGTATGTAGAAAAATACTTCTTTTTTTTTTTTTTATTATACTTTAAGTTTTAGGGTACATGTGCACATTGTGCAGGTTAGTTACGTATGTATACATGTGCCATGCTGGTGCGCTCCACCCACTAACTCGTCATCTAGCATTAGGTATATCTCCCAATGCTATCCCTCCCTCCTCCCCCCACCCCACAACAGTCCCCAGAGTGTGATATTCCCCTTCCTGTGTCCATGTGATCTCATTGTTCAATTCCCACCTATGAGTGAGAATATGCAGTGTTTGGTTTTTTGTTCTTGTGATAGTTTACTGAGAATGATGATTTCCAATTTCATCCATGTCCCTACAAAGGACATGAACTCATCATTTTTTATGGCTGCATAGTATTCCATGGTGTATATGTGCCACATTTTCTTAATCCAGTCTGTCATTGTTGGACATTTGGGTTGGTTCCAAGTCTTTGCTATTGTGAATAATGCCGCAATAAACATACGTGTGCATGTGTCTTTATAGCAGCATGATTTACAGTCCTTTGGGTATATACCCAGTAATGGGATGGCTGGGTCAAATGGTATTTCCAGTTCTAGATCCCTAAGGAATCGCCACACTGACTTCCACAATGGTTGAACTAGTTTACAGTCCCACCAACAGTGTAAAAGTGTTCCTATTTCTCCACATCCTCTCCAGCACCTGTTGTTTCCTGACTTTTTAATGATTGCCATTCTAACTGGTGTGAGATGGTATCTCATTGTGGTTTTGATTTGCATTTCTCTGATGGCCAGTGATGGTGAGCATTTTTTCATGTGTTTTTTGGCTGCATAAATGTCTTCTTTTGAGAAGTGTCTGTTCATGTCCTTCGCCCACTTTTTGATGGGGTTGTTTGTTTTTTTCTTGTAAATTTGTTTGAGTTTATTGTAGATTCTGGATGTTAGCCCTTTGTCAGATGAGTAGGTTGCGAAAATTTTCTCCCATTTTGTAGGTTGCCTGTTCACTCTGATGGTAGTTTCTTTTGCTGTGCAGAGCTCTTTAGTTTAATTAGATCCCATTTATCAATTTTGGCTTTTGTTGCCATTGCTTTTGGTGTTTTAGACATGAAGTCCTTGCCCACGCCTATGTCCTGAATGGTAATGCCTAGGTTTTCTTCCAGGGTTTTTATGGTTTTAGGTCTAACGTTTAAGTCTTTAATCCATCTTGAATTGATTTTTGTATAAGGTGTAAGGAAGGGATCCAGTTTCAGCTTTCTACATATGGCTAGCCAGTTTTCCCAGCACCATTTATTAAATAGGGAATCCTTTCTCTATTTCTTGTTTTTCTCAGGTTTGTCAAAGATCAGATAGTTGTAGATATGCGGTGTTATTTCTGAGGGCTCTGTTCTGTTCCATTGATCTATATCTCTGTTTTGGTACCAGTACCATGCTGTTTTGGTGACTGTAGCCTTGTAGTATAGTTTGAAGTCAGGTAGTGTGATGCCTCCAGCTTTGTTCTTTTGGCTTAGGATTGACTTGGCGATGCGGGCTCTTTTTTGTTTCCATATGAACTTTAAAGTAGTTTTTTCCAATTCTGTGAAGAAAGTCATTGGTAGCTTGATGGGGATGGCATTGAATCTGTAAATTACCTTGGGCAGTATGGCCATTTTCACGATACTGATTCTTCCTACCCATGAGCATGGAATGTTCTTCCATTTGTTTGTATCCTCTTTTATTTCCTTGAGCAGTGGTTTGTAGTTCTCCTTGAAGAGGTCCTTCACATCCCTTGTAAGTTGGATTCCTAGGTATTTTATTCTCTTTGAAGCAATTGTGAATGGGAGTTCACTCATGATTTGGCTCTCTGTTTGTCTGTTGTTGGTGTATAAGAATGCTTGTGATTTTTGTACATTGATTTTGTATCCTGAGACTTTGCTGAAGTTGCTTATCAGCTTAAGGAGATTTTGGGCTGAGACGATGGGGTTTTCTAGATATACAATCATGTCGTCTGCAAACAGGGACAATTTGACTTCCTCTTTTCCTAATTGAATACCCTTTATTTCCTTCTCCTGCCTAATTGCCCTGGCCAGAACTTCCAACACTATGTTGAATAGGAGTGGTGAGAGAGGGCATCCCTGTCTTGTGCTAGTTTTCAAAGGGAATGCTTCCAGTTTTTGCCCATTCAGTATGATATTGGCTGTGGGTTTGTCATAGATAGCTCTTATTATTTTGAAATACGTCCCATCAATACCTAATTTATTGAGAGTTTTTAGCATGAAGGGTTGTTGAATTTTGTCAAAGGCTTTTTCTGCATCTATTGAGATAATCATGTGGTTTTTGTCTTTGGCTCTGTTTATATGCTGGATTACATTTATTGATTTGTGTATATTGAACCAGCCTTGCATCCCAGGGATGAAGCCCACTTGATCATGGTGGATAAGCTTTTGGATGTGCTGCTGGATTCGTTTTGCCAGTATTTTATTGAGGATTTTTGCATCAATGTTCATCAAGGATATTCGTCTAAAATTCTCTTTTTTTGTTGTGTCTCTGCCTGGCTTTGGTATCAGAATGATGCTGGCCTCATAAAATGAGTTAGGGAGGATTCCCTCTTTTTCTATTGATTGGAATAGTTTCAGAAGGAATGGTATCAGTTCCTCCTTGTACCTCTGGTAGAATTCGGCTGTGAATCCATCTGGTCCTGGACTCTTTTTGGTTGGTAAGCTATTGATTAGTGCCACAATTTCAGCTCCTGTTATTGGTCTATTCAGAGATTCAACTTCTTCCTGGCTTAGTCTTGGGAGAGTATATGTGTCGAGGAATTTATCCATTTCTTCTAGATTTTCTAGTTTATTTGCGTAGAGGTGTTTGTAGTATTCTCTGATGGTAGTTTGTATTTCTGTGGGATCAGTGGTGGTATCCCCTTTGTCATTTTTTATTGCATCTATTTGATTCTTCTCTCTTTTTTTCTTTATTAGTCTTGCTAGCGGTCTGTCAATTTTGTTGATTCTTTCAAAAAACCAGCTCCTGGATTCATTAATTTTTGAAGGGTTTTTTGTGCCTCTATTTCCTTCAGTTCTGCTCTGATTTTAGTTATTTCTTGCCTTCTGCTAGCTTTTGAATGTGTTTGCTCTTGCTTTTCTAGTTCTTTTAATTGTGATGTTAGGGTGTCAATTTTGGATCTTTCCTGCTTTCTCTTGTGGGCATTTAGTGCTATAAATTTCCCTCTACACACTGCTCTGAATGCATCCCAGAGATTCTGGTATGTTGTGTCTTTGTTCTCATTGGTTTCAAAGAACATCTTTATTTCTGCCTTCATTTCGTTATGTACCCAGTAGTCATTCAGGAGCAGGTTGTTCAGTTTCCATGTAGTTGAGCGGTTTTGAGTGAGATTCTTAATCCTGAGTTCTAGTTTGATTGCACTGTGGTCTGAGAGATAGTTTGTTATAATTTCTGTTCTTTTACATTTGCTGAGGAGAGCTTTACTTCCAAGTATGTGGTCAATTTTGGAATAGGTGTGGTGTGGTGCTGAAAAAAATGTATATTCTGTTGATTTGGGGTGGAGAGTTCTGTAGATGTCTATTAGGTCCGCTTGGTGCAGAGCTGAGTTCTATTCCTGGGTATCCTTGTTGACCTTCTGTCTCGTTGATCTGTCTAATGTTGACAGTGGGGTGTTAAAGTCTCCCATTATTAATGTGTGGGAGTCTAAGTCTCTTTGTAGGTCACTCAGGACTTGCTTTATGAATCTGGGTGCTCCTGTATTGGGTGCATATATATTTAGGATAGTTAGCTCTTCTTGTTGAATTGATCCCTTTACCATTATGTAATGGCCTTCTTTGTCTCTTTTGATCTTTGTTGGTTTAGTCTGTTTTATCAGAGACTAGGATTGCAACCCCTGCCTTTTTTTGTTTTCCATTGGCTTGGTAGATCTTCCTCCATCCTTTTATTTTGAGCCTATGGGTGTCTCTGCACATGAGATGGGTTTCCTGAATACAGCACACTGATGGGTCTTGACTCTATCCAATTTGCCAGTCTGTGTCTTTTAATTGGAGCATTTAGTCCATTTACATTTAAAGTTAATATTGTTATGTGTGAATTTGATCCTGTCATTATGATGTTAGCTGGTTAGTTTGCTCGTTAGTTGATGCAGTTTCTTCCTAGTCTCGATGGTCTTTACATTTTGGCATGATTTTGCAGCGGCTGGTACTGGTTGTTCCTTTCCATGTTTAGCGCTTCCTTCAGGAGCTCTTGTAAGGCAGGCCTGGTGGTGACAAAATCTCTCAGCATTTGCTTGTCTATAATGTATTTTATTTCTCCTTCGCTTATGAAGCTTAGTTTGGCTGGATATGAAATTCTGGTTTGAAAATTCTTTTCTTTAAGAATGTTGAATATTGGCCCCCACTCTCTTCTGGCTTGTAGGGTTTCTGCCGAGAGATCTGCTGTTAGTCTGATGGGCTTCCCTTTGAGGGTAACCCGACCTTTCTATCTGGCTGCCCTTAACATTTTTTCCTTCATTTCAACTTTGGTGAATCTGACAATTATGTGTCTTGGAGTTGCTATTCTCGAGGAGTATCTTTGTGGTGTTCTCTGTATTTCCTGAATCTGAACATTGGCCTGCCTTGCTAGATTGGGGAAGTTCTCCTGGATAATATCCTGCCGGGTGTTTTCCAACTTGGTTCCATTCTCCCCATCACTTTCAGGTACACCAATCAGACGTAGATTTGGTCTTTTCACATAGTTCCATATTTCTTGGAGGCTTTGCTCATTTCTTTTTATTCTTTTTTCTCTAAACTTCCCTTCTCACTTCATTTCATTCATTTCATCTTCCATTGCTGATACCCTTTCTTCCACTTGATCGCATTGGCTCCTGAGGCTTCTGCATTCTTCACGTAGTTCTCGAGCCTTGGTTTTCAGCTCCATCAGCTCCTTTAAGCACTTCTCTGTATTGGTTATTCTAGTTATATATTCTTCTAAATTTTTTTTCAAAGTTTTCAACTTCTTTGCCTTTGGTTTGAATGTCCTCCCGTAGCTCAGAGTAATTTGATCATCTGAAGCCTTCTTCTCTCAGCTTGTCAGTCATTCTCCATCCAGCTTTGTTCCATTGCTGGTGAGGAACTGCGTTCCTTTGGAGGAGGGGAGGCGCTCTACTTTTTAGAGGTTCCAGTTTTTCTGTTCTCTTTTTTCCCCATCTTTGTGGTTTTATCTACTTTTGGTCTTTGATGATGGTGATGTACAGATGGGTTTTTGGTGTGGATGTCCTTTCTGTTTGTTAGTTTTCCTTCTAACAGACAGGACCCTCAGTTGCAGGTCTGTTGGAATACCCTGCCGTGTGAGGTGTCAGTGTGCCCCTGCTGGGGGGTGCCTCCCAGTTAGGCTGCTCGGGGGTCAGGGGTCAGGGACCCACTTGAGGAGGCAGTCTGCCCGTTCTCAGATCTCCAGCTGCATGCTGGGAGAACCACTGCTCTCTTCAAAGCTGTCAGACAGGGACATTTAAGTCTGCAGAGGTTACTGCTGTCTTTTTGTTTGTCTGTGCCCTGCCCCCAGAGGTGGAGCCTACAGAGGCAGGCAGGCCTCCTTCAGCTGTGGTGGGGTCCACCCAGTTCGAGCTTCCCGGCTGCTTTGTTTACCTAATCAAGCCTGGGCAATGGCGGACGCCCCTCCCCCAGCCTCACTGCCGCCTTGCAGTTTGATCTCAGACTGCTGTGCTAGCAATCAGCGAGACTCCGTGGGCGTAGGAGCCTCCGAGCCAGGTGCGGGATATAATCTTGTGGTGCGCCGTTTTTTAAGCCCATCAGAAAAGCACAGTATTCGGGTGGGAGTGACCCAATTTTCCAGGTGCCGTCCGTCACCCCTTTCTTTGACTCAGAAAGGGAACTCCCTGACCCCTTGCGCTTCCCAAGTGAGGCAATGCCTCGCCCTGCTTTGGCTGACGCACGGTGTGCACACCCACTGACCTGCGCCCACTGTCTGGCACTCCCTAGTGAGATGAACCCGGTACCTCAGATGGAAATGCAGAAATCACCCATCTTCTGCGTCGCTCACGCTAGGAGCTGTAGACTGGAGCTGTTCCTATTCGGCCATCTTGGCTCCTCCCCCAGAAAAATACTTCTTATAAGGAATTGGCTCATGCAATTACGGAGGCTGACAAGCCCCAACATCTGCAGTGGGCAAACTGGAGACCCGGGAAAAGGATAATGTAGTTTCAGCTTGAAGGCCAGTAGGCTTGAGAGCCAGGAAGAGCTGATGTTTCAGTTTGAGTATGAAATCAGGAAAAATCCATTTGTCAGCTTGAAGGCCATCAGTCAGCAGAAATTACCTCTTATTTGAGGGATGGTCAGCTTTTTGTTTTATTCAGGCCTCCAACTGATTGGATGAGGACCATTCACATTATAGAAGACAGACTGCTTTACTCAGTCTACTGGTTTAAATGTTAATTTCTTTTTCATTTTTTTTTTTTTGAGACAGAATCTCCCTTTGTCACCCGGGCTGGAGTGCGATGGCGTGATCTCGGCTCACTGAAATTCTCCACCTCCTGGGTTCAAGTGACCCTCCCACCTCAGCCTCTTGAGTAGCTGGGACCACAGGCATGCATCACCATGCCTGGCTACTTTTTTTGTATTTTTAGTAGAGATGGGGTTTCACCATGTTGGCTAGGCTGGCCTTGAACTCCTGACCTTAAGTGATCTGCCTGCCTAGGCCTCACAAATTCCTCGGATTACAGGCCTAACTCACCGTGCCCAGCCTTAAATGTTAATTTCTTCTGAAACACTCACAGACATAACCGGAATAACATTTGAACAAATATCTGGGCACCCCATAGCCCAGTCAAGCTGATACGTAAAATTAACAGTCACACCCTGATTTAAGGGTATTGAGGATTTGTTATCATCAGTTGCTATGGGGCCAGTTCCTCACTGTTTTCTGATGAATATCAGGTCAGAAAATCAAACTTGATATCCTTTACCTTATCTAGTACCTGTCTGCAGAAGACGTGCTGGCAGTATTTGTTGCATGTAAATAAACGTAGTTATAAATTGGAAGATCAGGTCTTCTGTAAGCTGACTAGGACAGATATCATGTGACTTCTCCAAGTGAGAAAACAGAGGCTGAAGCTGGGGCATACACTCCTTGGTTCTCCAATCCCACACACAATGAGATGGGGCTGCTGTGACATCATCTGACAATTCATATCCTGCTTTGACCTCTGCAAGTATTGAGATCAGTGAATCCCACCCAGCCCTCATCCCTGTGCCTCTAGACCATTGCTCTGAACTCTCTGATGCTATGCCACCACCTCAAAAGCATGCCCGCTCTGCAGCCTTCTGCCTGGAGGCAGCTCATCCTCCTGTTTTCCTGAACCACAGAGCTTTATTGTCATTGGTGCCCTGGAGTAAGTGGCAATTCAAGCTCCTCTAATTCTAAAATTAAAGCAAATTCCTGGCCCATTTTATATCTTTCGGGGTTATAACTGAGTTGGAAATTGCAGTAAACATGTAAGTGTTGAGTGTTAGCAATAGTGGAGAGGGAGTGGGCTTGAAGTCTGACCTAGGTTCAAGTCATAGCCATGCCATTAATTAGCTGCGTGATTCTGAGCAAGTTTCTTAACGTTTCCCTGCTTGATGTCTTCATTTGAAAGTGGATATAATAGTTCTTACCTTGCAGGGTGGTTTTGAGGGTTAGGATGGGAGTCCACTCTTCTTCCTGTTCCTATTTCTGAGTATTGAGCCATGTAAGGATGTGTGCTCTTCTAGGCTGGACCTGTCTCTTACTGCTTCTTACTGGTAAGAAAACAAAATGCTGCTGGTTCACTGGCCTGAGAAGCCTGACTCTCAGTTCACTGATTCTCTATCTTGAATTGCAGGTGGGTCCTTTTTTTTTTTTTGAGATACAGTCTCGCTGTGTCACCCAGGCTGGCATGCAGTGGCCGGATCTCAGCTCACTGCAAACTCTTCCTCTCAGGTTCAAGTGATTCTCATGCCTCAGCCTCCTGAGTAGCTGCCATTACAGGCGCCTGCCACCATGCCTGTCTAATTTTTGTATTTTTAGTACAGACGGGGTTTTGCCATGTTGGCCAGGCTGGTCTCGAGCTCCTGACCTTAAGTGATCCACCCACCTCAGCCTGCCAAAGTGCTGGAATTACAGGCATGAGCCACCACACCTGGCCAAGCACAGGTAGGGTCTGAATTTCAGTTTTCTAAGAAGGTCCCTTTAGGGTCATGATCAGAAAGCATCCCTGAAATGCCCCTAAGTTTCTGTGAGGAAGAAATGCTTAAGAGGGTGTTTGGGAGGTACCGGATGGGCTGTCTGCTCTCTACTTGCTGGATCATCTACTTTGCTTTAGAATCTTGCTTCTTTAGGCATTGTGTAAGGCTGAATAGTGGTCCTCCATTGAATTCTTAGATCCAATGAATCTGTTACTTTCCATGGCAAAAAGTGCTTTGCAGATGTAATTAAGGTTATAGAACTCAAGATAGAGAGATTGTCTTGGATTATCTAGGTGGGCTCAATATAATCTCTAGAGTCTTTAGAAGCAGAGAAATTTATCTGGTTAGAGTCAGAGAGAAGTGGTAGGGGAGGAAGCAAGAGAGATTAGGCAGAAAGAGAGGTCCTATAGGCGACAGCAGGCTTTCTAATCCTCAGCCCCTGATTGAGAGCATCCATTCAACACTGCAGGCATCTTTCAAGCAAAGGCAGAGAGAAGAACAGGGAGAAAAAAAATTCCTAGGGAAAACATTGAGAAAAGATAACCAGAGGGGGCTGAGACATGCATTCTCAGAGCACCCACCCCCTTCACCTACCTGCCATGAGGTAGAATAAATGCAGGAGTGAGGTAGAGGCAGAGATATTCTGGGAGGATGGAGCATCTATCCTGTCTTTTCCATGGAAATATAAGTATCTTGGGGTAGCAGAGGCGGGGAATGTAAGAAGGTGTGGAGAAGGGCGGGGGGTGGTCAACATTCTTCTTTAACATACATCAAAAAATTGTGTTTACATGTGGGTGTGTGGCTGGGGTGCTGCATTTCCTCCTCTTTTATGGAACATTTTTGTCTTAGTACTTGGATTATTGGAAACTTTCAGCAGCACCTGTGCAGGAAGAATGCCTAAGGCAGGAGGAAGGAAATGAGGATGATATTAAAGTGAAACAAAACATGAAGTTCTTGAATATGAGGTCATCTGGTCCAACCTCCTATTGTCTCTGCAAACTTCCTTGGCTCTGGGGTTGGGCATGCATGTCAGACGAAGGGAATAAGACCACCCTATCTCTCCAGCCACAGTGGTCGAGACTTAGGATAGTGCATCTGCCCCCTTTGGAAGCAGTGAGATGCCATCTCAGGACTCCCACTACTCCCACTACTACTGTGGGAGAAGTGTGCCCTTTTTTCCACTGGACTTATACAAATGAAAATTTAAGTCCAGAGCTGGTAACAGTCACTCTGCCACCAAGAGGAGAGGGCTTGTTGAGAGTGAAGCCCACATAGGGGTGGACAGAGCAGGGGGAAGGAGAAAAAATTGACCTTAGGAGTCTTGTTTACATGTTAGAATTCTTCAGTCATACTCACCCATCAATGAGAATGCTTGATTGAGCTTGAGTTGAGTTTTCTATTTGCAGTCAGAATATTCCTGATAGACATGGTTTCACTATGTAGATATAGGGAATGTGAGGACTAGAGTAGGGGAAGTGACATCTCCAATGACACATGTATAACAAGTAGGATTTGTCATCTCAGCCATTCACTTCTATGGAACCTCAGAATCAGGAAACCAGCTACATTCTGAATACATGGAGTTTGCACAGATAGCCCTGTAATCTATGCAACTTATTTCTGAATTCCCTCACAATTGGTTTTAAGGGCTGTTCCTGGTTGTCATATTCTCCTATTCTAGTACTTCTGGTAATAGCTGGAATTGAGTCAAACACTCTTACCATACAATTGAATTAACATGTTTAATTGACAGGGAACATAATATCTCTCTCACACACACACACACACCCCACCACATTTAATGAGTGATGCTTTACATCTGGAGAGAGGGCTACTATTTTTTTTTTTTTTTTGGTAGAGATGGGGTCTCACTATATTGCCCAGGCTGGTCTCAAACTCCTGGGCTCAACTGACCCACCTGCCTAGGCGTTCCAAAATGCTGGGATTATAGGTGTGAGCCACCATTCCCAGCTGAGATACTTTTTAGTCCAGATGTCACCATTTTCCTGTTTTGAAGATATGTCCCTGAATGCTCCCCATGGTCAATGTTGGTCATTCATTTATTTGGTTTGGTTCTTCCCTTTTTGCACTCTAATGGTACCAAATCCTGGAAGTGGAGAGGATATTCTTTTTGCTGATTTGCTACCTCTCTGTACCCACAGTATACATTTATTCACACAGGTGCTGGTATTGGAATCTGCTATGGAAACTCCTTTCTGAGAACCTTTAATGTATTCATTCATTCAACAATTATTGAATGCTCACTATGTGCTAGACACAAAGGTATGAACAACAAAGATGACTCTCAGACCTCACAGAAGGTTCCAGTACATTCCAGAGGGTCTGGGAGCTATGTTGTCTTTCTTGTAGCTTCTCTGGATTTACACAGCCTGTGGATTTATGTTGATAATTCTTTGCTTATTGTGTACAGGGTGAAGGTTGCTGGTAGGGAGGGAAACATCATTTCACTGGTGATAATCATCTTTCTGTTTTTAATCCTTCCCCCTGTCGGCTGGAGAGTCATTTCCTGTTCCCCTTTGTTTCTCCCTTCCTGTTGATCCGCTAAAGACCTCTCTACCCACTGACTCCTCTGGCCCCTTTGTAGTGCATTCTAGTACCAAGTGTATGCTAGCAGACTTAATACGTGCTGAACAGTGTACTAAGCGCCTTACACGCACCATTCGTTTAACCCTTACTACAACACTGTGAAGCTCTGCAGTTGTGTCTCAGAAGTGGATTTTTTCTAAGGTGAATTAACATCAAATATTTATTTCAATTTTATTCAATTTCACTCTATTAGTATTTGAATTCTGAATGTTCAGAATTAGATTTGGTTAATATTTAGCCTTGACTGCCTCTTAGATGCCTGGTGCTTCAGTAATATGCAATAGACAGAGACAACATTAAGCCTAAGGTGCATTCATACCACTGCTGACCTGGCCTGGCCACTTTGGGCATCAACATTATGAGCATGGTTGAGGTCTACACACTTCAATGATCTAACTTCAGGAATACCTACTGAGGAGAGCGGGACATCCGGCTTCTGAGTAGGAAGCTCCGTAATGCCAGCAATGAAAGAGAAAATTAAATATGGGTGATGTTGAGAAAGGCAAGATTTTTGTTCAGAAGTGTGCCCACTGCCACACCATGGAAAAGGGAGGCAAACACAAGACTGGGACTAATCTCCATGGTCTCTTCATGTGAAAGACAGATCAGGCTGTTGGATTCTGTTAACACAGACGCCAATAAGAACAAAGGCATCACCTGGAGAGAGGATGCACTGATGAAATATTTGGAGAATCCCAAGAAGTAGATATCTGGAACAAAAATGATCTTTGCTGGCATTAAGAAGGCAGAAAGAAGGCAGAAAGGGCAGATTTGATAGCTTATATAAAAAAAAAGCTACTATGAGTAATAATACATCACTGCCTCATTTATTACAAAACAGAAATGTCTCATGACTTTTTTATGTGTACCATAATTTAATAGATTACATACACCAGAATTCAGATCATGAATGACTGAAAAAACATTTTCATTGGGCAGTCCTGATTTAAAACTAAGATTGTCTTGTGGTTAAATTAATATGTTTGGGTTTTTTGAATTTTGTTTGTTTTGTTTTTTTTTTTGAGATGGAATTTTGCTCTTGCTGCCCAGGCTGGAGTGCGATGGCATGATCTTGGCTCACTGCAACCTCTACCTCCCGGGTTTAAGTGATTCTCTTGCCTCAGTCTCCTGAGTAGCTGGGATTACAGGTGTCTGCCACCACGCCCGGCTAATTTTTGTATTTTTAGTAGAGACAGGGTTTCACCATGTTGGCCAGGCTGGTATGAAACCTGGTATCAAACCTGTTGGCCAGGCTGGTATTAACCTCAAGTGATCTGCCTGCCTTGGCCTCCCAAAGTGCTGAGATTACAGATGTGAGCCACTGCACCTGGCCTCATTTGTCTCTTAAAGGCAAGGGCTGAAGATAATATAGCAATGTCTTTTTTATATTTTTGGCCTTAACTATGCCAATCTAATTAGAATTCACTGTATTTAAAATGGTTCCTTTTACTTATTGAAACACATTTTAGTGTGGTTTATGTGTAATATCAAATGAAGATTATTTAACTCTTCTCACATTTTATAGATGATCTATAAAGTCAGATGTCTTTAAAATAGTAGCAAGTTAAACTTCACTCTTGAATTCTTACTATCTAAGTCAGACTACATTATAATTTAAGATTGTCTTTAAACAGCCATCCAGGAACATAAAACTGTAGAACTACTGTGTATTTGTGATTGGGAATAGTGCTTTTGCCAACTTATAAGGATTAGAGTAGAGGAGATATACACAAATTTAAAAATTATGTGTGATCATAAGACTTAAGATAATTAAAAACAAAATCACAGATCAAAAAAACAAAAAACAAAAAAACCTACTGAGAGCCAGATCAAGATGGAGTAGTAAGTTCAAGAACTGCCTCCACTCTAGAAACATAGGCCTACTGAATAAAGTAAAAAGAGAAAACAGAAGGTGGCATAGTCAGGCCCAACTACAAGACAAGCGCTTTTGAAGATCCAGGCTGGCACAGAAACACAAACTGTGATCAGGGCTGCAAGGCTTGGTGGACTTGCTGGGTTTTGGATGCAGTGGCAGTCAGTGGTGGCAAAGGAGTCAAAAGTGTTCCCTGAGAGATGGGAAAGCAGAGGCAGGTTCTCAGCCACGGAGGCCCAGGGCTAAGGTGAGTTTCATGTCTCATCTCCTATCCTTATAGAAGGAGGCTGGAAATGAACATGTGCCAAGTGCTGAAGGAGCAGTGGCTTCCATCCAGCTCTAGACTGGGAGAGAAGGATGAGACAAAGCCTTGTGACCAAGAACTGAGTTGAGCTTCCCCTGTGACTCATCCTGGGATTGCCATGGCCCAGTGGTTCTGCAGGACTGTTCCTCTCACTGCCCTTACCAGAACTGAACCTGGATTGGAGACCCCCAAAGCTTTCAACAGGATAATTGAATATGGAGGTGGAGTAGGGGGAGTGAGAGGGAATGAAAAACAAAACGAAAAGAGCAAAATACTTCAAATTCCAAATGGGACTATAAACTAAATACAAAACTGAAGGAAAAAAGCTAATGCTAAAAAAAAGTCAACAAACTCTCTGGGCTCGGTGGCTCACGCCTGTAATCCCAGCACTTTAGGAGGCCGAGGCGGGCGAATCACTTGAGGCCAGGAGTTCAAAACAGCCTGGCCAACATGGCGAAACCCCGCCTCTACTAAATAAAAAAATTAGCCAGGCATGGTGGCGGGCGCCTGTAATCCCGGCTACTCGGGAGCCTGAGGCAGGAGAATCACTTGAACCGATGAGGTGGAGGTTGCAGCGAGCCGAGATCTCACCATTGCACTCCAGCCCTGGGTGATAAGAGCGAGACTCCGTCTCAAAAAAAAAAAAAAAAAAAAAAAAAAAAAAGTCAACAAACGAACAATCAACATGGATTCACTTCAGATAAAATTAATTTTACAGAATGATCAGATAAAACTTTAAAGTAAATGTATTGATTATTTCAAATAAATAAATGAAATCAAAACTTCCATTGAAAAATAAAAAATTTTGAAAAAAGAGGCTGAAAACAGAATGAGGAGATATGAAAAGGACCAATTAGAAAATCTGAACATTAAAAAATATAGTCATTGAAATAAAAAAATGTGGAGCCTTGAGTTAGAATGGCTGTTTGGCTACCTGTGCTTAATTTCACTATCATTCAAATGCATAGTAGAACTACAATAAAGGGATGAACAAACCAACAAGAATGGGGATAATAGGTGAAGAGACAATGGTAACAGTATTTTGGAATCTGGAAAGGAGATGGAAGAGTGGTAACTGATTAGTAGAACTGAGAAAGCCAGATCTTAAGTTATTACAGTCTCAGAAAGCTGAGAAAAATCCAGTTAATGCTGAGAGTCCTCTAAGTTTCATGAACTAGCACTTCTAGAAACCTCTAGACCTGGAGTAAAAGGCCCTGAGTAGCTGGGACTACAGGCAAGTGCCACCAGGCCTGGCTAATTGTTTTTTTTTTTTTTTTTTTTTTTGGTAGAGATGGTGTTTTGCCATGTTGCCCAGGGTGGTCTTGAACTCCTGAACTCAAGCGATCTGCCCACCTCAGTCTCCCAAAGTTCTAAGAGATTACATGCCTGAGCTATTGCGCCCGACCAAGATATTGTATTTATGAAGCAGACGGAATGTTAAAAATTCAGATAATCTTTTAAAAAAATAACATTTGGAAATTGAAAACATGATGGCAGAAATGAAAAAATTCAGTCAAAGTGCTGGAAGTCAAAGTTGAGGAATTTACCTAAAAATTAGAACAAAAATATATAGAGAGGAAAATAAGAGAGAGACACAAGAAAATTGGAGGATCAGTCCAGGAAATTTAACATATGAACAACACGAAGTTCTAGAGGAAAAGAACAGAAAAAGTACATGGCAAAAAATTAATAAAATAATTCAAGAAAATTTCCCAGATTAAAACACATGGATTTTGGATATTGAAAGGGGTTAGCAAATGCCCAGTAAAATGGATGATAATAGACCTACACCAAGGCATATCCTTGTGGAATTTCAGAACCTAGGGATAAAGAGAAGATGCTAACAGCTTTTAGAGGACAACACCACCACCACCACCAACACATATTCAGAGGACGAGGAATCAGAATGGCTTCTGTATTCCAACAAGAACACAGAAGACAGTGGAGCAATTCCTTTTACATTATAAATGGGAAGAATAGAATTCTACATTTAGACAGCCTATCAATAAAGTATAAATTTTCTAAAACTCAAAAAAACAATCAAAATCTCTACGGAAGAATATGCTCCACAAATATGAAATAGTAAACCAAGAAAGGGAAATAAATGGGATACAGGAAACATGAGATCTAATCCAGAAGAGAGGTGAAGGCAACCTCTAAAATGATGGTGATGAAGAATCTAAGGGTAGGTCTGAGGGGAATCGCTATGTACGAAGAATAAAAAGTAGTTCATATTAGGGCAAGTTTGAAACTTTTTGTCCAAGCAGAATGCAGTTTTTATCTGTGTTGTTCCAGAGTGAGCTGAAAGGCATTGTGAAAACTGAAGGAACCATTACTTTTACTGACAGTATCCACAATGATGAGGCTTTATGGCTGAGACAGAATAATAAGACAATAAAACATATGCCTTAATGTGAATGATTATACTAAAGTTTGATGTGTCTTTTTTTAATCATCAGCAAGGAGAAAGCCTTCATCAGAAGGAGAGAGCCATCTGATTTCCATAGGCTCCAATGCAGAAGAAAACATTAACTGATCTTAATCAAAGAAATATTCCTGTATATACAGATATGCCCATATATACATGCAATAACTCTAGAAGGATATACAGTATAATAATCTGATATTTACACTTTTGTTCCTTTTGAATTTTGTACTGTATGCATGTATTACTTATTCAAAAATTGAATACAATAAAAGTTTTTCTAAAAATTTAATTCAAATGCCCACAATTTTATTTTATTTTATTTTATTTTTATTTTTATTTTTTTAATTTTTATTATACTTTAAGTTTTAGGGTACATGTGCACACTGTGCAGGTTAGTTACATATGTATACATGTGCCATGCTGGTGTGCTGCACCCATTAACTCGTCATTTAGCATTAGGTATATCTCCTAATGCTATCCCTCACCCCTCCCCCCACCCCACAACAGTCCCCAGAGTGTGATGTTCCCCTTCCTGTGTCCCTGTGTTCTTATTGTTCAATTCCCACCTATGAGTGAGAATATGTGGTGTTTGGTTTTTGTTCTTGCGATAGTTTACTGAGAATGATGATTTCCAATTTCATCCATGTCCCTACAAAGGACATGAACTCGTCATTTTTTATGGCTGCATACTATTCCATGGTATATATGTGCCACATTTTCTTAATCCAGTCTATCATTGTTGGACATTTGGGTTGGTTCCAAGTCTTTGCTATTGTGAATAGTGCCGCGATAAACATATGTGTGCATGTGTCTTTATAGCAGCATGATTTGTAGTCCTTTGGGTATATACCCAGTAATGGGATGGCTGGGTCAAATGCTATTTCTAGTTCTAGATCCCTGAGGAATCGCCACACTGACTTCCACAATGGTTGAACTAGTTTACAGTCCCACCAACAGTGTAAAAGTGTTCCTATTTCTCCACATCCTCTCCAGCACCTGTTGTTTCCTGACTTTTTAATGATTGCCATTCTAACTGGTGTGAGATGGTATCTCATTGTGGTTTTGATTTGCATTTCTCTGATGGCCAGTGATGGTGAGCATTTTTTCATGTGTTTTTTGGCTGCATAAATGTCTTCTTTTGAGAAGTGTCTGTTCATGTCCTTTGCCCACTTTTTGATGGGGTTGTTTGTTTTTTTCTTGTAAGTTTGTTTGAGTTCATTGTAGATTCTGGATATTAGCCCTTTGTCAGATGAGTAGCTTGCAAAACTTTTCTCCCATTCTGTAGGTTGCCTGTTCAGTCTGATGGTAGTTTCTTTTGCTGTGCAGAAGCCCTTTAGTTTAATTAGATCCCATTTGTCAATTTTGGCTTTTGTTGCCATTGCTTTTGGTGTTTTAGACATGAAGTCCTTGCCCATGCCGATGTCCTGAATGGTAATGCCTAGGTTTTCTTCTAGGGTTTTTATGGTTTTAGGTCTAATATTTAAGTCTTTAATCCATCTTGAATTAATTTTTGTATAAGGTGTAAGGAAGGGATCCAGTTTCAGCTTTCTGCACATGGCTAGCCAGTTTTCCCAGCACCATTTATTAAATAGGGAATCCTTTCCCCATTTCTTGTTTTTCTCAGGTTTGTCAAAGATCAGATAGTTGTAGATATGCGGCGTTATTTCTGAGGGCTCTGTTCTGTTCCATTGATCTATATCTCTGTTTTGGTACCAGTACCATGCTGTTTTGGTGACTGTAGCCTTGTAGTATAGTTTGAAGTCAGGTAGCGTGATGCCTCCAGCTTTGTTCTTTTGGCTTAGGATTGACTTGGCGATGCAGGCTCTTTTTTGGTTCCATATGAACTTTAAAGTAGTTTTTTCCAATTCTGTGAAGAAAGTCATTGGTATCTTGATGGGGATGGCATTGAATCTATAAATTACCTTCAAATGCCCACAATTTTAAATGCATGTGTTTAGAAACAATAATTTTACTTGTAGGGATATATTGTACAGACAAAACCTCACATTTTCAAAATTATGTATATAAGGTCATTTAATACAGAATTAATAACAAAACAGTGGAAACAACTTTTACAAGGGACTTGTGAAGTAATAATTAATGTTCATCCATTCAATGGGACAGTATGAAGGCTTTTAGTAGATGATGAGGCTCATTATGTATTGATGTGAATATTTTGTCAAATGAACAAAAGCAAGATGAAGAAAAGTATGCAGAGTATGCCACATGTGTGTATAAAAGGAAGAAAAAACTTCTTGGGTGTGTGTCTCTCTGTGTGTGAAAATGTGCATCCATTTTCACATATATGCATAGAATAAAAGAATCAGAAAAGCTATCAGAAAAAATAAACATAATTGATAACATTGTTTGCCTTCGAGAAGAGAAACTGGGTGGCAAGAAGAAAAGTTGAACTTTTCATTGTTTACCCTGTTTAACCTTTGGCTTTGAACCATATGAATGTACTCCTTATTGAAAATTAGGCTGGGCGCGATGCCTCATGCCTGTAATCCTAGCACTTTGGGAGGCTGAGGCGGGCAGATCACTTGAGGTCAGGAGTTTGAGACCAGCCTGGCCAACATGGTGAAACCCCACCTCTTACTAAAAATGCAAAAAAATTAGCTGGGCATGGTGGCATGTACGCCTGTAGTCCCAGCGTCTCTGGAGGCTGAGGCAGGAGAATTGCTTGAACCTGGGAGGTGGACATTGCAGTGAGCCGAGATCGCACCACTACGCTTCAACCTGGGTGACAGAGCAAGACTCCATCTCAAATAAATAAATAAATAAATAAATAAGTTTTAAAATACATAATGAATGGGATGAACTCAACATCAGACACAGGAAAATAAATAATTAGAGAATTGGAAGGAAGAATATAAGAACTCACTGAGAATGCAATACAGAGTGTAGAAAAATGAAAACTATGCGAGAGGAGGTACAGCAGGGGAATGACAGACTGACAGCACACTTCTTATCATAATAACATATATTAGAAGATAATGGAATATTCACTTTGAAATACTGAAGGAAAAAGCTGTCAACCTAGAATTTTGCCATCAGCTAAACTATTATTCAAGAAAGAGGGTTAAATAAAATCATCTTTAGACATACAAATACTAAAAGATTTGTCACTACACAGTATAAGACTATAAGACTATTAAAATTTGTTTCAGAAACAGAAGCCTGCAGAAGATGTGGAATACAAGAAGCAAACTTCTCTCTCACCTCCAAAACAGTGGAGTTGTTCTAGTGAACACAGAGATTGATGAAAAGTGTTGGAAATCTTAATTAATGATTAGAGCCTAAGAATTATAACTTAAAAAACAATAATAATGCAGTGGAGAAGTTGTTCAAGGTAGGGGGGCACTTAAAGCGCAGTAAAGATCTTACTGCAGTTGGAAGAAATTAAATGTCTGTAAACATTGACAGAAAAATTTTTAGTTAAGTATGTCATTTAAAAAATTCAGTGTGGCTATTAAAATAATAGAAATAAAAGTTATGGCTTCCAAATCAGAATGGAATACACATTATCAAACAAAAGAAGGTAGAAAAGAGGAAAAACACAGGATGGTAAATAGAAAACACAAAATATGGTACTGTGATTAAGTCTAAATAAACGACTACATTAAAAAAGTGTAAATGGATCAGATTTATCTATTAAAAGAAGCAATCAAATGAACAAAAAAATGCAACTCTATGCTTTCTACAAGACACAGAATGAACGCACACACATACACACATATGGGCTGAATATAAAAAAATGGAAAATGATGGGAAGTCCTAGCCAGAGCAAACAAGCATGAGAAAGAAATAAAATATATTGAAATAGGAAAAGAAGAAGTCAACCTATCTTTCACTGATGATATTCCACCCTTCGAAAACTTTAAAGACTCTGCCAAAAGGCTCATCCTAGAATGGATACATAACTTCAGTAAAGTTTCAGGATACAAAATCAGTGTACAAAAAATCAGCAGCATTTCTATACACCAATAACATTCAACCTGAGAGTCAAGTCAAGAACATAATACTATTTACAGTAGTCACACACACACACACACACACAAATACTTAGGAATACATTTAACCAAGGAGATGAAAGATCTCTACAAGGAGAACTACAAACTCCAGCTGAAAGAAATCATAGGTGATATACACAAATGGAAAAACATTTAATGCTTTTGAGTTGGAAGAATCAATATTGTTAAAATGTCCATACTGCCCAAAGCAATCTACAGATTCAGTACGATTTCTATCAAACCACCAGTGTCATATTTCACAGAATTAGAAAAAACTAAAATAGTTCATATGGAGCCAAAAAAGAGCCTGAGTAACCAAAGCAATACTAAGCAAAAAGAACAAAGCTAGAGGCATCACATTACCTGACTTCAGACTATACTACAAGGCTATGGTAACCCAAACAGCATAGTACTGGTACAAAAACGGACACATACATTGTATTAGTCTGTTCTTGCACTTCTATAAAGACCTATCTGTGACTGGGTAATTTATAAAGAAAAGAGGTTTAATTGGTGTATGGTTCTGCAGGCTGTATAGGAAGCATGGCTGGGGAGGCCTCAGGAAACTTATAATCATGGTGGAAGGTGAAAGGAAAGCAGGCATATCCTACATGGCTGGAGCAGAAGGGAAAGAGAGGGGGACATTGCCACACACTTTTAAACAACCAGATCTCCTGAGATACTCACTCACTATCATGAGGACAGCAAGGGGGGGAATCTACCCCCAGGATCCAGTTACCTCCCACCAGGCCCCACCTCCAACCTTGGGGATTACAATTTGACATGAAATTTGGGCGGAGACACAAATGCAAACCATATCACACACCAATGAACAGAATAAAAAACTGGAAATAAAGCCATACGTCTTCAGCCATCTGATCATCAACAAATTGACAAAAATAAGCTAAGGAGAAAGGACTTCCTATTCAATAAATGGTGCTAGGATAGCTGGCTAGCCACATGCAGAAGAATGAAACTGGATCCTTACCTTTTGCCACATACAAAAATTATCTCAAGATGAATCCAAGATTTAATATGACACCTCAAACTATAAGAATCCTAGAAGAAAACCCGGAAAACACCATTCTGGACATCGGCCTTGGGAAAGAATTTATGGCTCAATCATGAAAAGCAATTGCAATAAAAATAAAAATTGGTAAGTGGGACCTAATTAAAGAGCACAGCAAAACAAACTATCAGGCAGAATAAACCCACAACCTACAGAATGAGAGGAAATTTTTGGAAACTATGCATTCAACAAAGGTCTAATATTCAGAGCCTACAAGGAATTTAATTCAACAAGCAAAAAACAAATAACCCCATCAAATGTGGGCACAGGCTGGGCGTGGTGGCTCACACCTGTAATCCCAGCACTTTGGGAGGCTGAGGTGGGTGGATCACGAGGTCAGGAGTTCAAGACCAGCCTGGCCAAGATGGTGAAACCCCGTCTCTACTAAAAATACAAAAATTAGCTGGGCATGGTGGTGGGCGCCTGTAATCCCAGCTACTTGGGAGGCTGAGGAAGATAATTTCTTGAACCCGGGAGGCGGAGGTTGTAGTGAGCCGAGTTCACGCCACTGCACTCCAGCCTGGGTGACACAGCGAGACTGTGTCAAAAAAATAAAAACAGTGGGCACAAGACATGAACAGACACTTATCAGAAGAATACATACAAGTGGCCAGTAAACATATAAAAAAATGTTCAACATCACTAACCAACAGACAGAAGCAAATCAAAACCACAGTGAGGCCAGGTTCAGGAGCTCATGCCTATAATTTCAGCACTTTGGGAGGCTGAGGCAGGAAGTTAGAGACCAGGCTGGGCACCATAGGAAGAATTCATCTTTACAAAAAATTTTTTAAAAAAATTAACCAGGTGTAATGGCATCTACCTGTAGTCCCAGGTACTTGGGAGGCTGAGATGGGAGGATCGCTTGACGCCAGGAGTTTGAGGCTGCAGTGAATCATGATCACACCACTGCACTCCAGCCTATGTGACAGAGTAAGACCTTGTCTCAAAACAACAACAACAACAACAAAAACACCAAAACCAGAAACCTCCCAAACCCCTGATAAGATACCATCTCATACCAGTTAGAATAGCTAATACTAGGTTGGTGCAAAAGTAGTTGTGGTTTTTGCCACTACTAATATTAAAAAGTCAAAAAATAACAGATGCTGATGAGGCTATGGAGAAAAGGAAACATTTATACACTGCTGGTGGGAATGTAAATTAGTTCAGCCACTGTGGAAAGCAGTTTGGAGATTTTTCACAGAACTAAAAAAAGAATTGTCATTTGATGCAGCAATCCCATTACTGAGTATATATCCAAAAGAAAAGAAATGGCTGGGCATGGTGGCTCACGTCTGTAATCCCAGCAATTTGAGAAGCCGAGGTGGGCAGATCACTTGAGGTCAGGAGTTCGAGACCAGCCTGGCCAACATGGTGAAACCCCATCTCTACACAAAAATTATCTGGGAGTGGTGGCGCATGCCTGTAGTATCAGCTACTCGGGAGGCTGAGGCAGGAGAATCGCTTGAACCGGGAGGTGGAGGTTGCAGTAAGCAGAGATTGTGTTATTGCACTCCAGCCTGGGTGACAGAGCAAGACTCTATCTCCTGAAAAAAACCACACACACACACAAAAAAAAAACCCCACAAAACAAAACAGAAAGCAAAAGAAAAGAAATAATTCTATCATGGCAGTATTCACAATAGCAGAGACATGGAATCAACCTAGGTACCCAACAACAGTGGATTGAATAAAGAAAATGTGATACACATGCACCGTGGAATACTACACAGCTATACAAAAGAATGAAATCATGTCCTTTGTAGCAACATGGATGCAGCTGGAAGCTATTATCCTAAGCAAATTAACACCGGAACAGGAATACTGCATATCGTCACTTTTAAGTGTAAGCTAAACAATGGGTATTCATGGACATAAAGATGGCGATAATAGACACTGGTGACTACTAAAGAAGGGAGGCATGGAGGAGGGATAAAGGGTTGCAAAACTATTTGATACTATGCTCACTACCTGGGTGGGGGATAAATTGTACTCCGAACCTCTGCATTATCCAATATACTCATGTAACAAACCTGCATGTGTACCCCTGAAACTAAAAAAAAAGTTGAAATTATAAAAACATTTAAAAGGAATAGTAAAAAAGAAAACCATGCATTCGTGTATAACACAAATACTAACAAAAAAGTTAATGTAGCAAAATTAACATAGGACAAAATAGTTCTTAAGGCAAAAAACATTTCAGGAATAAAGAGAGAAACCACACACACACAAATGTAACCACAGATCAAGAAGATATAACAATAATGAAATTACATGCTTCTAATACAATTATCATACATTGCAACACTGAAAGAAATGAAGTAAACGTTGACAGAATTATAAGGAGAAGGTCAAAAAACCATAGTAGGAGATAAACACAACTTACAAATCCAGCAGACAAAAATTAGAATGGCAATAGCAGCTTTGAATAATAAAATTAGCCAGTGTGATATATGTATATGTATATATCTAAAAACTTTACACTCAAGTGCATATGTTATTTTCAAGTATAGACAGAACCTTTGTAAAATTTGAACATGAAGGCAAAGAGGAAATCTCAACAACTTTCAAAGAATTGCTATCCTACTGATCACAATATCTTACCACACAATTAAATTAAAAATAATTTAAATGATAAAAAGTAGTTTAGCAATCCTACTCTCTTTCTCTTCTTACTTATCAGGAAACTGAAGAATGACACTCTGAATAACTCATGAATTAAAGAAGAAATAAATACCATATTAATAACATTTATAACAATAATATATAAATATTTGATCTAATTAAAGTGATGTCTACAGGTAAATATATAGCTTAATTGCATTTATTATAAACAAAAAATGAAAATAAATGTATGGTATTATATTAAAAATAGCTTTAAAAGAATAATGAAGCAATCTATGAAGGTGGAAGGAGGGAAATAATAAATATAAGAGCAAGAATTAATGAAATAGAAAATAAGATAGAAAACCAAAGTTTGTTTTTGGAAAAAAGGAAAACAATAAAATAGGCAAACCCTAGCAAGATTTACCACTAAATAAGAAAAGATATATGGGTAAGTAATATTAAGAACAAAAGCTTGGTCAACACACAGGATCTTAAATATCTTGAATATCTGGATTTATGAGAGGTGGCATTACCAATTGATGGAGAAGGATATTATCAATATGAAAAAAGCCCCTAAATTTAAATGTCTACTTCATAGCATACACAAAGATCAAGTCCAGTTACATTAAAGACTAAGTATAAAAATCAAAATCCAAGCATTTTTTAGAATACATTTTAGTCAAGGCGCAAAAGCACAAGCCATACAGGAAAAGATTTGTACATTTTACTACATAAAACTTAAAGATGTTAAATGAAAACAACAACAACAGCAAACTCAATATAAACAAAGTTAAAAGACTGGGAACATATTGATTATAAAACAAAGTATGAGTTTTTAGAAAACACAAATAATGTCTACAAATTATTAAAAAATGGTTAAAAACTACTGAATAGAAAACTGAAAGTGCATAAGAACGGGAATCCATTTGGCCAATAAACATTTGACAAGATGCCTAACCCACAGATGGCGGAAACTGTCAGAGGGTTGTAATTACATCGTGCTGGTTTTGTATGAGAAATTGGTAACTCTCAAACACTGCTGGTGGGAATATAGTTGGGGCAACCCCTTTGGAGAGTAATTCAGCATTGTTTAGTGATGTGAGATGTGTCCATTTAGGTCACCCTCAAGCAGCAGTTCTCAAACTTTAGCTTGATTCAGCATCACCCGGAGGGCTTGTTAAAGCATGTATTGCTAGACCCCACTCCTAGAGTTTCTGGTTCAGTAGGTCCGAGGAAGGAGTGGATTTGCATTTCCAACATGTTCCCAGGTGATGCTGCTGCTGCAGGCGACCACACTTTGAGAACCACTCCTTTAGACAGCCTTTTGCAGATGCGCACAATAAGACGAGTCATGAGAATGTTTATTGTGAGGAATAGTAGAAAATTAGACACATCTTCAATGCCTATTAATGAGAGAATGAATAAGTATACAGTTTTAAAAAATACAACAGAAGATACATGGAAATTAAAATGAATGAGCTAGAGCTGCAAGTATCAACATAAAAATATTAAAAACAACGCTCTAAGAAGAAAGCAAATTGCAAAGTGTAGAGGTTAATCCACTATGCCTATTTTAAAATATGCAAAATAAAATAAAATAATGTTCATGGATGACAAATAGTATGAATCATTTGTGAGCATGATAAATACTGAATTTACCATATTGGTTAATTTTGAGGAGGAGGGGAGGGTGCAAGGGTGATGGGACTGAAAACAAACAGAAGGCCTCAACTGTATCTACATTTTTATCTGTCTATCATCGATTTATCTATCTATCTTCACCATTATAATCATGATCATCATCATCTATTAATATATATATGTCTTTGTTTCTCTCAGTCTATCAATCATATTTTTACAAAAAAAGGATGTGGAATAATTATTGCCAAAAGTTAATAATTGATAAAGCTGGATAGCAGTAAACATTATATTATGTTCCTTCTTGTGTATAAAGTTGATTATTTCATGATAAAAATACAATGAAAAGAAATGCCTGCAAAAAATACTGTGCCAGACTCTGTTTCTGAATGCTGTTAAGGCTGAAAAACAACATGTTGAGATTGAGCCTCTACTGTGGAATGAGATTTATATATGATCTTGTAGACCTCATCATCATCATCATAATATATTAAAATTGGAAGTACAGTGAATGATTTCAAATCTCTTCTCAGAGGGGTGGTGAAGGTTCTTGGCTTTTTGTTCTAGTCTGTGTTCTTCCTTTGCCAGTGTTGGTTCTGTAGCCCCACTTCCTTTGCCAGTGGGGTTCTGTAGCCCCAACATTGGAGGTTGGGATATTTGATTCCTCGGGCAAGAGGAAAATAATAGGAATATGATCATTCAAAGCCTCTTTTATTACTTTCACACACACAGGAGAATTCTGCCTTTAATTGCTCAGTTTCTGAACTTTTGTGATGTGAAACTGGGACAACAGATAGAGTGGCAAAACTCAAGGAGCTATCAAGGCTGTACTGGTTTACACTGTAAAGCCAGAAAGACATAGTGTTCCAGAAAGGAGAGGAGAAAGGCAGGAACCAGTGGGGCCTGGGCTGGAGAGCAGAGGTTTGGAGTTTGCCTCTATTTCCTTTGTTCTCCAGGTGGCTGTTTCCCTCTGAATGTCCTTGGCCTGAAGACATGGTGTTCTTCCTAGTTGCTTTTGATCAGCCTTACATGTGAATGCAGAAGAGGATTTTTTAATTTTTAAATTTTTTTTATTTTTTAGATTTGCAGAGTGAGAGTCATTGACAGATTGGGTCAGAGCTGCAAAGAGGTTTTTCCATTGAGTGGGAATGCAGATACGGCACGGTTCAACATCCTTCCTGCCTAGAGCAGCCTGAAGTGTCGTGGTATAATGATCTTATGTCTACTGTCAGGTGGACAAAGCCCTCAACTTTGTTTCCTTATTTATCTCTAAGTACATCCTTGTCATGTAGTTTTATTTTCCTAATTTTAGAAAGGTAGCAGGTCTATGAAGAGGCTTATGTAGGATTCAAGTCCAAGTGTTAAAGCAAACTAAATATGGCCTGAGAAGGACTCTGTACTTCTATAGCTGAGTCCTCGTGGATGAGCTGTAACCTAGCGTAATAGATTACAGTGGAACAACAATTATATACAATTTTGTAGACCTCATCATCATAATATATAAAATTGAAAACCTAACTTACTAGTGTGCACCTGTAACAATAGCTGCGTGTTGGCTAATCCTAGCGGCCATACTTCAACCACTCACAGACTGTTGAATATTACTGCCTTCAAATAAGGCAAACGTCCAGCTGTAACCAATCTCACTGTTTCTCACTTCCGATTTCTGTATATCACTTTACCTTTTTTGTCTATACATTTGTTCTGATCACGAGGCACCCCTAGAGTCTCTGTGAATCTGCTGTGATTCTGGGGGCTACCCAATCCACGAATTGTTCATTGCTCAACTAAACTCCTTTAAATTTAATTCAGCTAAAGTTTTTCTTTTATCACAAGTCTGTGATGTTTTACACTGAGCAGTACTGCACTAGGCTTTTTGGGAATGCAGAAAATATAAGACATGGCCCTGTGGTAAAAGATCTTTATTGTTTAGTTGGGAAGACAAGATATTTGCACCTGATACATTAAGGCTGGACCCAAGTCATACAAAATCAAAGAAAATGATCCTATGCGTTGAAGATGTGTTAAAGAACAAGTCATCTATATTGCCTTTGGGCTTTGCCAGCTTTGGTCCAGCTGCCTTCTGTGATCAAACACAGTGGATACTCACCATCCTTGATGTTCTTTTTGCTTTATATTGAAATAACACTGTATTTCCCTTTTGGAGAAAACAATTGCCCAGCCTGTAAACAATCATCAAATGCCCCAGATTAACTCTTTGAAAGGAAGGCAATTTGGCACAGCAACATTCAGGTTAAAAGTGACCCTAAGTCACAGCCTCTATGGAATTGTGAGCTCCTTAAGGGTTGAAGCTGGTACTTCACATCTATATTGCACAGAGCCTGGCCCAGAGTGGCTACTCAGTAATGTCTGGTGTTATCATTGCAGATTATTTTCCAGAAGTGGGGGATAGGGGGCAGGTAGGTGGATGGTGATATCTGACCCACTCTATTGAGGAAGGCCTCACTGCATCTGTGATAAATCTGAACTCTATAGATTTCGTGTCACCATATTCTAGAGTAGTTTGGAGTCAGAGACCTTGGCAAAGAGTCTAGCTGTCACGGAATCTTCCCTGGTTGGCCCCTCATCCTCCACTCTGAGGCATCCGTCGTCCTAATCTACAGATTTGGAACTCCCACGTAGCTTCTGCATACCCTCTGGGACAAAGTTTTTCATAATTTATTATTTTCTTTTCTTTGTTGTCTGAGAGCTTTAAACCTCCATGGAGAAATGGTCCCATGGGTCACCCCTGGGAGAGTTACAGGCACATACGTGGAGTATGAGGCATCTTATAGCCAGCTACAATTCTTGTTACTTCTCTTTCCAGTTCAGCCAGTGGCAGATCTGTGCCCTCTACCTTTGGTTCAGAGAAACTGTGCTCCTTGAATTTGGGGTCTCTGTTCTTCAGTGGGATTCAATAACCTGTCCTGGCCACCAGTTCCAAGGTTCTGGGCATGCTTGGCCTTGGTGTTTCACCCAGAGAAGACACTAGGAAACTAGAGAAGCAGTGGGAGGCAGGTACGTGGCTCCTCTAGAGGCCTATATCCAAAGAGCATGCAAGGCGTGGTGTATGGAAGGAATGTTATCAATCAAATGGATACCAAATCTAGAGGTATGATTCCTGACTTTGGTATAGCCCAATCTTTTCTTCAGAGTTTTCCCAGTTTGTAATCTCATTTTTTGTTGTTCAAAACCTCTTTTTTTTTTTTAAAAAAAATTATTTATTTTATTTATTTTTGAGTCAGAGTCTCATTCTGTCACCCAGGCTGGAGTGCAGTGGTGTGATATCGGCTCACTGCAACCTCCACCTCCTGGGTTCAAGCAATTCTGCCTCAGCCTCCTGAGTAGCTGGGATTACCATGTGTATGCCATCATGCCTGGCTAGTTTTGGTATTTTTAGTAGAGACAGGGTTTCACCATGTTGGCCAGGCTGGTCTCGAACTCCTGACCTCAAGTGATCCACCCACCTCGGCCTCCCAAAGTGCTGGGGTTACAGGTATGAGCCACCACACCCGGCCCAAAAGCTCTTTTACAGAGTCATTGTGGTTTTAAATATCAATTCAGTTTTCAAGTGAGAAAATGGAGGCACACAGAATTCAACTGATTTGCTTAAGCTCTTATAGAGTAGGGGTGCCGAGGGACTTTGTGGGGTTTTAGTTCTCCTTCATCTCCATCTGCCTCCTCAAGCCACCTCAAACCTACAATCTAAACAAAATCAATTTGCTTTTGTTATTCCAGGGCAGCTTCATGACCATTCCCAGAGTCCCACCAGATGGCCATTCCCATGCTGTCCCTTTATTGAAATTCTGTGGTCATCGCATAGTCCATAAGCAATAGAAGCAAAAGAGTAAGCAGGTTTTACCAGAGTGTACCTTTAAAGTTTCAAAGAACCCGCACATCCACTATCTCATCAATTCACAGAATGTTCTGAGAGACAACAAGAATAGATATTATTGCTGCCTAGAGATTAAGAGCTAGAAGCTCAGAAAGCTTGATTCTCACCTTGGTTCCTGTCTGCTATAGTGGACTCTCTGGCTTGGTTTGGGTCTGGGGTCTCTGTCACATATATGGCTGGAGAAGCCTCCCACTTATTTTCTTATACCTCAGTTTCCCATTTGTTCCCATCATAGGCAGACTATATGTCAGTAGCTTTGAGGAACAGATTGTATCTGCTCAGTATTGAAGTCCTGGAATAATGAGAGAAGCGCCCAGTTAATTGATCAGATTTTATTTTAGGAATATCACCCTCCCTGGGGAGGTGGTATGATGGAAAGATGGTGGGCTCTGGAGTCAGACTGGGCTGGATTCTCATCTGGACTCTGTCACTTACTAGCTGGTTGAAGCAGGGATTTTGAGAGCCCCACATACTAGGTCCTTTCCTCTTCCCAGCTACCTGGCAACTAAGCAAACCTAGGGCTTGGTGGAACAGAGTTTGAAAACAGCTGATAGAGTACAGCTTTCCGGGAAATTTAGAATTAAATTCTGTAGCTAAGAAAAAGAAATTATATGTAGAAATCAATTCAATTTGCCTCCCACCCAAGGCCATGAGAGCAGGCTGCTCCAGATATACAAGACATCATTCCTGCAGGCATTGTCAGTCTTGTAGTCCGTTGACAGTAATTGCATGGACAACACCCAAATTGATTGACTTTTCTGTAAGTATTGTTGAACTTCCTTTTCCTTAAATTTCCTTAAAAACAGGTAGCTAGAAATGGAAAGGAAACTAAGTACGCTGCCAACGTACAATCAGGAGCATGCAGCCACCCTTTTATTACATCAGTATATATTTATTGCATGTAGACTACATGTCAGTGACTTTGGCATTAGCAACACAGTAATGAACAAACAAACAAAGGCACTATCTTCAAGGAGCTTCCTTTTGTGTGTGTGTGTGTGTGTGTGTGCGTGATGTTATAGACAAACAAATAAATATCTACCAGATGGCAATGAAGCTGTGACCCAAAAAATCAAACTGAGAAGAGGGTCAGAGAGTGAAAGGAACTGCGTTTTCAGATAGGTGGTCAGAAAGGGCCTCTCTGTTAAGGTGGCCCTTGTGCAGGGAATTGAAGAAGTGCAGGAGGATGCCACACAGAGATGGTAGAGGGAGCGAAAGGAGCAAAGGCCCTAACTTTCCCTTAATGATGTCTCCTTCCATCTTTAGTCCAGCCCAGCAATGTACATGTTATCCTTCCCGTTTGAAGATGAAGACACTGAGGCTCAGAAAGATCAAACGCCTTTCCCAAACTCACAGCTACGGCCTGACGGAGGTAGGGTCAAATGCAGCTCCACTGATTTCAGAGACGGTGCTGTTAACACAGGGGGCTGTCTGCATGTTGGAAAGTGAGATGTGCTGTTGCTGTCACGTTGCAGTGGGAGTGGGGAAGCAGGCTGTGATGAGCTAGACCCAAGAGGAATCAGAGAGCAGGTCTCCGGGCTTCATCCTGGGCATCTCCTAGCCCCGCTGTCTGTCTCATAACACCCACCCACTGCGCCTGCTCACCTCGGTTTGTTGGCTGTTTTTTTTTGAAATCATTTCCTGGATCTTAGTAAGTTTATTTTCCAGTTCCTTTCACTTTTTGGGACTAGGCCCCCAGATGCCAGGTGGAGAGAACTGAAAGAGGGAGAAATCCAGCGTTTCTCACCAGGCTTGTCACGTAGCTACACAAGCAAATAGCTACAGGAACCAAGTTTCAATTTTCGTGCATGGGCCTCAAACTGTTTTTCCATATTTGTTAGGGAAAATCTTGGCCAGGGAGCACCGTCTTTTGAGGACACCAAATTGGGCCAAGTTCCTGTGCGGCCTTTCTCCTTATTTAGTGATTGCCCCGTGTGACCCTCTCCTCTCTGGCTGACCTCTTTTTTCCTGCATGGCACTTGGTGGATAAAGTTCCCTGAACCTTGGAGAGGAAGCGGATGCTGTTAATAGCCCTGGGAGTGTGACTGTGCTTTGCAGCTCACTGGAGCCTGTGGGATATTCCTCCAGCCTTGGCGGGGCTCCGAGCTGCAGGGAAATTAACCTCAGAGTCAGGGCAGGGAGCCAGGGTTGCAGGCACGTTGTCATTGGGTGAAATGAGATGGCAGAGGAAAATGGCACGGTGTGGAGGCTTTTTTTGTCAGAAGCTCTGGGGTTTGGCTCTTCTCTGTGCCATGTAGTTCTTTGATCTTGCCCAAGTTTACTTACTGTCTCTCTGAGCCTTCAGTGATTTCAATTGCGTGAAAACCAAGACAAATAACACCTCTATATCAAGAATAGTTCATAGGATCATAGTACAATATTGTGGGGATTAAGCCAGATGGTATCAGCCCATCAGAATCTAGCCCATGGGAGGGGCTCCGTAAATGACCCTTTCTTTTTGAGACGGAGTCTTGCCCTGTCGCCAGGCTGGAGTGCAGTGGCGCGATCTCAGCTCACTGCAACCTCCGCCTCCCGGGTTCAAGAGATTCTCCTGCCTCAGCCTCCTGAGTAGCTGGGGTGCCCGCCGTGCTACTATAGGGTGTGTCCTACAGGCGCACGCCACCATGACCAGCTACTTTTTGTATTTTTGGTAGAGACGGGGTTTCACCGTGTTGGCCAGGATGGTCTTGATTTCTTGACCTTGTGATCCGCCCGCTCAGCCTCCCAAGGTGTTGGGATTGCAGGCGTGAGCCACTGCGCCCGGCCTCCTTTCTCCCTTTTTGGAGAGAAGCTCATCTTCCTACCAACACATGACCCGAAGACGTGTTGGGGCAGGGGGGAAGAGGAGTAGAATTTGGATGCTCTGGAACTCTCGCTCAGAAAGAGTTTCTCATTAGACTTGTCTCTGATGACTTCAATGATTCCATCAGATATTCATTCCGTTGGGTTAGGCATTGCCTCCCATCTAGGTTGCTTTCATTTGATTTCAGTTAGAAGGTGGTGGAGCTGAGATTTGAAGGCATCAGGTGGTCTAATGCCTGAATGTAGCCTTAACCACTGTGCTCTCCTGACTCTCTCCGTGGACCTCACAACCTCTTCTAACAATTCCTCTGGGCATATTACCTACTTCCACCTGTCTCTCCCCTGGCTTGCTGGGGTGCCTCCCCCTCCCTCTACTGCACTTGGTTTTGTCAGTTAAGGATTGCCTTCTTTCCACCGTCCCCCACCCTCAGTGTGATTTAATTGGGAAATTGTTTCTTGATCTTACCTGTCCTGTCTTCCTTGTATGCCAACTTCACTGCCCCCTACTTTGTTCTACCAGACACATTGCAATTAGCTCATCACATCTCTGTTCTAACCCTTGAGTACTTCTCTATCTTTCCTAAAAGACACAGTTCTTAAAAGGCAGGACTTGCAACTCATTTTGGGTTAGAGGCCTGATGCCTGGTACCATGCCTAGAACTCAGGGTCTCCTTGATGAATGCTTGAATGAGGAACTGGCAGGCATAGAACTGTGAGTAAACCACTTCACTGAGTTAACAAATTAATAGGTTCAAAAATTTCCAGGAGTTAGATAGTTGTGAAATTCTGTCTCTCAACCTTTTTATTTTTTCCCAACTTTTATATTCAATGGTACATGTGCAGGCTTGTTAAAAATATGGAACATGGCTGGGCATGGTGGCTCATGCCTGTAATCCCAGCACTGTGGGAGGTCGAGGTGAGTGGATCATTTGAGGTCAGGAGTTCGAGACCAGCCTGGCCAATATGGTGAAACCGTGTCTCTATTAAAAATACAAAAATTAGCTGGATATGGTGATGCGTGCCTGAAATCCCAGCTACTTGGGAGGCTGAGGGAGGAGAATCACTTGAACCTAGGAGGCGGAGGTTGCAGTGAGCCGAGATTGCACCACTGCACTCCAGCCTGGGCAACAAAGCAAGACTCTGTAACCAAAAAAAAAAAAAAAAAAAAAAAAAAGATATGGAATGCTTCACAAATTTGTGTGTCATTCTTGTTCAGGGGCCATGCTAATCTTCTCCGTGTCATTCCAATTTTAGTATATATGATGCCGAAGTGAGTACTATCTTAATCTTTTTAATGAATCAGTGTGAATTAATATACACTAGAGAAAGAAGTAATGAGACATTTAAAAATTATTTTATTCTTTTAACTCTTTGAATGTTGTTCTCCATATATCAATCCAATCTATTTGACAACTTGAATTCATTTCTTGAGTCTCTCAAAGAATGCAATTTGGTGTCAGGCAGTAGAGGAAGAACTGATGGCGATTCAAGCATTTTTCTAGAATCATTCAGTTTAGATTTTGGGTTTCTGATTTGGAATTCAAGAAAAGCTTCCCTTGCAGTTTGTTAATTAGCATTAGGGTAGGGGGAGCAGTAAGGACTCACTGGGCTTCTGTGCAGGTGCAATTGCCCACGCATGCCCAACCAAACCCTGGGTATCAGTTGTCCCCCGTCTCCCATTTCTCTGCAGAACAAGAGACAACAGATAATTTGAGGACAGTTTGGCTGCTTGGTGGTGGCAGAGGTGGTATGTGTGTCCATAAAGTAGGGTAACTACTGCTTGACACAGTAAAGTGGTGTTCTTTTTCGCTCATGTAACAGTCCTGTGTGAGTCTAGGGCAGGGATTGGCAAATTACAGCCCATGGTCCAAATCCAGCTTGTAGCCTGTTTGTGTATGGACCATGAGCTAAGAAAGGGTTTTACGTTTTAAAGAGTTGCAAAAACAAACAAAATAAACCCACAGAGAAGAATATGTGGCGGAAACTGCCTGTGGCTCATAAAGCTTAAACTATTTAAATCTGATCCTTTACAGAAAATATTGGGTAATCCCTGCTCCAGGAAGAAGTGAGTCGTTTTCTTCAGGGATCTAGGATCCTGCCAGCTGTTGGCTCTATGATGGGGAAAGAGATAGTGGGGAAACTGCTCCTGCTTCTTAAAAAAATCTCAGCCCACAGGTGAAATGCCTCATTGCCTAGATGCAAGGGGATAAAAAGCCGTCGGCTGTCCCTCTCTCCTTCTCTCTTATATCCTACTTCTTTACCCCTCCTTCAGCTTTTGAGAAACAAGAGCAGATCCTTTCAATGTAGCTAATCTGGGCCTGATACAAAGGCCACAGGTTCTGGCACTCTCTCTCTAAGCCATGGATCAGAGAGCTGAAAGTATTAAAAAATAATACCTGCTCTGTACCAGGCCCCAGGGTGGATGTCGGGGGGGCATCTGTACCAGGCCCCAGGGTGGATGCTGGGGCACCTGCTCTGTACCAGGCCCTGAGATAGATGCTTGTGGCCCTTGCTTTGTACCAGGCCCTGGGGCAGATGGTGGGAGAATCTGCTCTGTGCCAGGCCCCATGGTGATGCTGGAGAAACCTGGTCTGTACCAGGCCCCAGGGTGGATGCTGGGGGCACCTGCTCTGCATCAGGCCTCAGGATGGATGTTGGGGGTACCTGCTTTGTACCAGACCCTGGGGTAGATGCTGGGGGCATCTGTACCCTCCACCGTGGTTCCTAGGTCAGAGCAGGTGCCCTCTGCATTTGTTTGCTTGACCTGCATACAAGTTTGGAGGAATGAGATAAGGAAAAAGCCTTCCTAGTGAAGACAGGACTATCAAACCTGAGTCACAGATGAAAGGACAGGTAAGATTTAGAAAAATAGTAAGAATTTATAGATGACACAAGAGAGCTAGTAAATTGCAGACCCAGGGCTTGATCCCAGAGCTGTTTGACTCTAAATCTCATCCTCTCCATGACTATGAAAAATAATGAATTTTTCAGAGAATTTGACTGTGAAACTGTCTAACACCGTAAGTCAAGTCAAACTTCTAGAGCATCTGTGTGCAGTATCTCCACTGGGAAGGGTGATCATTGTTTGGAGGCTGCTACATTGTAAGTGAGGTTGCAAACGAGATAAATGGGTGGAAATTGCATCCTGAAATTTCCTTGAGCCAACAGAAGCATGAAGTGTCTGGGGCTGCAATGCAATTATGTGAGAGGAAGCCAATGTTTATAGACTTCCCACTGTGGGGATGTTAGGCATGGCGAAGACGCACGCAGAAATCTGAAAACTTTGGACTTGTTTATTTCTGATTTTTTATCTCTACATGCTTTCATTGCCAGGAATTCTGAAGCCAGAAGGAACTTGCTAATTATTTATAGGGGAAAGAGCAAGGGCTTTAGACCTTGGCAAACCTGGATTCAAATTCCAGTTCAGGAATCTGTGACTGTAGCAAAACACTATTTCTTTTTCTCCAAAGGGTCAGAAATAGTGAATAATTTGCCCAAGTTACACAACTAGGGTATAACTGCTTTATTTATGTTACTGCATAACAAAGCAGCCTAAAACTTAGTGGTTTAAACAGCAATCAGTTATTTAGCTCACAGATTTTTAATTTGGGGAGGGCTCAGAAGGGAAGGCTGGTGTCAGCTTGGCCAGCTCAACTGGGGGCTGAATGATCTATTTCTCAGACAGCTTATTCATCCGGCTGGTACGCTGCTGCTGGCTGTCAGTGGAAGCTTGGCCAGGCTGAGGCCTGAGGGACTTAGTTCCTCTCCACCTAGGCCTTTCCACAGGCTGGATAGGCTTCCTCACACTACTGTCACTGGGTTTCAAGAAGCAAGAAGAGGAAACTGGGGTTTCCAAGTCCCGGGCCTGGAACCTGGCACAGCATCACTTCCCCCTTATTCTGTTGTTAAGCAGTCACAGAACCCAGATTCAATGGGAATAGCCATAGACCTCACTTTTGGATGGGAAGAGTGTTCAAGAATTTGGGGCTGTATTTTAAAACTGGCACAAAAATGGAGATATTATATTTTCTCATTTAATTCTAAAATGAGATAGGAAGTAATCTCTTTGGAACTCTTGTATTATCTGTTTTTTAAAAAATGGGATTATTTAGTGATTCACTCATGGTCACATATTTCAAGTTGATATTGGAGCTTAAATTCAAACCCAGTGTGGATTCAAACCCAATTATGTTGATTCTATCTCTTAATAGTCATATTCAGTCTCCTACTGGCATTTCTGCAGTTAAAGTCACCATCACTCCATGCTATACTTGCAACAACCTCCTAACCCAGCCTTCCTGCCTCCTCCTTTTTTTTTTTTTTTTGACATTAAGTCTTGCTCTGTTGCCCAGGCTAGAGTGCAGTGGCATAATCTCAGCTCACTGCAACCTCTGCCTCCTGGATTCAAGTGATTCTCCTGCCTCAGCCTCTTGAGTAGCTGGGATTACAGGTGCCCACCACCACGCTGGGCTAACTTTTGTACTTTTAATAGAGACAGGGTTTCACAATGTTGGCCAGGCTGATCTTGAACACCCAACCTCAGGTGAGCTGCCTGCCTTAGACTCCCAAAGTGCTGGGATTACACATATGAGCCACCGGGCCCGGCCTCTGGCTCTTATCTTGTTCCCCTCCAAACCTGCCCCTTCTAAGGGGTAAAAAGAATAGCATTGCTTCTCTGCTTATAATTCTTAAAGTCTCCCTGTGACCTTTAGACTGAAGCTCAGCTTTTTCCTTTCCCTTAATTTGGTTGCTAGCCCTTCATGGTGTCCCAGCCTACTCCTCAGGCTCAGAAACAGTCATTTTCTCTCTGTATCTTATTCCAGGAGATGTCAACATGTAGATTTCCCCCTTGACATTTATTGACTCAAACATGATGCTAAGTGCTTTACAGGAATTATCTAACTTACATTTTCACAACAAATCTGTTAGGTTCTCTTTTATTTGAATCTAGGTATGCTTGCTTGGGAAATCAAGCTCTTGAACTCCATGGTAAACTGTCTCTACTTGAAGTTTCCCCAATGCACAATCTCCTCTCTGATGTCTGGAATTTTATACTTGTGATGTCTTCTCTCTATCTCTACCTTTTGTCTCACTAACTTATACTTCCTTTTCAGGTTCAGCTATAGACAGTCTTCCCTCCAGGAAGATTTCTCAAGACTGGTTGAGCTTCCCTGATATTTCTGCTCATAGTATCCTGCCTTATTCTTAGCCAGTGCATTTCATTTTGTACTAATATTATTTGTTTTCTCATGTCCCTCATGAACTGTGAATTCTTTGAGGGTAAGAACAGTGTGTTGACATCATGTTTCTCTTCTGAAGTGAAAGGCATTTTAGTACAACATCCTCCAACCTCACAGGTTCTCTTTGAGCTCTCATTGTCTATGAGGCTATGAGTTTGCTGAGCTCTCACTGCCACATATGCAACCATATACCAAAAACTGGACCCAGGTAACTGAATTTGTCATGATGGGCTTTGCTGGCATCCATGAAGCACACCTCCTCTTCTTCATACTCTTCCTCACCATGTACCTGTTCACCTTGGTGGAGAATTTGGCCATCATTTTAGTGGTGGGTTTGGACCACCGACTACGGAGACCCATGTATTTCTTCCTGACACACTTGTCCTGCCTTGAAATCTGGTACACTTCTGTTACAGTGCCCAAGATGCTGGCTGGTTTTATTGGGGTGGATGGTGGCAAGAATATCTCTTATGCTGATTGCCTATCCCAGCTCTTCATCTTCACCTTTCTTGGGGCAACTGAGTGTTTCCTACTGGCTGCCATGGCCTATGATCGTTATGTGGCCATTTGTATGCCTCTCCACTATGGGGCTTTTGTGTCCTGGGGCACCTGCATCCGTCTGGCAGCTGCCTGTTGGCTGGTAGGTTTCCTCACACCCATCTTGCCAATCTACCTCTTGTCTCAGCTAACATTTTATGGCCCAAATGTCATTGACCATTTCTCCTGTGATGCCTCACCCTTGCTAGCCTTGTCGTGCTCAGATGTCACTTGGAAGGAGACTGTGGATTTCCTGGTGTCTCTGGCTGTGCTACTGGCCTCCTCTATGGTCATTGCTGTGTCCTATGGCAACATCGTCTGGACACTGCTGCACATCCGCTCAGCTGCTGAGCGCTGGAAGGCCTTCTCTACCTGTGCAGCTCACCTGACTGTGGTGAGCCTCTTCTATGGCACTCTTTTCTTTATGTATGTCCAGACCAAGGTGACCTCCTCCATCAACTTCAACAAGGTGGTATCTGTCTTCTACTCTGTTGTCACGCCCATGCTCAATCCTCTCATCTACAGTCTTAGGAACAAGGAAGTGAAGGGAGCTCTGGGTCGAGTCTTTTCTCTCAACTTTTGGAAGGGACAGTGAGGAGGCAGGTGGGAACCCAGTTTCCTTGCCTTGGATATTTAAAAACAGGTTAGTCAATAACATTTAAGCTGAGACCAAATCAAGAATGCAGTTCCATTTATAACAGCCACAAAAAATACAATACCTAGGAATACAACTAACCAAGGAAGTGAAAGATATTTATAAGGGGAACCACAAAACACTGCTAAAAGAAATCAGAGATGACACAAACAAATGAAAAAACATCCCATGCTCACAGATTGGAAGAATCAATATCATTAAAATGGTCACACTGCCCAAAGCAATCCGCAGATTCAATGCTATTCCTATCAAACTATCAATGTCATTTTTCACAGAATTAGAAAAAACAATTCTAAAATTCATATGAAAGCAAAAAAGGAGCCCAAATTGCCAAAGCAATCCTAAGCAAAAAAAACCAAAAAAATAAATCTGGAGGCATTATATTATCTGACTTAAAACTATACTATAAGGCTACAGTAACCAAAACAGCATGGTGCTAGTACAGAAACAGACACATAGACCAATGGGACAGAATAGAAAACCCAGAAATAAAACTGTACATTGCTACCAACTGATCTTTGAAAAAGCTGACAAAAATAAGCAATGGAGAAAAGATTCCCTACTCAATAAATGGTGCTGGGAAAACTGGCTAGCCATATGCAGAAGACTGAAACTGAACCTCTACTTATCACCATATTCAAAAATTAAGATGGATTAAAGACTTAAATATAAGACCTCAAACTATAAAAAAATCCTGGAAGAAGACCTAGGAAATACCCTTCTGGACATTGGTCTTGGGAAAGAATTTATTACTAAGTTCTCAAAAGCAATTGCAATGAAAACAAAAATTAACAAGTGGGACTTAATTAAATAGCTTCTGCACAGTAAAATAAACTGTTGACATGACAAACAGGTAAACTACCAAATAAAAGAAAATATTCGCAAACTATGCATCTGACAAAGGTTTAATATCCAGAATCTATAAGGGACTTAAATCAACAAGAAAAAAACAATTAATCCCATTAAAAAGTGGGTAGAGGACATGAACAGACACTTATCAAAAGAAGATATCCAAGTTGTAAACAACCATATGAAAAAATTCTCATCATCACTAACCATCAGAGAAGTGCAAATGAAAACATAATGAGATATCATCTCATGCCAGTTAGAATGGCTATTATCAAAGAGTCAAAAAATAACAGATGTTGGAGAGGTTGCAGAGAAAAGGGAATGCTTATGCACTGTTGGTGAGAGTGCAAATTAGTTCAGCCACATGGAAAGCAGTTTGAAGATTTCTCAAAGAATGAAAAATAGAACTGCTATTCAAGCCAGCAATCCCATTACTAGGTATATACTCAAAGTAAAATAATCGTTCTATCAAAATGACACATGCACTTGTATGTTCATCATGACACTATTTGCAATAACAAAGAGATGGAATCAGTCTAGGTGTCTATCAATGGTAGATTGGATAAAGAAAATGCAATACATATACACCATGGAATACTATGCAGACATGAAAAAGAATGAAATTGTATTATATGCAGCAACATGGATGTAGTGGGAGGCCATTATCCTAAGCAAATTAATGCAGAAACTGAAAATCAAATATTTTGTTTTCTCACTTGTAAGTAGGAGCTAAATCTTGGGTACACATGAACATAAAGATGGGAATAAGAGATACTGGGGACCTCAAAAGGAGGGAGAGAGGGGAGGGGGCAATGGCTGAAAAACTGCCTGTTGGGTACTATGTTCCCATCTAGGTGACAGAATGAATAGAGTCCAAACCTTACCATCCCACAATATATCCTTGTGACAAATCTGCACATGTACCCCCTGAATCTAAAATAAAAATGGAAATTAAAAAAATAAAAGGACAGTGGTGAGGACTATGGAAGGGAGCTATGGTCTGAATAGTCAGGAGTTATGGACTATATATTAGATAAAGTAAAATGCTAAGTCTCTATAACAAGAGAGACTTAACTATAGTGTAGCTTAAAGAATGAAGGAGATTTTCTTTTTCTGGCAAGAGTCCACAGTGAGTGTTCCAGCCTGGTGGTGGCTCTGTTCAACTTTAAGGATGCAAGTTTATTCTATCTTGCAGGATCAACATCCCCTAGGATGTTGGCTAAGAAAGTTCTGCTGGCCAAATCCAGCTCAGCACTTGCTTTTTTTTTTTTTTTTTTTTTTTTTTAGACAGAGTCTTGCTCTGTCGGCCAGGCTAGAGGGAGTGCGGTGGCGTGATCTCGGCTCACTGCAAGCTCCGCCTCCCAGGTTCATGCCATTCTCCTGCTTCAGTCTCCCGAGTAGCTAGGACTACAGGGGCCCGCCACCATGCCTGGCTAATTTTTTTTATATTTTTAGTAGAAATGAGGCTTCACCGTATTAGCCAGGATGGTCTCGATCTTCTGACCTCGTGATCTGCCCACCTCGGCCTCCCAAAGTGCTGGGATTACAGGCTTGAGCCACTGCACCCGGCCAGCACTTGCTTTTTTAATTGCCTGTGAACTAATAATGATTTTTACATTTTTAAATGGTTGAAGACAAATTGAAAGAAGAATAATATTTCATGACACACAAACATTTGAATTTTATAAAATTCAAATTTCAGCGCCCATAAATCAAGCTTAATTAGAACATAGTCACACCTATATGTATCATCGGTGGTTGCTTTTGTGCTACAATGGCAGTAGTTGTGGCAGAAACCATTTGCCAACCCTTGTCTAGAGCCTTCTTGTTATTTACATGGTCAATACTGGGTCCCAGTGGGAAAGAAGGGTGAAGATAGAGCATGGAGGAGACACACTGTCTGTCTTAAGGTTTCTTTCTTTCCTTCCTTCCTTCCTTCCTTCCTTCCTTCCTTCTTCCTTCCCTCCCTCCTTTCTCCCTTCCTTCCTTCCTTCCTTCCTTCCTTCCTTGCTTCCTTCCTTCATTTTTTTTTTTTAGGGTCTCACTCTGTCACCCAGGCTGGAGTGTGGTGGTGCGATCTTGGCTCATTGCAACCTCCACCTCTTGGACTTAGGTAATCCTGCCACCTCGGCCTCCTGAGTAGCTGGGACTACAGGTGCACAGCATCAAACCTGGCTAATTTTTAAATTTCTTGTAGAGATGGGTTTCGCCAGGTTATTTTCCAGGCTGATCTCAAACTCCTGGGCTCAAGCGATCTGCCACCTTGGCCTCCCAAAGTATTGGGACTACAGGAATGAATTAAGATTTCTTGATTAGATGTAGCAGTCATCACTTCCTCTCACCTCTTTGGTGAGAAGTGAGCCTTAGGTCAAATCTAATTGCAAGGGTAGTAAAAATAGTCCATAGTTAGGTAGCCAGATGCCCAGTCACCATTTAATTATTGCAGAAAAAGAAAAAAAACAAATTGTGGTAGACAATCCACAGTTTTTGGCACAAACTAAGTCCCCAGAATAAAAGCTGATTTTTCATGTGGTCCATGCACTTAATCATTTTTTGTATCTATATTTGCTTATTTGATATATAGACTGCTCCCCTATGTCAGTTGGTATTTTGGAAATTGAAGGAGCTCTTTATGGCAGTGTCAACTCTTTTGAAGTAAGGCTTAAAAAGACAATTATAATTCAGGTATTTCTTTACATGTAGGTAGATGCACTTAAAAAGACATTTATAATAATCATTTCAATGTGGATTCCAGAAACTATAGAATATGGAAGAGGAAAATGTTGAGCTTGGGACTGAATTGGGGGAAAGACATATTTTCCTTAGGGGCCAGTAATGAGCATATTGCAATATGGTGCCCCTCATTGTCACAGTCTCCCTGAATAGGGTCTGACCTATCGCATTTTCCAAAGTTAACAGGAAGGGCACATTTTGAAAATCATTTCATTTATTGACTATTGTATCAAGAATGTGCTTTAGATTCTTTTGGATGACAGCAAGATGCAAAAACAATGCAGAGGTGAGAACCTTTCCAGATCAAATATAATAATCCATGTGAATGAAATACAAGTAGTATATGAACATACTTTATTTTATTATGTTTTGTGTTATTGTGCTTCACTGGTACTGGTTTTTTTTTTTTTTTACAAATTGAAGATTTGTAGCAATTCTGTGTTAAGTCTATTAGTGCCATTTTTTCAATAGCATGTGCTCACTTTGCTTCTTTGTGTCACATTTTAGTAATTCTCGCAACATTTTAAACTTTACTGTTATTATTATATGTGTCATAATGATCTATGAGTAGTGATTTTTGATGTCACTATTGTCATTGTTTTGGGGAGCTATGAACTGTGCACATATAGGACAGTGAACTTAACTGATAAATATGTGTGTTCCGACTGCTTCACTGAGTAAACATTTTCCTGTCTCATGCTGTTTACAGCATGGTTTACTGAATATTTTCAGCCTACTATTGAGACCTACTGCTCGGGAAAGAATAGTTCTTCCAAAATATTACTGCTCATTGACAATGCACCTGATGACACGAGAGTTCTGATGGAAATGTACAAGGAGATTCATGTTGTTTTCATACCTCCTAACATAACATCCATTCCATAGCCCATGGTACAAGTAGTTTTTGATTTCAAGTCTTATTTAGGACATACATTTGGTAAGGCTATAGCTGCCATAGATAGTGATTTCTCTGATGGATCTGGACAAAGTAAATTCAAAATCTTCTGGAAAGGATTGATCATTCTAGGTGCCATTAAGAGCACTCATGACTCATGGGAGGAGGTCAAAATATCAACATGATCAGGAGTTTGGAATAAGTTGATTCCAACCCTTATGGATGACTTTGAGGGGTTCAAGACTTTAGTGGAGGAAGTAATGGCAGATGTGGTGGAAACATCAAGAGAATTAGAATTAGAAGTGGAGCCTGAAGATGTGACTGAATTGCTGCAATCTCATGACAAAACGAATGGATGAAGAGTTGCTTCTTATGGGTGAGCAAAGAAAGTAGTTTCTTGAGATGGACTCTACTCCTGGTGAAGATGCTGTGAACATTGTTGAAATTACAATAAAAGGATTTAGAATATTCCATAAACTTAGTTGATAAAACACCATCAGGGCTTGAAAGAATTGACTTGAATTTTAAAAGTTCTACTGTGGGTAAAATAGTGTTAATTAGCATCATGTGTTACAGAGAAATTTTTCACAAAAAGAAGAGTCAATCAATACAGCAAACTTCATTGTTGTCTTGTTTTAATAAAGCCACCTCAATCATCAGCAACCACCACCCTGATTGGACAGCAGCCATCGATATTGAGGCAAGTCCCTCTATAAGCAAAAAGATTAAGATTCTCTGAAGGCTCAGATTATTGTTAGCATTTTTTTTAGCAATAAAGTATTTTTAAAATTAAGGTATGTACATTTTCTTAGACATAATGCTATTGCACACTTAATAGACTACACTATAGTGTAAACATACTTTTGTATGCACTGGGAAACTAAAAATTTGTGTGAGAGCTTGCTTTATTCACTTATTTCTGTGATCTGAAACCAAACCCACAATATGTCTGGGGTATGCCTGTAGACTTTCAGGCACCTGACCTGAGTAGATATGAACACAAAATGAGTTAGACTTTTAGGTTTCCGAACAAAATGGAAAGATGAAAAGAAAGCAAAACATACTGGGTTATGTAGTTTTCATTTATTGTAGCAGAAAAAATTCAAATTCCAACACAGGGAATGTTTTCTGAATTTTGAGAACTACTCTAAGGATAACTATATGGGAAGTGTCAGTAAAGTTTACCATTTTGAGCTTCTTAAAGAATAACTATATATATATATATATATATATATATATATATATATTTTTTTTTTTTTTTTTTTTTTTTTTTTTTTTTTTTTTTTTTTTTTTGAGACGGAGTCTCACTCAGTCGCCCAGGCTGGGATGCAGTGGCGCGATCTCGGCTCACTGCAAGCTCTGCCTTCTGGGTTCATGCCATTCTCCTGCCTCAGCCTCCCGAGTAGCTGGGACTACAGGTGGCTGCCACCACGCCTGGCTAATTTTTTTTGTTTTTTTTTTTTTTTTTTAGTAGAGACGGGGTTTTACCATGTTAGCCAGGATGGTCTCGAACTCCTGACCTCATGATCCGCCTGCCTCGGCCTCCCAAAGTGCTGGGATTACAGGCATGAGCTACCGCGCCCGGCCAGAATAACTATATTTTTGAGATAAATTACATAAAACGGTAAAAAGTCTGATGCATACCCATAGAAAGGATCCTAAACATATTAACGTGAATATTGCTTTAATAAAACTTGATACAAGTAATGAAACTGGGAAAAACCCAGTTTTGTGAATGTGATTATTTACATTACAAATTAAAACAATAACTCCCTTAAAAACCAGTCCTACCTACAAGAATTTGAGGTGCATGATATGTGCAGGTATTGATAGCTAAATTTTTAAAGCCACTACTAATGGCAGATCAATCTGCAATGAGATAAGCTATACAATCATGTTGTAGGAAATGCACATTTTTGTAAATAGGGAGTTTCTAAAAATATAGTTTCTTCTTTGGGGATATATCTATTATAGAGTGAAACATTGTCATATGAAGGATTAACCTAGCATAGATACTACTCCACTGTTACTCAGAGAATGTCACAGGGAGTAATTCTGGACAAATAAGACTTATTAAGATGGAATTCAGTAAGGAGTGATGCTTGTCTTACTCTGACCATTCTGGGTATTAGGATACTGATTTGTTAGGTAGAAACTACCTGGTAACCACCCTTGGGAAGGTCCTTTGACTTGGGACTTGGTGAGAATGACTGGATCTACACTTTGAAATCAGAACCCTACAGTTTTCTGTGAGCCATTACATCACCATTGTCAAAAGCTCTGGTATAACTCTCCTTCACTGACATTCTTCTGGTCTCTCTTTTATGGCTCCATGTTTTTCTTGTCCCTTGTACCTGTGCTGGGATTTCTATTTCGTTTTTCAGGGTTCTTAGTCTTTTTAGTTAGTCTCTTATTTTTCCATTTTTACATGCCAAGTCCTTAGCAACTGATTTTTAGGGTGTGTCTGTCAAAATGTTGGCTTTGGCTGTGGAATGCTACAGCTTTGTTCCTCTAAATTGAATCTTCTTCTTTATTTTTAAATTATTTATTTATTTATTTATTTTGAGACAGGGTCTCACTCTGATGCCCAGGCTGGAGTGCAGTGGCACAATCTTGGCTCACTGCAATCTCTGCCTCCCAGTTTCAAGTGATTCTCCTGCCTCAGCCTCCCAAGTAACTGGGACTATAGAAGCACACCACCTCACCCACCTAATTTTTGTATTTTTAGTAGAGATGGGCTTTCACCATTTGGCCAGGCTGCTCTCAAACTTGTGACCTCAGGTGATCCACCCGCCTTGGCCTCCCCAAGTTCTGGGATTACTAGCGTGAGCCACTGCGCCCGGCCTAAATGGAATCTTCTTCATATCCTTGCTTTCTTTGGTGGCTTCATTCTCATTGGTTCCAATAACATCTTTGGCCAGCCTTGTCAAGGTAGGATTTTCAGCACCTTTTGGTAGGAACTTAAAATGAATCTCATTGCCCAGAAATGTGGTTGCCTTGATACGTTGAGATATTTTGTGTAACGAGAGTAAAGCTCTGTTTCTCCCCAGGGAGCAACCCAGGAGCACTTTCATTTAATCAGTTGATGCCCAGTATTTTGTGGGCTTCTTTAGCATCCTCACACTCTCATGGAAGTGGAGAGGCTTCCTTTAGAGCAGACTTTGCATAGGTGGTCACTTCACTGGGTCTGTGACAGTCACCTGTCCTCATTTACTCCAAGGCAAGCAGCTACAGGTTATTTACTTATAAAACAGTTTCACAATAGATATGTTTAGTCCACTCCACTCAGGTTAGGTTGGTGATGGCAGATCACAAACTCTTTGCTAATAAGGATTATAGTTTAGCCTCTCTGAAGGTCCCTTCCAGGACATAGCTTAGAGCAAGTGTCCTGTAAAACTTTCAGTTATTTGGCAATAAATCAAGGTAAAGGTTTTGCCACTGGGTATGATTTTATTGATTTATTTAACAAATGCTTGTTTAGTGTTTGTTCTGTGCCAGGTACTTTCCTAAATGTTTTACTAAATTTATTACTCCTAAATTTATTAACACCTCATTGATAATATCATGAAGTCAGTGCTATTATTATCCTTCTTTATAGAGGAGAAAACTGAGGGACAGAGAAGCTAAGTAACTTGTCCAAAGTCACCCAGCAAAGTAGGTGGCAGAGCTAGGGCTTGAAACCTGTTCATTGACTCTTAACCTCTGTACAGTGATACCCTGAGTAAATTGGTTCCCTCTCCTGGCATCAGTTCCCTTATCTGTAAAAGGACAGAGTGGACTGGGTGACTTTAAATATCTACCTTTTGAATGTTTATCATGTGCTGAGATGTTTCATACAGTTTCTTGTTTTATCACAACAACCCGAAGATGAAGTCTTAGTCTCATTTTACATTGCAGCAAACTGAGGCTCAGAGAGGTGAGGTAACATGCTGAGGTTTATATAGCTATGACAGCAGGAGGACATGAACCAGGTCTGGCTGGCTCCACTCAACCACTCTACCTGTCTCCTCTCAAAGACCTTTTCCAATGCTAATTTTGCATAAGTTGATTCATTCATTTACCAATCACGTATTCTGTCTCCTCACTGTATGAGGTGCTGGCTGGGTGCTGAGAGGCCATAGAATGAATTAGACCAGATGCTTCTATCAAGGACAATATTATTTGCAAACATGTCTTCTCTCCCCTTGATAGAATGAAATATAAAATAGAAGCAGCTCAGGGACAGGGAGGGGTTCAGACCTGTGTGATGGGGCTCAGAAGAAGGCTCGTCCTCCTGGTGGGGAGTTCAGGAAGGCATCCCTGAGAAAGCCACGCTCCCTATGGTTCACTTCAGTTTTTCCCACTTGCGATGATGCCGGCCAAACATTTGGTCTTTTGTGTTCTTTTCAGGATGGAGAAGGATGATGTAGCATTTGGAAAAGAAGAGGGAGGACATGAGGCCTCCTGCTGATGCCAAGATGACAAAGACCTCCATGGCCATGGTGTCTTTGCTGTGGGCATGCATGTGGGCAGGTATGAAGGACACCCAGACACAGGAGCAGACAACATGCTGAGAGTGATATGCTTTGCTTCATTGAAGGTGTCAGGCAGCCGGCAGGTGGGGAAGGTCACCAGCAAGCTGACCAGATCTAGCAAACTCAAGTAGCCCAGTTCCAAGAGAAGTTCCAAGGAGCCTTTATCACACTTTACAGTCACTGTGGGCCAGGGTTCTGTAGAGTTTCACAGGCTGAGGGGGCCATCTGGTCACCCAGAGTGCACACAAGGCTGCCTGGGTCAGGGAACAGTGAGGATGGTGCTGAGGAGGACTGTCCCCGCCCACCCCCTAAGCTGGGTGTCTGCCTGGGTGGCATGGAAGGCTGCCACCACCACGATGGTCTTGGCCAGCACAGTGGATGTGCAGACCATGAAGGTGACCCCAAAATCTGCCTGGTGCACAGCACAAGTGATGGGGTCTGGGTGGCCAATGAACATGAAGGGGCAGAGGAAGCTGAGGGCCAAGGAGGACAGCAGGAGATAGCTGAGCTGGCAGTTGTTGGCTCGGATGATGGGAGTGTGGTGGTGTCAGACGAAGATGCCTAAGATGGCCAGGGCAAGGAGAAAGAGCAGGGCTGTGCAGACAGCCAACGCTGTGTCAAGGGGCTTGTGATAGAACAAGAAGTCAAGGGTTTTGGGGATGCACTCGCCCTTCTGCACATTGGGCCACTGGTTGTCAGAGCACTTCTGACATGCAACACTATCTGAAGGGAGAAAGAGAAACTGGGTCAGACAACAGAGTGGGGAAGCTTTTGGAAATTTTTCCGTGGTCAAGCAGTTCTACAACTTGTGATGGCTTATCTAGCAGGCTTTGGTGCATTTCAGTCTCAATTGGATGGGCCTTCCAGATTGTCTGATGTCCTCGGATTCAGGGCCAAAGACACAGATGGCAGAAATCCTGACAGCAGCTGCTTATCATGCATCAGACTATCATGAAATAACACTGAGACAACCACCTATGGAAGCTCCAACTCCTGTCTAGGATCCCTTTAAATTGACCAACCATTGTGGTAATGTTGTAATTCATAGCCACAGCTAATTAATTTACAGATTTATTCAGGCATCAGCCAATTTAGTTTAAGGAATGTTTATGGAGTGCTTAGTATGTACACAGATTCTCTTTTTAAACCGTGCTACCCTTCTCTAAATAACAATATTAACAAAACTTAACAGTTTTGTATTCCATAGTGATTTTAAGGATGTATTTTGTGGCCTGAGCCCTGGAATAGTCATTTATTCTTATTTGATCTCTTTCCTGGATGGTAATGCCTAGGTTTTCTTCTAGGGTTTTTATGGTTTTAGGTCTAACGTTTAAGTCTTTAATCCATCTTGAATTAATTTTTGTATAAGGTGTAAGGAAGGGATCCAGGTTCAGCTTTCTACATATGGCTAGCCAGTTTTCCCAGCACCATTTATTAAATAGGGAATCCTTTCCCCATTGCTTGTTTTTCTCAGGTTTGTCAAAGATCAGATAGTTGTAGATATGCGGCGTTATTTCTGATGGCTCTGTTCCGTTCCATTGATCTATATCACTGTTTTGGTACCAGTACCATGCTGTTTTGGTGACTGTAGCCTTGTAGTATAGTTTGAAGTCAGGTAGTGTGATGCCTCCAGCTTTGTTCTTTTGGCTTAGGATTGACTTGGCGATGCGGGCTCTTTTTTGTTTCCATATGAACTTTCAAGTAGTTTTTTCCAATTCTGTGAAGAAAGTCATTGGTAGCTTGATGGGGATGGCATTGAATCTATAAATGACCTTGGGCAGTATGGCCATTTTCACGATATTGATTCTTCCTACCCATTAGCATGGAATGTTCTTCCATTCGTTTGTATCCTCTTTTATTTCCTTGAGCAGTGGTTTGTAGTTCTCCTTGAAGAGGTCCTTCACATCCCTTGTAAGTTGGATTCCTAGGTATTTTATTCTCTTTGAAGCAATTGTAAATGGGAGTTCACTCATGATTTGGCTCTCTGTTTGTCTGTTATTGGTGTGTGAGAATGCTTGTGATTTTTGTACATTGATTTTATATCCTGAGACTTTGCTGAAGTTGCTTATCAGCTTAAGGAGATTTTGGGCTGAGACAATGGGGTTTTCTAGATATACAATCATGTCGTCTGCAAATAGGGACAATTTGATCTCTTTCCTTGATTTGGATATATTTGTAGGGTCCTAGATACTTTGATTCCATGTCTTCCTAGTGTCTAAGTTCAAGGATTTCTCATTTGTGTCATCCTCTCTTCAGCACCTGGTGGTTCCTTCTCAGCTTCATTCGGTGGAAACTTTCTCTTCAAAAGGGCAAAAGGTATTTCCAAAGTCTCTACTTTCCCAGGGAGAGTTTTGAAGAGACTTCATCCAAACCTGTGGCTTCAACAATTACCTGGATTCTGAACCTGGTCTTCCTGCTCCAATCTCCCTCCTTTGTCTATTTGTCTATTCATTTCCCCAAGACACACACTGAAATACACATTGCTTTTATACTGAAGTAGTTCAGAGGCTCCTCCCCATTTTCTATAGAATAGAGTCCATGCTCCAGAGTCCAGCAGGTAAAGTCCTCTATGATCTGACCACCTGCTTCCTATATCTTGCATCACAATTGATGCTGAAACCACTCTCAGCTCCTTATTGCTTTCATGCCTTTACTATAATAACTTCCTCCTTGGCCTGGAATATCCTTATTATGCTTCATTGCCTTTGAAACCTTGCTTGTTGTTTAAGGCCTGTGTCACATGCCACCCCTTGCATTGCCAAGTCTCCCTGCCTATTTGTTAGAATTAATTGTTCCAACGTGCTTTCACAGCTCGATGCTTGAATATTTATTTATTTATTACAGTATTGACTTCACTTTATAGTCTAGTTTCTTTATTGAGAGATGAGCTGTGCTAGGTGTAGGGGTCCAGTATCATTCTCTTTTAATATATCCTGAGCTCTGTGGGTCCAGGACCATGGCTTATTTGTTGTTGGTACCCTTGCACCCAGCACAGTGGTTGTATATGGTTGGTGCCAGTTGATATCTGTTGAATGAATGACATCTTAGTAAAATAAAGATTATGTCATTAGGGTAATTCTTTTTAAACATTTATGAAATGCCTACCATATGGCAAATGTTAAACTAAGTACAGGATTTGAACAAACTCATGGTTGATAAAAGAAAGAATGAATTTAATAGCCTCAAATGGCTTTAATGTAGCATCTAGGAAGGTCACATTGACATCTTCTTTTTGGTCTCGACTTCCCTGGACTTTTCCATTGAAGGAATTTCCTTGATGTGGACACAGCTTTCATCTGAAGTCTACTCTGGCTGATGGCTGGCCACCCTCTGACCAAGAACCAGCCTCCCTCCTTACCTGGTGACATTGCGATTTCTCTTCTGGGTCAGGGAAGGCTTTTGTAGCAGCATTTTGACTTCTCAAATAGGGTTGACTTCCTGGTTTCCACAGGACGTTTTTCGTTGCAGACAGAGGAAGGGACCTACACACAAGAGGTGGGAGAGTGGAGGGGAGAGAGTGCTGGGGAGACTGCAGGGGGAATTGAGCGACATCTGTGCAGTCAGGTCGTGGAGGAATAAGCCTCATCGTTTTCACTTACTAGGTCCCTCTCTCTCTTTCTTTCTCTTACTCCTTCCTTTATTAAACCCCTCTTTATCACGTTTTCCTTTTCTACTCTCTTTCATTTTCCTCTTTCTCCATTTCTTGCTCAGATAATTAAAAATGTGTTCCGTATATCAGGTACTGTACAGGGTGTTAGGGAAACAGTGATAGGTAAGAATAAGCTCTTCCGGATTTCGAGTGTGGTGGGAAAACAAGACATCTTGATGGTTGGAATTCTGGTTCTGCCCTTTATGGTTTGCGTGCCTTGGGCTTAACATCTCTAAGCTTCAGATTCCTCTTCAATAAAATGGAGATATAGATGGGGCATCCCTAATTTGAAAATCTGAAATCTGGAATGCTCCAAAATCCAAAACTTTTTGAGTGCCAACATGATGCCTCAAGTGGAAAATTCCACACCTGACTTGACATAAACAAACTTTGTTTCATGCATGATATAGTTAAAAATATTGTAAAAAATTACCTTCAGACTATGTGTATAAGTGGTATATGAAACATAAATGAATTTCATATTTAGACTTGGATCCTATCCCCAAGATATTTCCTTATGCATATGCAAATATTTCAAAATCTGAAAAAATCTGAAATCCAAAACACTTCTGGTCCCAAGCAATTCGGATAAGGGATACTCAAGTTGTAGTAATAATATGTATTTTTTGTTTGTTTGTTTTTTTGAGACAGGACCTCACTCTGTCACCCAGGCTGGAGTTCAGTGGCACAATCTTGGCTCACTGCAACCTCCGCCTCCCGGGTTCAAGCGATTCTCCTGCCTCAGCCTCCCAAGTAGCTGGGATTACAGATGCGTGCCACTACCGCCGGGCCAATTTTTGTATTTTTAGTAGAGACAGGGTTTCACCATATTGGCCAGGCTGGTCTCGAACTCCTGACCTCAAATGATCCATCTGTCTTGGCCTCCAAAAGTGCTGAGATCACAGACGTGAGCCACCACGCCTGGCCATAATGATATGTGCTTTGAAGGTGGTGTTGGGATTAAATAAGACAATGTAAGTGAAGTCCATATCATAGTGACCAGAATCATGAGTGCATGACAAGTGCTAGTGAGCTGGGATCATATTCCGAAGTGTTAACTGAAGAGTCTGTCTTTCACTCTAGGCTCATCAAATCCCTTTGTTTATATTTAAGGGACTAATTTTCCCCTAGCCCCAACAGAACTGGGTCATCCACAGTGAATCAGAAACAAAGACTACAAACACTACCTAAGCCTCAGCACCACTCTAGGGTTCCTTGAGTCCAGGGTGTCTAAACCTCAGCACTACTGACACAGGGGCTGGATAATTCTTTGTTATGGAGAACTGTCCTGTGCATCTTAGGGCATTTAGCAGCAACCTTGGCCCCTGCCCCACTGGATGCCAGCAGCACTCCCTCAAGTTGTGACAACCAAAACTGTCTCCATACATTGTCATTGTCCCATGAGAGGCAAAATCACTCCAAGTTGGGAGCAACTGAGATTCAGATCATGCTTGCAGAATGAATTTCCTTAGAAAGGTCTGATGCATGGATTCTGTGGTCTGAGGAAGGAGAAGCAAGAGAGAAGATAAGTACCTGGGCTGCGAGATACCTGAAACAGTACTGAGTGAAGATCTCAACAGGTGGGGTCAGCCCCTTGCCTGTGGGGCGACAATGCTAATTTCTTCCCTGGAACTCTATTCTGCTTCCTTGTTCATAAGCAACTTTGTTCCCTCCTCTCAGGGTGGGATGATTTGGACATTGAGGTGTGATAGTCATGGGAATAAAAAACCATATGCCTGACTAAGGTGAGACCAGTGGGAACAAGTTTGAAATCACGGAGAAAAGAGATAGAACGTATTATAGAACATATTATACCAGTTATAGTCATTTTCTTACTCTTATCATAGAGGTATGTGAAAAATGCTATTGTTGCTCAGTGAAGGGAGTGTTTAACCCTGCCTACACAAGTTAAAGGAAACTGCAGGAGGCATGATGATAGTTGAGATGTAACTGCACTTAAATTAGAATTTCTCAGCTGATCGTGGTGGCTCACACCTGTAATTCCAGCACTTTGGGAGGCTGAGGCGGGTGGATCGTCTGAGGTCAGGAGTTTGAGACCGACCTGGCCAACATGGTGAAACCCCGTCTCTACTAAAAATACAAAAAGTTAGCTGGGCGTGGTAGTGGGTGCATGTAATCCCAGCTACTCTGGAGGCTGAGGCAGGAGAATCACTTGAACCTGGGAGGCAGAGGTTGCAGTGAGCTGAGATCACGCCATTGCATTCCAGCCTGGGCAACAAGAGGGAAACTCCATCTTAAAAAAAAAGAAAAAAAAAGAATTTCTCCCTCTGGTGACCTTAGATACTTAGGGGTCTGGGAAAGGACTAATGGGATTCCATGGGTTATTTTCCACTGCTTAAAAAAGCTCAGCATCGATTGCCTATTTCTTGACATAAGTCTGCAAGGCTAAATCAGTAGTATCTCTAGGTATCTGGAGTTGACCATCTCAGGGTAAACTTGAATTGACAATTGTATCTAATTTGTTTTCCCATTTGCTCATTAGTTATCTTTGCCTTTAGCAAGGTCCCTAATTTTGGGAGCCAGGGAGTTTGGAAGGTTTTATTTACTGAACAGCCTCAAAGTTGTGTAAGTCAATAATCCACCCCTTTTTGACCCAGTATCCTAAGTGAGTTCAATATGACAAATACTCCTGGAGCTTGGGATGTGAGAGGTGCTGTGTGGTCTTGGTTCTTAGGGTTCTCTCAGCTCTAATCTTTAAGGGTCCTTCTGCCCAGACAATTGCGCTGTCATCCAACAGAAGCTCTTTTCCAGAAGGTGCTCTGAAGTCAAAGTGTCCAACAATGGCTGTCTGTCCTGACAGGTCTGGGAGAACATAGATGTTTTTAATGTCAAACGTTGTCAGCACTTCCCCATCTTTGGCGAAGAAAACCTCTTCTTGGGCTTTGGTGGTGAAGTTAACCTTTCAGGCATAATGGAGCACCTGAAAGAGGGATGGAAGATAACAGTAAAAAATTGATTAAGAGCAGCTGGGCACAGTCACTCATACCTGTAATCCCAGCACTTTGGGAGGCAGAGGCAGGCAGATCACGGGGTCAGGAGTTTCAGACCAGCCTGGCCAACATGGTGAAACCTCATCTCTACTAATGATACAAAAAAAAAAAAAAAAATTAGCTTGCCGTGATGGTGGGCACAAGTAATCTCAGCTACTCAGGAGGCTGAGGCAGAAGAATCGCTTGAACTCAGAAGGCGGAGGTTGCGGTGAGCCAAGATCTCACCACTGCACCCCAGCCTGGTGACAGAGAGAGACTCCGTCTCACATTAGGAGCCCTTCCTCCACATCACTGGACAGTTCTCCCATATCTATGCTTGTTTGTGCCTTGGAGGGAGGCATCTTATCTCTGCACACTTTATGAAAAAAGAGCTCTGTTTTCTCATGTTCCAAGTTTGTGTTAATCTATAGGGGCCAGGGTAGGGAAGTGAAAGACAAGATAATGGGGATCTGAAACACTAGATCTTGCCTAAGACTGCTTCACAGATAGGCTGGTCTTATGAATAGGAACCTATCCAGTTTTTTACAATCCATCCATACGAATTACTTAGCATCCTTCTTTGTGCCAGTTAGGATTGGTACCTAGGATAGAAAAACTCAGTCCTGCCTTCAAGGCACAAAGAAGTGTGGCTGATAAAAAAATGTGTTTTGACTAAAAGCAGATATGGATTTGCGAATTACCCTGATTTGATCATTACATATTGTATACATGTACTGAAATATCACACTGTATCTCATGAATATGAATGATTATTTCAATATATCAATTAGGCTGGCCATGGTGGCTCACGCCTGTAATCCCAGCACTTTAGCAGGCCGAGATCAGGAGTTTGAGACCAGCGTGGCCAACATGGTGAAACCCCACCTCTACTAAAAATACAAAAAAAAAAAAAAAAATAGCCGGGCATGGTGGCACATGCTGTAGCCCCAGCTACTTGGGAGGCTGAGACAGAAGAATTGCTTGAACCCTTGAACTCAGGAGGTGGAGGTTGCAGTCAGCTGAGATCGCACCACTGCACTCCAGCCTGGGCAATAGAGCAAGGACTCCATCTTAAAAAAAAAAATATATATATATATATTTTTTAGCAAGACTAATAAAAAAAGAGAGAAGAATCAAATAGACACAATAAAAAATGATAAAGGGGATATCACCACCGATCCCACAGAAATACAAACTGCCATCAGAGAATACTACAAACACCTCTACGCAAATAAACTAGAAAATCTAGAAGAAATGGATACATTCCTCGACACATACACTCTCCCAAGACTAAACCAGGAAGAAGTTGAATCTCTGAATAGACCAATAACAGGCTCTGAAATTGTGGCAATAATCAATAGTTTACCAACCAAAAAGAGTCCAGGACCAGATGGATTCACAGCCGAATTCTACCAGAGGTACAAGGAGGAACTGGTACCATTCCTTCTGAAACTATTCCAATCAATAGAAAAAGAGGGAATCCTCCCTAACTCATTTTATGAGGCCAGCATCATTCTGATACCAAAGCCGGGCAGAGACACAACCAAAAAAGAGAATTTTAGACCAATATCCTTGATGAACATTGATGCAAAAATCCTCAATAAAATACTGGCAAACCGAATCCAGCAGCACATCAAAAAGCTTATCCACCATGATCAAGTGGGCTTCATCCCTGGGATGCAAGGCTGGTTCAATATACGCAAATCAATAAATGTAATCCAGCATATAAACAGAGCCAAAGACAAAAACCACATGATTATCTCAATAGATGCAGAAAAAGCCTTTGACAAAATTCAACAACCCTTCATGCTAAAAACTCTCAATAAATTAGGTATTGATGGGACGTATTTCAAAATAATAAGAGCTATCTATGACAAACCCACAGCCAATATTATACTGAATGGGCAAAAACTGGAAGCATTCCCTTTGAAAACTGGCACAAGACAGGGATGCCCTCTCTCACCACTCCTATTCAACATAGTGTTGGAAGTTCTGGCCAGGGCAATCAGGCAGGAGAAGGAAATAAAGGGTATTCAATTAGGAAAAGAGAAAGTCAAATTGTCCCTGTTTGCAGACGACATGATTGTTTATCTAGAAAACCCCATCGTCTCAGCCCAAAATCTCCTTAAGCTGATAAGCAACTTCAGCAAAGTCTCAGGATACAAAATCAATGTACAAAAATCACAAGCATTCTTATACACCAACAACAGACAAACAGAGAGCCAAATCATGAGTGAACTCCCATTCACAATTGCTTCAAAGAGAATAAAATACCTAGGAATCCAACTTACAAGGGATGTGAAGGACCTCTTCAAGGAGAACTACAAACCACTGCTCAAGGAAATAAAAGAGGACACAAACAAATGGAAGAACATTCCATGCTCATGGGTAGGAAGAATCAGTATCGTGAAAATGGCCATACTGCCCAAGGTAATTTACAGATTCAATGCCATCCCCATCAAGCTACCAATGACTTTCTTCACAGAATTGGAAAAAACTACTTTAAAGTTCATATGGAACCAAAAGAGAGCCCGCATCGCCAAGTCAATCCTAAGCCAAAAGAACAAAGCTGGAGGCATCACACTACCTGACTTCAAACTATACTACAAGGCTACAGTAACCAAAACAGCATGGTGCTGGTACCAAAACAGAGATATAGATCAATGGAACGGAACAGAGCCCTCAGAAATAATGCCGCATATCTACAACTATCTGATCTTTGACAAACCTGAGAAAAACAAGCAATGGGGAAAGGATTCCCTATTTAATAAATGGTGCTGGGAAAACTGGCTAGCGATATGTAGAAAGCTGAAACTGGATCCCTTCCTTACACCTTATACAAAAATCAATTCAAGATGGATTAAAGATTTAAACGTTAGACCTAAAACCATAAAAACCCTAGAAGAAAACCTAGGCATTACCATTCAGGACATAGGCGTGGGCAAGGACTTCATGTCCAAAACACCAAAAGCAATGGCAACAAAAGCCAAAATTGACAAATGGGATCTAATTAAACTAAAGAGCTTCTGCACAGCAAAAGAAACTACCGTCAGAGTGAACAGGCAACCTACAACATGGTAGAAAATTTTCGCAACCTACTCATCTGACAAAGGGCTAACATCCAGAATCTACAATGAACTCAAACAAATTTACAAGAAAAAAACAAACAACCCCATCAAAAAGTGGGTGAAGGACATGAACAGACACTTCTCAAAAGAAGACATTTATGCAGCCAAAAAACACATGAAAAAATGCTCATCATCACTGGCCATCAGAGAAATGCAAATCAAAACCACTATGAGATATCATCTCACACCAGTTAGAATGGCAATCATTAAAAAGTCAGGAAACAACAGGTGCTGGAGAGGATGTGGAGAAATAGGAACACTTTTACACTGTTGGTGGGACTGTAAACTAGTTCAACCATTGTGGAAGTCAGTGTGGCGATTCCTCAGGGATCTAGAACTAGAAATACCATTTGACCCAGCCATCCCATTACTGGGTATATACCCAAATGACTATAAATCATGCTGCTATAAAGACACATGCACACGTATGTTTATTGCGGCATTATTCACAATAGCAAAGACTTGGAACCAAATGTCCAACAATGATAGACTGGATTAAGAAAATGTGGCACATATACACCATGGAATACTATGCAGCCATAAAAAATGATGAGTTCATGTCCTTTGTAGGGACATGGATGAAATTGGAAACCATCATTCTCAGTAAACTATCGCAAGAACAAAAAACCAAACACCGCATATTCTCACTCATAGGTGGGAATTGAACAATGAGATCACATGGACACAGGAAGGGGAATATCACACTCTGGGGACTGTGGTGGGGTCGGGGGAGAGGGGAGGGATAGCATTGGGAGATATACCTAATGCTAGATGACGAGTTAGTGGGTGCAGCGCACCAGCATGGCACATGTATATATATGTAACTAACCTGCACAATGTGCACATGTACCCTAAAACTTAAAGTATAATAATAATAAAAAAAAAGAAAAAAAGGAAAAAAAAAAAAAAAAGAAACTACCATCAGAGTGAACAAGCAACCTACAAAATGGGAGAAAATTTTCACAACCTACTCATCTGACAAAGGGCTAATATCCAGAATCTACAATGAACTCAAACAAATTTAGGAGAAAAAAACAAACAACCCCATCAAATAGTGGGCGAAGGACATGAACAGACACTTCTCAAAAGAAGACATTTATGCAGCCAAAAAACACATGAAAAAATGCTCATCATCACTGGCCATCAGAGAAATGCAAATCAAAACCACTATGAGATATCATCTCACACCAGTTAGAATGGCAATCATTAAAAAGTCAGGAAACAACAGGTGCTGGAGAGGATGTGGAGAAATAGGAACACTTTTACACTGTTGGTGGGACTGTAAACTAGTTCAACCATTGTGGAAGTCAGTGTGGCGATTCCTCAGGGATCTAGAACTAGAAATACCATTTGACCCAGCCATCCCATTACTGGGTATATACCCAAATGACTATAAATCATGCTGCTATAAAGACACATGCACACGTATGTTTATTGCGGCATTATTCACAATAGCAAAGACTTGGAACCAAATGTCCAACAATGATAGACTGGATTAAGAAAATGTGGCACATATACACCATGGAATACTATGCAGCCATAAAAAATGATGAGTTCATGTCCTTTGTAGGGACATGGATGAAATTGGAAACCATCATTCTCAGTAAACTATCGCAAGAACAAAAAACCAAACACCGCATATTCTCACTCATAGGTGGGAATTGAACAATGAGATCACATGGACACAGGAAGGGGAATATCACACTCTGGGGACTGTGGTGGGGTCGGGGGAGGGGGGAGGGATAGCATTGGGAGATATACCTAATGCTAGATGACGAGTTAGTGGGTGCAGCGCACCAGCATGGCACATGTATATATATGTAACTAACCTGCACAATGTGCACATGTACCCTAAAACTTAAAGTATAATAATAATAAAAAAAAAGAAAAAAAGGAAAAAAAAAAAAAAAAGAAACTACCATCAGAGTGAACAAGCAACCTACAAAATGGGAGAAAATTTTCACAACCTACTCATCTGACAAAGGGCTAATATCCAGAATCTACAATGAACTCAAACAAATTTAGGAGAAAAAAACAAACAACCCCATCAAATAGTGGGCGAAGGACATGAACAGACACTTCTCAAAAGAAGACATTTATGCAGCCAAAAAACACATGAAAAAATGCTCACCATCACTGGCCATCAGAGAAATGCAAATCAAAACCACAATGAGATACCATCTCACACTAGTTAGAATGGCAATCATTAAAAAGTCAGGAAACAACAGGTGCTGGAGAGGATGTGGAGAAATAGGAACACTTTTACACTGTTGGTGGGCCTGTAAACTAGTTCAACCATTGTGGAAGTCAGTGTGGCGATTCCTCAGGGATCTAGAACTAGAAATACCATTTGACCCAGCTATCCCATTACTGGGTATATACCCAAAGGACTATAAATCATGCTGCTATAAAGACACATGCACACGTATGCTATTGTGGCACTATTCACAATAGCAAAGACTTGGAACCAACCCAAATGTCCAACAATGATAGACTGGATTAAGAAAATGTGGCACATATTCACCGTGGAATACTATGTAGCCATAAAAAATGATGAGTTCATGTACTTTGCAGGGACATGGATGAAATTGGAAATCATCATTCTCAGTAAACTATCGCAAGGACAAAAAACCAAACACCACATGTTCTCACTCATAGGTGGGAATTGAACAATGAGAACACATGGACACAGGAAGGGGCACATCACACTCTGGGGCCTGTTGTGGGGTGGGGGGAGGGGGGAGGGATAGCATTAGGAGATATACCTAATGCTAAATGACGAGTTAATGGGTGCAGCACACCAGCATGGCACATGTATACATATGTCACTAACCTGCACATTGTGCACATGTACCCTAAAACTTAAAGTATAATAATAAAATTAAAAAATATATATATATATAAAATATATATATATATAAATTATATATATATAAAATATATATATAAAATAAAAATATTTAATTCACAGTAAAGCGGATATAAACTAAGAAGTATCTTTTCAGTGTATTCTAACTCTTCATGGCTGAGACACTCTTGGATTATGTGACTATCAAAACCCTGTCAACATTCTTTTTCGGAACAGCTTAAAAAGCAGAAAAGGGAGTTTGCACCAATATTTCCCCATCTCCTTCATCCTCCATCCCCCATCCCAACCACCAGTTCTGGGGATCTAATATCCACCATAGTGACTGTAGTTAATAATACAGTATTGTTTACTTGAAATTTGATAAGAAAGCAGATTTTGAGTGTCCTTATTTCCCCTCACCCTCCCACACAAATGGTGACTATGGGTGGTGATGGATGTGTTAATTAGTTTTATTATGGTAACCATTACACAATGTATATGCCTATCAAATCATCACATTGTGCCCCATGAATACATACAATTTTTATTTGTTAATTATACCTGAATAAAGCTGAAAAAGAAATAGTAGAAAAAGGAAGATAAGCAGAGTGCCTTCAGGAATCCCTCTAGTGACTTTAGATCCAGTGGTTTGATCTTCAAACATCTTTGGAAAAGGTGGGATTGGCTTTGATTTTGTAATTAGGAAAAGAGGTGGTCATCTTTTCCAGAAACCTGGAACTCTTTAAGAAGACATTTGAGGTTCTTTATAATAGAGCTCCTACCCGCCTTTCCAACCTTTCCTTCTACTGTTCTTTTCCATTGGCCATCCCATGCTTTGAATTAGCTATATCACTTTCCCACTCCTGCAAGTGCCATTTTTACCAATACCAATACCAATATTTTTGCATATTTATTACTCTTTCAACTACAATATAAACATCTTGAGGCAAGCACACATTTTGTACATTTCTGTATCCCTCATTACTCCAAGTGCATGAAAATACTTGTGCTTAGTATGTAAAGTGCATGAAAATACAAGTGCTTAGTAAATACTTGTGGCATAAAAATGCATGCGTTGAGGCCAGGTGTGGCGGCTCATGCCTGTGATCCCAGGCCGAGGTGGGCGGATCACTTGAGGTCAGAAGTTTTGAGACCAGCCTGGGCAACATGGTAAAACCCCATCTCTACTAAAAATACAAAAATTCGCCAGGCATGGTGGTGCGTGCCTGAAGTCCCAGTTACTTGGGAGGCTGAGGCAGAAGAATCACTTGAACCCAGGAGGTGGAGGTTGCAGTGAGCCAAGATCGCACCACTGCACTCCAGCCTGGGCGACAGAGCAAGACTTTGTCTCAAACAACAACAAGAACAACAAAACACAATTATTTTTGCACCAGTCAAATATATGTGTGTGTGTTGAACTGGGCTATGAAAATTCATAAGAACTAGAGGATGAAGTTTGAGCAAATGACTTGGTTGGGAGGAACTGGTTCTAGAGTCCTGAGCCAAGATTCCTGGTGACATTCCTCACTCTATCTGAATCAGTGATGTGACTTTGTAGATCTTGCTCTTTGTAGATCTTAACCTTCTCATCTGTAAAAAGGGGACCTACACCATAGGATTATCTTGAAAATTAAATGCATTAATACATAAAAGTGCTTAGCATATAACTCAACATAAAAAACACTAAAAAGGTGTTTACTGTTATTTTTCTTAGAGCCCTTAAGAACTTATACTACATAAGCACCGATGAAATTACCTAAAAGCCTTCTTAAAGAAGCTGAGCCTAGTTTGAAGATCTTTGCTATGGTTTGGATGTTTGTGTCTCCTCTAAAATTCATGTTGAAACTTAATTATCATTGTGGTGGTACTAAGAGGTGGGGCAGTTTCAGAGGTGATTAAGTCACCCTTATGAATGAATTAGTTCTTTGTAAAAGGGCTGGAGGAGGCTGGATGTGGTGGCTTACGTCTGTAATCCCAGCACTTTGGGAGGCTGAGGCAGAAGGATCACTTGAGACCAGGAGTTTGAGACTAGTCTGGGCACCATAGTGAAACCCCATGTTTGCAGAAAATACAAAAATGTAGCCAGGCATGGTGGCATGTGCCTGTAGTCCCAGCTACTCAGGAGGCTGAGGTAGGAGGATTGCCTGAGCCTGGGAGGTAGAGGCTGCAGTGAGCCATGATCGTACCACTGTACTCCAGCCTGGGCAACCGAGCGAGACTCTATCTCTAAAAAAAAAAAAATGCTGGAGGCAACTACTAACTTAGGCCCCTTTTGCCCTTCTACCTTCTATCTTCAGCCATGTAAGCACCAAGAAGACCCTTACCAGACACTGCATGCTGGTGCCTTGATCTTGGACTTCCCAGCCTCCTGAACTGTAAGCAATATATTTCTATTATTTATAAGTTACCCAGTCTGTGCTACTTTGTTATAGCAGCACAAATGGACTAAGACAACCTTCTTTTAATATTAAAAGGATTTTTGCTCTACTTTGACTTTATTTCTAAAACTTTGCATGGCTATTTGCAATATGTACTTAATGTTTAACAACTGGCTCTCTAAGAAAGGAAGCCAGTCTTTTTGGTGTTTGCTGATTTCCCTGGTGTAAATACTCCCACTATGGCTAGATTGAAGCTACCAGTGGTTTAACAATGACTTGCACAATTCCTGAAAATTTAACAGTTGACCTTCGCTGTCAGAGCCAGTTCTCTCTGTTGGACCTAGACCTCTGGTATCTTTAATAAGAGTCTTATGAATGCTATTAAGAGGCAGCTGTCATCATCTCCCTTCCTTCTGCTGGAGATTTTCTAGTCCACAGGTAGGCAAACTACTGCCTGTAGACTAAAGTTAGTCTGGCACCTGTTTTTCTGTGTGATGTGTGAATTAATAATGACTTTTACATTTTTAAGTAGTTGAAAAAAATTAAAAGAAGAGTAATACTTTATGATATATGGAAAATACATGAAACTCCTATTTCAGTGTTCATAAATAAAGTTTTGTTGAACACAGTCAGATTGATTTGTTTGTGGATTTTCTATGGCTGCATTTGCACTACAACAGCAGAGTTGAGTAGTTGTGATAGAGGCTGCATGGTTTGAAAATCTGAAAACATTTACTATCTGGCTCTTTACTGAGAAAATTTTTGACCCCTTATCTAGTCCATTAGTTGCTACTTTTCAAGAAAAATCTTATGCTTCACACTAATATATTAGGCAGAGAAAATAGAGCATCTCTGGTTGGTGTAGGCAGCTATGGGGTCCAGAGCCCCATCCCCAAGCCTCTCACTGCCTGAAGAAGTGTTCCATCAGTGGGGGCACCTAAGGCTCCCTGTAGAACTCTAAGGCTCCAAGAAGCACACTGTAAAAATTACTGATCTGTACCCACTTTCCTAAGGCTTCCATGGTTATACAATTCAGGTTTTTTTTTTTTTTTTTTTTTTTTTGAGATGGAGTCTCACTCTGTCACCCAAGCTGGAGTGCAGTGGTGCCATCTTGGCTCACTGCAACCCTGCCTCCCAGGTTCAAGTGATTCTCATGCCTCAGCCTCCTGAGTAGCTGGGACTATAGACAACGCCATTACACCTGGTTAATTTTTGTATTTTTAGTAGAGACAGAGTTTTACCATGTTGGCCAGGCTGGTCTTGAACTCCTGACGCTAAGTGATCCACCTGCTTCCCAAAGTGCTGGGATTACAGGTATGAGCCACTGTGCCCAGCCCAAGGTCTTTTTGATTAAAGTACCTAATGACCAGAGAGGAAAAAAGACCTCGAACACAGAGAAGGCTGATGACTAGGCCAAGCACTCAGACTCAGCTCTTCCTCTAGCTGAAAACCTAGTGTTCTTCTCTTGGTGTTGTTGGTTGAGGCCTTTGTCCTCTGAACTCTATTTCATCTCTTTGAGCTTGTTCTAGCATTACCTCTCTGACTACGAGGAAAACACCACCTCCCTTCCCTTCCTGTCCTTATCCCTGAGCAGCCCATGAAGAATGGGTGTCTGTGCTGGATTGGATGTTTTACATTGCAGATTTACCAGTTTTCTAACTTTGTGGTTAACTCTTTCCTACTGTGAATCTCATATGGTTTTTGTTGCATATCAGCATTGGCATGTAGTGACCTGGATGGCAGGACAGCTGTGTTCTCTTCCAGCTCTGCCTCCCCTTTTTGGTGATCTCCCTGCTTCGTGCTGGACCAGCAGATTTCTAAGGCCCTTGGCAGTTTTGATGTCATCACCATTATTAGCAGCAGCGTCACACCACCTGGAGAAAAGCTGTAGCCCATAACATGCATTAATCACCAGCCAGCATTTGTATGCATGATCTCTTATTTTCATAACAACCTACCACGTATATATTATTATACTCAATCTACATAGGAGAGAACTGAAGCTCAGGAAAGGTAAGTGACTAGGCCGCAGAGAAATCCCATATTGAGATTTGAGCCCATATCACTTTTGTTCTAAATTTGATGCTCCTTTCATTAGGCCACACTGCCTCTCTGCTAGTCTAAAGCTCACAGAAAGCTGGAATGGACAGGGACTGGGAAAGGCTTCTTGGCCACTCACCTGAGAAAGCCTGGCTTCCCATGCATTGGCATACGTGCCTCCCAGGAATGGTCCCTCTCTCTCAGAGCAGGACATCAAGTTCTGATAGGCAACCCACAGGGCTTTGGCTGCCAGGTAGGCTTGGTAAGTGGCAGTTAGATCAGGAAGTTTGAAGGCAGACAGGTGGGCAGTGGTCATGTTCTCCAGCCCTGTGCGATGCCAAGCCCCTTCTCTGGCACTTTGGATGGAAGCCCCTAATCCAGACCACCTGTATCCCTGCACTCCTCCCACAGCTTCCTCATCAGACTGTTGCCTGGCTACACGGCTGGGCGCAGCGCCAACAGGAAGTCCTTAAAGGCAGGTATTATTCCTAAGTGTATGGTCAGGCTCAAGCTGCCATTCAGCAACTCGTGGGCTTTGGGACCCAGCACCGAGGGGTTATATGTGAAGGAGGTGGAAAAGATCCACATCCTCCCATTCACATTGTTCTCCTGAAGGGCCCCCGCCAGGAGTCTGAAGTGAAAATGGTAGCAGTCACAGACAATGACGGTGGCAGCAGGGGTTTAGGCAATGACGGTGGCCATGCTGTTGATGCTGTCATCTACACTGCTGATCTTTGAGAAGGCCATGCAGCCACCCTCGCCCCCGATCTGCTTCTGCAGCTGCTGATCCAGCCACTCAAAGTTGCTGTTGTCATAACTGACCAGGCCTACTCAGGTCCAGTTAAAGTAACTCAAGAGCTTGGCCAGGACTCAAGGCTGGTGGGTGCTGCTGGGCACTGTGCGGAGGAAGGATGGGAACTGGAAACAGTTGGAAAACTGGGGGCGCTGAGATCCATGGCTGATCTGGGGGAAAGGAACAGAGCTGTACATTCCTGGCCTGAACACACTTGCTCAGGATCCACAAATGTTCTCACCAGCCTTGTAACTTGGCCTCATTTTTCCCTCTCTGGCTTTTATTTCTAATTATTATCTCACTGGCCTTTGATATATGCTGTTTCCAGGTCCTTCGAAAGCCTGTGGGCTCAGGCCTAAGAAACCAACTGACGTTTTTAGAAAGGAATGCAGCGGACTAAAGAATGCCAACATATCTTCCAGTGGGGGTGGGAGAAGCAGAGAGGTAAAGATGTGCTAACGGCTTTGTTTCTCTCTATACATTGTATAATTCTTGGCATTATTTGAAAGATAAAGGCTCAAGTGAATTAAAAGCTGTATAATTGTTAATAGAATAAAAACAAGATATATAAATTCCAAAGCAGCAGAAGGAAAATAATTGGAAAAAATGATCAAATTAAAAAAAATTCAGGGCCGGGCACAGTGGCTCATGCCTGTAATCCCAGCACTTTGGGAGGCTGAGGCGGGCAGATCAATTGAGGTCAGGAGTTCGAGACCAGCCTGGCCAGCATGGTGAAACCCTGTCTCTACTAAAAGTACAAAAATTAGCCGGGTGTGGTGGCGCATGCCTGTAATTCCAGTTACTTGAGGCAGAAGAATTGCTTGAACCCGGGAGACAGAGGTTGCAGTGAGTCAAGATTGCACCACTGCACTCCTGCCTGGGTGACTGAGTGAGGCTCTGTCTCAAAAAAAAAAAAAAAAAAAAAAAAAAAAAGGAAAGGGAGAAAGCATAAGAACTAGAAAACTAAATAAAAATCTCTATTATTTCTATTATTATAGTTTTATTAACAGAAAGCAATGACCCAGCATAATAAATAGAAATTATATAAGATGGCAGAATACCATCAAACCATATCAGCAGTCAGCTTAAATGATAGGTTACATTACCCTACTTACGAAGAGCGTGCTGTATTCTCTACTTGCCTGTCTTGACACACTCTCCAGGCTTCTCTGTAATAGCTCTGAGCTCCAGAAGGGCTGATCTTTGTGGATTGTGTCAAAGAGCTGCCCTGCCCTCTGCCTTCTGGTAGGAGACTTGCTGGGAGACTTGGGGTAGGGGGAAAGTGAGGTTGAGGTATTCATTTCTCCCTGCTTAGCCATGGGTGGGCAGTGGCTGCCTTCCTCAGCTCTGCTTCCTCTCCCAAGGATGGAAACAGCTTCCGACTGTGGCTGTCCTTCAGGTGTTTCACCATTATCCCTTCCCACTCCTTTGAAAGCAGCCCCTTCATCTGGGTTTTTCCTTTTCAAAGGTAAAGAGGGGAGAATTGAGCTCTCCTGTCATGGGGCAGCTGAGTAAAGATTTTGACTATAATAGATGGGAAATTTTCAAACTGGATAAAAATCAAGCCGGTTATTTGCTATTTAGAAGAAACACAAGTAAAGCAAAATAACAAGAAAATCTAATATCAGGGGATGGGTAACATAAAAATCTTAGGTGAGTCCACTTGACCTGGAGGCTCTCCAGCCCTCCTGCCTAAGGAAAGCTGGGAGGCTTTTGGAGCAGAGGGGAAGGGGTTGTCAGTGTAGAGTGTGATTTCTGGTGGGCAGACCTAGTGGGTGCCCATATGATGTATTAAGTTTTCTTTAACCTGTTTATCAGCAAAAAATATTTCAGGAGCTATGGTCAGGAGTTCGAGACTAGCCTGGCCAGCATGGCGAAACCCTGTCTCTGCTAAAAGTACAAAAAGTAGGGGGGTGTGGTGGCTCATGCTTGTAATTCCAGTTACTTGGAAGGCTGTGCTATGGTCAGTTGAATATTAAACTTAAGAAAGAGTCATGAAATTAAGAGAGCACTTTTTTTTTTTTGATAGAGGAGGATAAGAACAAAACACAGTGTGGCCTGTTTATTGAGGAGTCCCAAACCTGCCGTACAGCCTTCCCTGATCCCTGCTCCTCAAGCTGAGATCTAGTTCTTAATTCTTGGTTCATGCCAGCCCTGGGATCATCGCCTTTGTCACATCATTGCTGAACTCTTTCTACTTCAGACTGTTCGAGTTCATGCCTTTTCCTCTCCAATCAGATTCTAAGCAGGATCCATTCAATTTATCTTAGTTGTTGAGTGCATGAGTGAATGCCTGTTCTTTTCTCTTCTCTCCTGCTCATCTTCTTCCTGCTTTCCTTCCCCTACAGGCTCCTCAGGTCAGTGCAGGGGCTCACTGTCAGACTTTTCCCAGCCTACCATAAGGAAGCTGTCCTACCAGATATGTGCAGACAAGTTCTTTTACTTCAAAGTTTTTGGTGAGTCTTTGGCCCTATATTGGGCAAAATTACACAGAGGACGTGGGAGCCAGCTTTTCTCCAAAGTTAACTGCTCCTTCCAGGCTTGCATTGTATCATCATTATCACTAATAGCAATTCCAACTAACAGTCATTGAGGGTTTAAGTACCAGGCCCTGGTTATTCCATTGTTAATATCCACAATGACTCTAAGAGGCAAATACATTATCATTAACCTTTGTTACCTTCGTTTTGTAGATGAGGAATGTGAAGCTCAGACAGATGACTCAATTTGTCAAGGTCACATAATCAGTAACTAGCGTTTGTAAGATCCAGGTTTGCTGACTGTCAAGCCAGTGCCCTTCATTGTTTCTAGCTCTTCGGCTTCCCAGCCCACCTCTGTCCAGTGATCTCTGTTGGTGAGTTGTATGAAATGAGGTGGGTCCTTTGATTTTTAGGGACTCTGGGGTTTTGGAAAACCAGAGTCGGCAACAGCAAGGGCTATTGCAAAATGCTCAAGAATTTCTTAAGATGTAACACATTTGGAGCTCCCTTGGATTTTTAGCAAGTTAAAGGTAGCACTTAGCATATGTTAAGCATTGAGGTGCCAGCGGTGGTTACAATCTGCTCTGTAGCTTCAGAAATGTCTCGGTTCACACCCATTCAACAGATGCGATCTGAACAACAGCTACATGCCAGTTCGTATACTAATATGAGCAAAACCTACTTGCCAATCTCAAAGATCTCCTGGTGAGTGGTACGTGAGCAACAAGATGATGTCATAGTTTCAAGAAAGGGGAACTCACCCAGAAATGACTAGTATAGGTAGGAATGGTGCAGGCTTCCCAAAATCATTGCCAAGACCAGACACCACTTACTAAGAGTGAGAAATGTAACTTTCAACGTGACCAACATTGTGTTGGCTGGTCAGTGTATTCTCTCCCTACAGAAAGTGTCTATCTGAAGCCAAATTATTCTCAGAAGGATTATCCATAAGCCTAGCATTGTGGCACAAAGAAATAACTGGACCATTGTGGCTCTGAAGTCAGACCTGCCTAGACAAACAGAGTTTAGCTCGGCTGAGACATCCTCTCCCTTATAAAGGACGGAAACACCCACGTAGGTTGAGCCACTTTTTAGTTGATTGGGTTATCATCTATCTAGGAGAGAGACTCCCTTAGTTACATTCCAGTCCTAAGGATATGCCTGGCTCACCTCCCACATCTCCCCAGCATCAAGCCCAAGGGTCCTTTGTGAAGAGGTTAACCTCAGGCAATCTAAATTCGTTTTCCTAAGGATCAGCCTTGGAGGTCACACACTCCTAGGTCTAGATCCCCTAAAAATTGAACTCACTTAGGATGTAGGCATCTTCTCTCTAGCACTGTGGGGAGAATGGTCTTGGGTCTAATACTACCTGCTGTGCTGAATGAGAACTCAAAGCAGCCTGCAGGCATGGGGATTGTACTAATTTCATGCACTTCAGCTTTTTTAGTTAAGGCAATCAAGATCTTAAAAAAGTAACTTATTTTCATGCCTTTGTAAGACTTTTCATGTAAACAAAAAACTAGAAAAAGCAATCCTGTCAATTAGATGTCTTGAGGTTTGACTTAGAAGACATCATTCTAAGCCACTGTAACCTAACATTCTAATTTGGAGGCTTGAGGCTGCGTTGTTCTGCCCTGAGTTCTCTCAAGATAGGCCTTTTGAGAGCCATGTGGGTGCCCTGGAGTTATGGTTATATGAGTTCATGCTTGCCTTCTCTTCCAGAGTGCGAGCATCCCTGAGGATAGGGCTATGGCCTCACACGTGCCTCATGGTACATGTGGCTATAGCACAATTCTCTACACCACTGGTGGTGGTGTGCTCAGTAAACATTTGGAAATAGTAACCAGTACAAAAAGAGGGAGCAGTTTCATATAGGGCAGTTTCCCTACTATTTGCTTCTGTACTTTCTTTTTCCCCTGGAATCAAGGTCCCTGGGTTTTAATCTCAAAATACTATTTATTAGCTATGTGACTTTGGACAAGTAACATTTCTTCTCAGGTTCAATGTCATCATCTGCAAAATGGGACTAATTATAGTATCTATTTCATAGGGTTGTGAAGATTAAATGAGATAATAAAAGAAGATAATAGCAATAGGAAATACTGATATTGCACTTACTATAAGCCAGGCATTTTTCTAAATGTTTTACATGTATTAATTTATTTAATCTTAAGGATTTGAACACATGCAAAGGATCTAAAAATCACCTTTCTACTAGTAAATATCCAGTAAATGATAGATATAGTTATTATTAGAGTTACTCTCAGCCAATATTGCAGAAGAAAAAAAGCATGTGATAAACTCATTTCTACTAGGGTGTGACTGACTGACGATAGGTACATATCACTCCTCCTAGAGAATAAAGTGTTTGCATCTAACTGGATATTTTTAATTGTGGCATTTGAAGCCTCAGTGGAATTTACAAGGGAAGATATTTAATTTTTGGGGGGGTGAGTTTTAAAGGTCACAATCAGGCAGTCAGGTACCGTTCAGGCATGCCAAGGGAAATAAATATTCTTCACCTGGGAAATAATTTCATAAACATTGCCTCCCTGCCTAACAGATTTAATATATACTGAAGATCATACTGAAATCTAGGCAAATGTTTCAAAGAAACATCAAGAAATCCAGTGGAATGGTTTGTCACTTGTTCAACTTTCCAAATTTCTGGGAAGGCTGCAAAGGAGGAATGAGATGATCCTAGCCTGGGTTATAAATCTTAGATGCTGTCATCAGCCCTCAGATCATGGTTGGTTGGCGAGTGCAGGGCCTCCAGGGATTATTAATCCTGGGGATTCCAGCCTGTTTAAGACATCGATAGGACAATTATGGGAGTTTAGCCTAAGTTTGCCAAATTTTTATTTTGCCACAAAAAGTTAGTGATAAAACCACCATCTAAGGAGGGTTGGTGACCTCACACCAACATGCGCATACACTGTGTCATTTCTTTGTCATTCTGTTGCAAATCAGAGAAAGATAGCCGCAAACCAGCACTAGTCCATGGACCAGCATTCAGAAATGTTCTAGTCCAATACTCGTCTCCCGTTTTGTAGAAAGGGAGAATCCCAGGCCCAGGGAAGTAACCTTTTTGAGGTCATAGCTCTGATCTTTCTACCAGGCTGCACTTTGTCATTGTGTGCCCAGCCAGAGTATTTAAGTGGTTTTCTCTTTCCAGGCATGTCTCTCACCTGAGGGACTCTGTAGATGGAGAGCAGCTCAGACATGGGCTCTGACTCCAGGAAGGTCATCCCTCCAACCACGCCCAGGAGATGTTGCTGGGAGCCACAAGCATAGTTGGTTGTGGGTGGAAGCTGATTGGACAGCAGGGCCAGGGTGCTCCCCAGAGCCTGGATCCCTGAGATGCAGGAGTCATAAATCTGCAGTCCCACAGTGATGTCGGGCAGCCCCTTCTGCCTCAGCCACAGCAAAGAGAGGGGACTCAGGGCATTCAGGAAAAGGAGGACTTTGAATCTTAGAGAGGGTCAAGGACAGAAGGAGTTAGATTTGGCCAGTAGCATTCTAAAGAGCCACAAAAAACAGCCCCAGGGAGTCCCTCCTTGGGAGGAGCAAAGGAGAGGTGGGACTGAATGTAGATGTACATTTGCTTAAAGAAGCATTGGGGTAGGGGAGAATTCTAGAGATTTAGACACATACACACACACAACACACACGCACACAAGCAGATAGACTTAGAGAAAGGCTGCAGTTTCCTAGAGTTGGACAAGGAGACACACAGAGTGACAGGTGGGCAGATAGACACACACAGACTCATTGTAGTGCAAAGAGAGGCTGACAGCAATGGAGGCACATAAACAGCATCGGCTCTACAAACTCAGGCAGACACCTGACAGAGGGGCTATGGAGTGGACGGGACACGTAAACAGGAAGACACATGGACTGGGATAGGTTATTCAGATGCAGAAACAGTCAGATACACACAGAGACAGGCACTCTGATGTAGAAGAGATAAGGACACAGGTGACACAGACACATAGAGAGACTGGTAGTCACATACACAGGCAGACAGATGGGTGCAGGCCTAGGCAGACAGGCAGATATCTGCATAGACAGACAGAAGCAGAGAGTGATGAGTAGAGGCAAAAGACACACAGCACATGCCTTTGACAAAAACTCAGGCATGCCTTTGACAAAAACTCAGGAAGAAATAAGACAGACGTGGGGCAGGTGATGTAGGAGTCTAGCTAAATACTTCCTGGGCATCTTTTTGGAGAGGAACTGCTGGCTCACAGATTGAAGTCTGGTTCAAAACTAGTTAAGCCTTGGAAACAGTTCAGATATGCATGAAAGCTGAATTTGTGGGCTCATGTTGCTGACAAGGGTGGGTCTGGGGCTACCTTCTCTGTGAATGTGCCCATGAAGATACATCTTGCCTCTCATGGCTTTAGTTGCCGTGATTTTGAAAACACGCCCAGGCAGAAGTTGCTGGGCTCTGCTGTCCAGCAAATTTAAGGAGTGTTAGCATTGTGCAAAGGGGGGCATTGAGACCCAGAGAGAGAAAAGGCCTTGCTTGCAGTTGCTCAGCTGCTCAGAGAGAACTAGGACTAGAACAGACCCTCTAATGCTCAGGTGCGTGTTCCTACTGCCGGGTCTTGGCACCTGTGACAATGTCTTGAAGACACACAGCCTAGTGTGGATTCAGTCCCTCACTGTGGCTTCCACCAACTTACTTCTCACCCAACCCCCAAAGACTCTGAGGGAACTCACGGAGAGGGGCGCTGTCCTGGCCAAGGGTCTCCCTGTCAGGAGCCCTGTAGTGGGTATGACAGGTCTGGAGTCCCCAGCTGCCTACAGTGATTGGGAAGGTGGCTCCCTCCCCTCCCTCCCTCCCTCCTTCTCTCCCTCTCTCCCTCTCCAGGGATTAAAAAGCATGACCCACTGTCAGCATAGTGGCTGCTCCGGAGGCTGCTGGAACTTGACTTCTGTCTGGTCCAGCGCTGTGTGTAAGGGGTCGCAGCCCGGATGAACATATCTCCTTTGGTGGAGAAGGTGTCTGCAGGTCTGGACGTTGGCAGGTAGCTGGGGGTCCAGATAGTGTCCACCATGGACACTGTGAGAGCAAGACCACAAGGACCGCAGGATAGGACATGTGGATTGTCCTTCTCTGTGGGCCTTTGGCTGGGGGTCCTTTGTTGTCAGAGCGTCTGTGCCTGCTTCGTTTGCGAGGATCTAGGCACACCTGCTGGGGCTTCCATGGGACCCCAAAAAGAAGGAAATTGACTGTAGTTGAGCTCTCAGCCTTTGCCTTACATGGTGATATCTTCAGCGTTCTCCAGGTCTCCGAGACTTTCTTATTTCCCTGGACCCCCAGCAGCCCCCATCCTTGCCTCTAGCACCCTGTCAACTACTAATTTTCCTTACTTTCAGGCCGAAGTTGACTGGCAGAGACAGCCCCAGGGTATAGGAGTGGGAAGGATGCCCTTCCCATCCACACCTCTGTTCTTCTGGTGACCCTGCACCAGGGTCTGTGTTTATGAAGAAGTCAGACTTCCTGTCCCTGGGCCTCCTGGGCCCACACCCCATCATCTTCAAAGTCAGAAATAATCCGGTGATGCACAGGAGAGGCCGGGGGTCTCCAGGGAGAGGCTGTAAAACAAGCCAGCAAAGCAGGTTTCCCGAGTCTGTGGCTGAAGGCCCCCTCTCAGTCTCACCGGCACTGGGGAGTGTGTGCTGTCCATCGTGTCCACAGTGGGGCACAGGCTAAGGGAGGGCTGGCTGCAGGGTTCAGCTGTAATTTGTTTTTGGCTTGAATTCTTTTTTTTTTTTTTGAGACAGAGTCTCGTTCTGTCGCCCAGGCTGGAGTGCAGTGGCGTGATCCAAGCTCACTGCAAGTTCCATCTCCCGGGTTCACGCCATTCTCCTGCCTCAGCCTCCCGAGTAGCTGGGACTACAGGCGCCTGCCACCATGCCTGGCTAATTTTTTTGTGTGTGTTTTTAGTAGAGACAGGGTTTCACCGTGTTAGCCCGGGTGGTCTCCATCTCCTGACCCCATGATCCGCCCACCTCGGCCTCCCAAAGTGTTGGGATTATAGGCATGCGCCACCAAGCCCGGTCCTGTTTTTGGCTTGAATTCTATTCCCAAATCTGCTGCGAATTCTCGGAGTGATCTTGGGCAAATCACCTTCTCTTTTTGGGCCTCAGTTTCCCTCTCTGTGATGGGAAAATATTGGATTCAACTGTTTGCAAACTCTATTTCAATGGCAAAACCCTTTCATAACATACTGTACAGTGTGGATTGAAATAATGGACTCTGAGACAAACACAGTCAAGGTTCCAGAAAGGTCCAGTTGAGCACCTGAGGGCAGTAAGAGGAGGGCTGGTGCCAGGGCCTCAGAAGGCCAGTATTGGGATTGTAACAGTGGTACAGTGTACAAAGCCTCCTCCAACCTACTTTCCTATTTGGTCCTCATGATAGTCCACATACAGCAGGAATGCTCTTTCTCATTTTACAAGTGGGAAATGGAAGTGTGGAGAGGTGGGGTGATTTGCTCCAGGTCACACAGGCAGTAAAAAGGACTCGAGTCTCCTGGATCCTGCCCCAGACCTGCACTGACTTATAAGGTGGCCCTGCAGAAACGGGGAAGGGCATGCTCTGCAAGGGCCACCTGCCAACTTGCTGGATGAGGCATTGATGCAGCTGGGCTGCTGAGTGTTTTGAAGTATTTCCCTATGGGGGAGGGTAGGAGGACCATGCACCATGTCCTTTCTCACCCACGCTGCCTCACAGAGCAAGAGAGACAACCTGCCATGAGCTCCAATAAAGCCCAGGACACCCAGCCGGGCATGGTGGCTCACGCCTGTAATCCCAGGACTTTGGGAGGCCGAGGTGGGTGGATTACCTGAGTTCAGGAGTTCAAGACCAGCCTGATCAACATGTTAAACCCTGTCTCTACAAAAATACAAAAAAAAAAAAAAAATTAGCTGGACATGATGGTAGGTGCCTGTAAATCCAGCTACTCAGGAGACTGAGGCAGGAGAATCACTTGAACCTGGGAGGTGGAGGCTGTAGTGAGCTGAGGTTGTCATTGCACTCCAGTCTGGGTGACAGAGTGAGACTCTGTCTCAAAAAGAAAAAAAAAAAAGAAAAAAAAGGCCCGGGAAACCCAATGCCATGGTTTCCATGCCAGGTTGGTGGCTGAAGCCTGAAATTCCTCTGTTACACAGCAACCCTCCAACAGCCCACGGGAATGAGCCCATGCCATGTAGGAAGATCGTCTTAGCATGAACCCTCAGACACTTCCCAAGTTACACCAAAAATAGTCCCCAGGATTCAAATCCTGACCCAGGGCCAGATATTTAACATCTGTGGGTCTCACCTTTATCTCACATAAAATGGGAGTGATTGCCTTCCCTGCCCACTTGGCTGTTGAGAAGCTTCAGTGTGATCATTTAGGTCATCAAAAGAGCTTTTCCAATTTTCAAGTGCTGTGAATAATAAGAGGTGGTTATTCCAGGATTGGTAATTCAGTAACAACAGCATAGTGGTGTGAATAGCGGCTCTCAGGGGCACTCCAGAGAGCAGTTTGGTGGGGGGCAAGTGGGGAGATTATGGGCAGGGACTATACACTGGTTGGCCTGAAGGGAGCACCAGGGAGCGGGAAAAGTGCAGCGCTGGAGATTCGCATCCATGAATATAAATTGTCCAACACATTATTCTGCCCATGCCAGCCCCGAGAACATGTTCAGGAACCTCAGAAAGGGAGAGCAAATGGCCCAGGGGAAATTCTGCTTGTTAGTTCAGCCATGTGGGGACTGTCTCCGCCTGTGAGTGACAGTCCAGTGCCTCTAATGGCTGCTTGAAGGTTACCTGGGGGTGTCCACTCACAGGGATTTGCTTTGTGACTGTTACTCAAGTGAGTCCATGCCTCACACATGGGAGACTCCATGCCTCACACATGGGAGACTCCATGCCTCACCTGGAGTTAACACCCTGGATTTGTGGCCCTATTGTCCTTGCCAGCTTCATAGCAGACTTGAGGGCCAGTCTCGTAGCCTCTAAACTGTCTGGGAGGCCCCAGTGGGTGTTTCATATGTGGATGGAATGAGTTCACTGTCCCCTTCCTCTCTGCCTGTGACACCTGCAGTGTGCAAACCTCTGGAAGGAGGCATATTCTCTTTCTCAGCTACACCTGAGGAGGCTGGTTCTGCTTGGATTGTGGCTCTCTTGCCCTGAGTACTGGTTCCTTGCCCTGAGTACAAGGCTACCTAAATCTGCAAGATGTGAGAAGGATCTTTTCTTAGTTTCAGTCCTCACTGCATTTGGGCTCTGCTATGTCCCCTGAAGAAAGGGCTATACAAACTTTCTCCTCAGGCTGGGCGCCATGGCTCATGCTTATAATCCCAGCACTCTGGGAGGCTGAAGCACGAGAATTGCTTGAGCCCAGGAGTTTGAGACCAGCCTTGGCAACATGGTGAGATCTTGTCTCTGTGAAAAACTAAAAAATTAGGGTGCAGTGGTACATGCCTGTAGTCCTAGCTACGGGGGAAGCTGAGGTGGGAGATCGCTTGAGCCCAGGAGGTTGAGGCTGCAGTGAGTCAAGATGGCTCCACTGCATTCCAGCCTGTGTGACAGAGTGAGACCCTATCTCAAACAACAAAAAACCAAACCAAACCAAACCAAAACAAAACAAAACACCTCTCTCTCCAAACTCTGGGTCTTGTTTTATTAGCTGGGCCTTGCAGCAGAGCTGTGTGTCCCAGCATCACTCTTTTTTTAATTATTATTTTTATTTTGATTTGAGATGGCATCTTGCTCTGTCACCCAGGCTGGAGTGCAGTGGTGCCATCTCGGCTCACTGCAACCTCCACCTCCCAGGTTCAAACTATTCTCCTGCCTCAGCCTCCCGAGTAGCTGGGACTACAGGTGTACGCCACCATGCCTGCATAATTTTTGTATTTTTTTTTTTTTTAGTGGTGATGGGTGGGGGTTTCACCATGTTGGCCAGGCTGGTCTTGAACTCCTGACCTCAAGTGATCTGCTCGCCTTGGCCTCCCAAAGTGCTGGGATTACAGGTGTGAACCACCATGTCTGGCTCCAGTATCACTCTTAAAACTCTTGAAAACAATCACTTCAGATGTACATTATACTTTTCCCCCCTCTAATAGAAGCTTAAAAGTAGTCCTGGCGTGTACACCGTGTCACCCACCACCCCACACACTCCTAGGTGTCTGAGCAAAAATCTCCCCCATCCTACCTTGAGGTCCCAATGCTCATGCACATCAATTTATGCAAATTGGAACTCACTGGTCTCATGTGGTTGGTTTCCCGCAGGCTCCTCCAGGACCACCCTACTATTTAACAAAGAAAGGCAGCACTAACATTGGAACTTCAGACTTCAATGGCATAAATTCTGTGGACATGGTGGCCCTTGAACCACTCAACACAGATAGTAGAGCACATGAGTCATCTCTTGCCCTGTACAGGCACTGAGCCATGGCCACAGTGTCTTCACTATCAAGCTCTAGCCATAGATGATTGGGCACTGGGTTAGTTGAGGGGCTAAGAGACAGGATGTGCCTGCCTCACATTCCATCTGGGTGGACAGTAGGTTACTTTGTTTGTCCTCTGGGCCTCTTGAGAGAAGAATGCTAACCAGTTCCCTCTGTGTCAAAGAACCAGTCCAGCCCATTCCCTTCTGCTACCCACAGATGTCCCTAGTCTCATGGCTGACGCTGGCCTAGAAGTCATGGGTTGATCTTGTCAGGCAGGGATCACAGGGTTTCCTCAGTTCAGCTCCACAGACTTTCTGATCCAAACAAGGAGAAGTGAACTTCTTTTATTTCCAGGGGCCTAAGATGCTTTATATCCAGCAGCAATTGGGAGAAGAGAAACTCTTCTCTCTCTAAGGTCTGCCCTTGCCTTGTTCCCAAATGGGCTGCATATGTATTTCCTAAGACACTTAATTTTTCAAGAAGCCAGACAGGGGCTGGGCCTGTTGGCTCACGCCTGTAATCCCAGCACTTTTGGAGGCCAAGGCAGGCAGATCACTTGAGGCCAGGAGTTTGAGACCAGCCTTGCCAACATGGTAAAACCCCATCTCTACTAAAAATACAAAAATTAGCCAGGCGTGGTGGTGCATGCCTGTAGTCCCTGCTACTTCAGAGGCTGAGGCAGGAGAATTGCTTGAATCTGGGAGGCAGAGGTTGCAGTGAGCAGAGATGACGCCACTGCACTCCAGCCTGGAAGAAGACAGAGCATTAAAAAAAAAATAAAATAAAAATAAAGAAGCCAGCCAGACTTGTGTTTCTCCTAGGGGAAAGAGCCTAGCGAAGTAGAGTTTGCATTCCTTTGATTAAATCTACCCTGCAAAGGGCCAATGGCGTAAAAGGACTGGGATAAGAAGAGGGAAATGACCAAGGGCTGTGGATGAGCCTCACAACAACATACTACGAGAACAAACTTCTCCAGATATGAGTGGTGTTATGGTCTGAATGTTTGCATGCCACCCAAATTTATTTACTTATTTATTTAGAGATTTTTAGTAAGATTCACTAGTGGCAATGTAAATAAACTACAATCCAAAACAAAATTAGACAAATCTATCTAATAAATAAATTCATAACCATTACTACTTGCTTATAACATATCTGGCAGAGATGTTTAAAATGTCAACAATATTAATTTTTTGAGGGTGGAGGGTAGGAGGAGGGAGAGAAGCAGAAAAGATAACTATTGGGTACTGGGTCTAATTCCTGGGTGATGAAATAATCAGTACAACAGACCCTTACGACATGAGTTTACCTATGTAACAAAACTTCACATGTACAATTGCACTTAAAATAAAAGTTAAAAAAATTACTTTTCTTGTAGGTTAATTGTAAAAATATAACAGTTTTGAGTCAATCTCCATTAATACTTAAAGTACAAATATTTATTAAATGAGGTTCAAAAGACTTATAATACATACAACAAAAACATCTATAAAACAAAGACAACTTTAAAAGAATTGCTCAATTTACTTCGTAGTGTTTATTTTTTTCATGTAACACATTTTAAAATAGTATTTGTATCCATGTATTTTTGGATACATGAAATTCACATCTAGATGTCTATTCTATTAAATCATTATTCTTTCTTCAGTGTCAAATCTTAATTTTCATTTCTGGCTGGATTTTTCTTCTTTAGCAATACTTTTTGTTACCCCTTTACTATATTTCTCATGGAAGAAATTATGACCTTAGTATGTCAGAAAATGATCACTTAGCAGATGTGAATGCTGGTCCTGGTTTTCACATTTCTTCACATTTTCTGTTGTAATCAAGCACCTTGATGTGTGGCTGAAAAGCTTCTGCTTACAGTTGCTAATGAGCTTCAGACGGGTGTGGGGTTGTCATCTCTTCAGTGTATTCTGCTGTATATACTGGTAACCAATAGATTAGTCTTCCAAATAACATGAGAGTCTCAGCTGCAAAGTTTAGCAGGTCAAAAAGCATATTACTCGGATGATAACTCAAGGAAACAGGAATGTGGCTTCCTGGACATTTTTCTATCCCCTTTGATATTTCCTTCTGTGAACCTATTCTTCTTGCAGATGCTTTAATACCATATGGAGGATCAGTGATTACTGCATTAAAATATGTGCCATTCTCCAGGAAAGTTTAGATGTATCTGAAACCAGGACATTTAATATGGTCAATCATATTTGTCAAAATGTATTAGAGAAAGTATTACCTTCTCTAAACCATACTGACAAAGATTTGCCCTAATGTTTTCATCTGGTCCTCTCCATTTCTGGTTTTTCTTACCTGCCTTTCCTGAGCCATAAACTGTGTTGTAGTTGATGCCTGTCTCATATACATATGCATCGAAATGAGCAGATGCTATCAGGAGGCCTCCTGTTCCAGCAAATGGATCAAAATCAGTATCATTTTCTCTTTTCCATAATTAGTCACAATGAATGACAAACCGGCATCCATGCTTGTATTTCCAATAAAGTGTCTCATTTTGACAGTGTATGACTCAATAAGCTCTCTCTGTCCATCTGTGATCTATCTACTAAAATAAATATTATGCGAATTCTTAGGGATGCAGTTTGGGTCCAAACCATAATTCTCCAAAATATAGAATATATGTTGTGGCATCTTTAAATTTACAGAATTTAAATGGCAGAAATCCAACTGCTTTATTCATTTGACTTTTTCTTCTTATGTCAATGTTTTATTACATGTGTGAATCTTTATTTTATACACAGAGTATGAATATACAAATAGAACTTAGCACACACTGTACGTTTCGTTACATTTCTTGCAATACCTTCAGAAAGAATGCTAAGAATCCAAAATGGCGACTTTCTGTAAGTTTCCTGTCTGCAGGTGAACTGACCTCCAAAAAATGATAGCGAAGACTTTGTTTTTATTTTATTTTTTATTATACTTTAAGTTCTGGGATACATGTGCAGAACATGCAGGTTTGTTACATAGGTGTACATGTGCCATGGTGGTTTGCTGCACCCACCAACCTGTCATCTAGATTTTAAGCCCCTCATATATTAGGTATTTCTCCTAATGCTATCCCTCCCCTTGCCCCCCATGCCCTTACAGGCCCTGGTGTGTGATGTTTCCCTCCCTGTGTCCATGTGTTCTCATTGTTCAACACCTACTTATGAGTGAGAACATGCAGTGTTTGGTTTTCTATTCCTGTGTTAGTTTGCTGAGAATGATGTCTTCCAGCTTCATCCATGTCCTCGCAAAGGACATGAACTCATTCTTTTTTATGGCTGCATAGTAGTCCATGGTGTATATGTGCCACATTTTCTTTATCTAGTCTATCATTGATGGGCATTTGGGTTTGCTATTGTAAATTGTGTTGCAATAGTCTTTGCTATTATAAATAGTGCTGCAATAAACATATGTGTGCATGTGTCTTTAAAGTAGAATGATTTATCATCCTTTGGGTATATACACAGTAATGGGATTGTTGAGTCAAATGGTATTTCTAGTTCTAGATCCTTGAGGAATCACCACACTCTCCACTTCCTCTCCAGTATCTGTTGTTTCCTGACTTTTTAATGATTACCATTCTAATTGGTATGAGATGGTATCTCATTGTGGTTTTGATTTGCATTTCTCTAATGACCAGTGATGATGAGCTTGTTTTCATATGTTTGTTGGCCACATAAATATCTTCTTTTGAGAAGTGTGTTCATATCCTTTGCCCACTTTTTGATGGAGTTGTTTTTTTTTCTTGTAAATTTGTTTAAGTTCCTTGTAGATTCTGGATATTAGACTTTTGTCGGATGGATAGATTGCAACAATTTTCTCCCATTCTGTAGTTTGCCTTTTCACTCTGATGATATTTTCCTTTGCTGTGCAGAAGTTCTTTAGTTTAATTAGGTCCCATTTATCAATTTTGGCTTTTGTTACAATTGCTTTCGGTGTTTTAGTTATGAAGTCTTTGCCCATGCCTATGTCCTGAGTGGTATTGCCTAGGTTTTCTTCTAGGATTTTTTATGGTTTTAGGTTTTGCATTGAAGTCTTTAATCCATCTTAGTTAATTTTTGTATAAGGTGTAAGGAAGGGGTCCAGTTTCAGTTTTCTGCATATGGTTAACCAGTTTTCCCAACACTATTTATTTAATGGGGAATCCTTTCTCCATTTCTTGTTTTTGTCAGGTTTGTCAAAGATCAGATGGTTTTAGATGTGTGGTGTTATTTCTGAGGCCTCTGTTCTGTTCCTTTGGTCTGTATATCTGTTTTGGTACCAGTACCATGCTGTTTTGGTTACTGTAGCCTTGTAGTATAGTTTGAAGTCAGGTAGCATGATGCCTCTGGCTTTGTTCTTTTTGCTTAAGATTGTCTTGGCTCTACGGGATATTTTTTGCTTCCATATGAAATTTAAAGTAGTTTTTTTCTAATTCTGTGAAGAAAGTCAATGGTAGCTTGATGGGAGTAGCAATGATTCTATAAATTACCTTGGGCAGTATGGCCATTTTCATGATATTGATTCTTCCTATCCAGGAGCATAGAATGTTTTTCCATTTGTTTGTGTCCTCTGTCATTTCCTTGAGCAGTGGTTTTTAGTTCTCCTTGAAGAGGTCCTTCATGTCCCTTGTAAGTTGTATTCCTAGGGATTTTATTCTCTAGCGAAGACTTTATTAAAGCAGACAGAACTTCAGGAGCTGCCATGAGCAGCAGACACCTGTTTAGGGTGCACGGCAGCTGTGCCCCCCAAATCCATACATTGAAACCTGATCACCAACGTGATGGTGTTAGGAGGTGGAAATTTTGGGAGGTGCTTAGGTCATGATAGCAGAACCTTGATGAATGGAATTAGTTCCTTTCTGAAAGAGGCTTCAGGGAGCTGCTGGTCTCTTTCTTTGACTTGAAGGCACAGCGAGAAGGTGCCACCTATGAACAAGAAAGTGGGCCTTCACCAGACATGGAATCTGCTAGCACCTTGATCTTTGACTTCCTAGACTTCAGAACTATTAGAAGTAAACTTCTGTTGTTTAAAAGCCACCCAGTTTATGGCATTTTGTTACAGCAGCCTAAAGAGGCTAAGACAAGTGATGGCATGGGATGCAGGTAATTGCATCCAATGATCATGGGCCAGAATCAGTGTGATCCAGTCTCTTCTTTTAATAATTATGATTACTAAAGGAATCATCACTTACTATGTGCCAACCTCTGTACCAAGTACTGGATATGCATTAACTCAGGGATCAACAATCTATGACTCATAGTACAAATCTAGCCTGCTGCCTGTTATAAGTCTATTGCAATACAGTCACACTCGTTTGTTTATGTGTTGCCCCGTGGCTGCTTTCTCACTAGAATGGCAGACATGAGTACCTGTGAGAAAGATCATTTGGCCTGAAAAGCCTAAAATGTTTACTCTCTGGCCCTTTATGGAGAAAACTTTTTGGCCTCTGCTTTAAACCTAACTTTTAGTTTACAAGTAATTTTTTGTTGCTGAATAACAAATTACTACATTTAGCAGCTCAAAGCAACACAAATCTTATAATTTCCATGAGTCAAGAGTCAGCATAGAGGTTATCTGCTCATGGTCTTTCATGACTGAAATCAGGTTGTTGTGTGGGGCTTCAATCTCATCTGAGGCTCAAGGTCCTCCTCCAAACTCTTTCAGGTTGTTGGTTGAATTCATTTGCCTGCTGTTTGCATAGCTGTGGTGCCCATTTCCTGGCTAGCTGTCAGCCAGGGACTGACTTAGAAGCCACCATTAGGTCCTTGCCATGTGGCCACATCTCTCACAACAAGGCAGCTTACTCCTTCAAGACAAGCAGGAGAATGTGTCTTCTGCTTCAAATCTCTTTTATGGGCTCACTGACTTTTGGCTTATATTCTAAAGGTGAGATAATGACAGAACTTTGAGATACCCACCCAATATATAACTTTAGAATAGTTTTTAATTATTATTATTTCTTTTTTATAGAGACGAGGTCTCACTTTATTGCCAAGGCTGGTCTTGAACTCTTGGGCTCAAGTGATTCTCCTCCCTTGGCCTCCCAAAGTGCTGGGATTACAGGCATGAGACACCATGCCTAGCCTAAGAACAGTTTTAAAATCAATGAAACAATAATTTTAGGAAATGTTATAATTTTAGCTTACTAAACTGACTTTTTCACTATAGAATAAATGAATATATGTGAATCCCTACAGATCCCAAATCTTGAGTTATGCAAATAAAATAATTGAAATCTTCCCCTTTTAACACTTAGTGAAAATTTTCAGGATAAAGAGAATGACAGTTCTGACAAGAGAAGAGATGGGAAGGGAAAAACAGTAGTTCTGGAAACATTAGGTAAGGATGTTTGGACTTGGAGAGGAGTAGTGGAGTAGGGTGGACAAGATGACTTTAAAAGTCACTTCCAATGTTGAGATTTCTATAACTCTTGGAAAACAGGTTCCAGGAAGGTTCTGAGAGGCTTGGGATAGAGAATAGATTAAAAAAGGCAGACATGAATCAGGTGGAGGAGCAGGATGTTCACAAATGGGAAACAACTGATCTTGCAAGTTTGTCAAGGAGCTACTGGGGAAGTCACATCCTGCTCCTCCTTCAATAGCTTAAGGACTTTAAGAGGAGACTGGTCAAGAAGTTTCAGCTAGAGTTACAGCCTCTCAAAAACCCAGAAGTTACCTATGGCCTTTTTGAAGGCAACTTGTATATCCTTCTTTAGACTTTGGATCAAAAGTTCTAGCATAGGAATAAAGATGGTGCAAGTCATGATGCCAACTTGTCTTCTGTCAGTGATTTATCTGAGGTACTTCACATGTCTGAAGATGGGGATCCCAAAGGAAGGTCATAGCAGTTAGGTGGGAGGCACAAGTGGATGGATAAAATTATTGGCTTTGCCACTCGATGATTTCATCCTCAAAGCCCTGATGATTAGCAGGTAAGAGATCAGGATGACCCTAGTGCCAGCTATAATCATAAAAGCTGTCAAAGATCACAATAATTATCTTGCTGTTTCCTGAAGTATTTCAAATGAGCTTCAGCAGGGGCAGGATGTGACAGAATTTGATCTAATTGTCATCACAGAAGAAGCGGGCAAATGTGCAGATGGTGTTGAAAGTGGCTCCTGATAGTCCTCAGGTGTAGGCATTCACCACGTTCACCATCAAAACCCAGCATGTCAGCCAGGCATGGTGGCTCATGCCTGTAATCCCAGGACTTTAGGAGGCTGAGGTGGGCAGATCATTTGAGGCCAGGAGTTTGAGATCAGCCTGGTCAACATGGCAAAACCTCATCTTTACTGAAAATACAAAAATTAGCCAGGCATGGTGGTGCATGCCTGTAATTCCAGCTACCTGGGTGGCTGAGGCATGAGAAACGAGAATCGCTTGAACCCAGGAGGTGGAGGTTGCCGTGAGCTGAGATCGTGCCACTGCACTCCAGCCTGGGTGATGGAATGAGACTCTGAAAAAGAAAAACAACAACGACGACAACAACAAATCCCCACCAAAAAAAAACCCCAACATGTCTTGAAGTTCATGGCTTGTAGTGTGGGGCAGTGGGCTGCTTATGGTCATTGCTGTTGGCAGGAAACACTAAGTTCCTACACAAATGAAGAAAAAGGACCTCATTGCTTTTATTAGCGGCCATAGGAAATGGTTGTCTTGCCTGTGGCCAGAATGGCCAGGATCTGAGGCATGATGACTGAGGTATCCCAAAGGGTGACATTTGTTAGGAAGAAGTATATAGGGTGAAGAGATGCACATTCACTTGGGTCAGAATGACCCATTCCATATTTCTCAAAATAATGGCCAGGAAGCAACTGAGAAACACTAAGAACAAGGGCATTTCCAACTCTGGGTAATCAGTGAAGTTCATAAACCCATTCATAGAGATGAGATTCTTTTCAGTTGTAGGTTCACTATTGCTTGCTCTCTGAGATTGGAAATAGAATATTACCTCTAGAACTGTGGACAAGGTATTATTCTTCTACAGTAGTTATTGTGAGGATGTCCTAGGCATATCTCAACGAGAAAGTAAATGGTTGCCCTCTAGAAGACCCATCATTGGTATTTTCTCTTGAGCATCTCCTCTCTTTGAAAACATCGAATGGAGCTGATATGGAGCATTGTTCCTGGTTAAAATCCACCTGTTGGCTCATAACTGGAGTCTTCCACAAAGATGACAGGCTCTGAGAATCTCAGAATTGGAAAAGACTTGGCAAAGACATTCACCTTACAAGTGATGAAGCAAGGACAGAAACAGAATTCTTTTAACTCAATCTCATTTCTTTTTCCAGGAGACAGCACTGATCCTTGTAGACCATTTGACTGTTTTGTGATAGAGAACTCGAGGAAAGACTTCCCAAGGAACTCAAGTAAAGGGTGTTTATTCTACGTCAATGCATGTGAAAACTTCAGCTTCACAGAGGTTGAAGATGCAGGGTAGGTCCTACATCAGGAAGGCCCTAGAGACTACAGCAGAAGGAAGTCAAGGATCTTTGCTTTGGTGTACCACCGCAACCATCACTCAGTTGTACTCTGAGTTCTGAGTCTTTTTTTTTTTTTATCTTGCTGGTGTCATTTCTCTCAATTTTAGGGCTTTGCAAAAAGATTCCTTGGGCTCCTGAAGGAGTTATGGAATGGCTTGAGGAGATCCATTATTATCCAAGTAGTGAGTGAATGAAAAGCATTCTAAAATAAATTAAAATTATATACTTTTTAGAGTATTCATTAATCAGTAAATTGAATTTTTATATTGGTAGAGCTCTAAAATAGTTTGTAGGAGATTGCAAAAGTGGCCACAATACCTCGAAGCAACTCTCATCGAAAGACTGAATTTATCTCTCCATTTCTTGAAACTGTATGGTCTCATGACTTACTTTGATAGAGTGTGGTGGAAGTGATGTCATGCCAGTTGTAGCTCTAGGCCTCAAAAGGCTTTGAGCCTGCTGTTTTTGCATTTTTGGAATCATGAGAATGCCATGTGAATGAGCCTGGATAGCTTACTGGAGAACAGGAAACCATGAGAAAAGGCGCCCCAGTTGCCTCAGTTGTACCAGATGAAGTCATTATTGACCATTCAGGCTCATACATATTGACAATTCAGGCTCATACCTGGCAGAGAACTACAGGCAAATGAGCATATCCAACCAATATCAGCCAAGTCCCACTCAGACCAGAACTGCCCAGCTGAGCCAACACAAACTGCTGACTTGTAGAATAGTGAGTTAAGTGAATGGTTGTTGGTTAAACCCACTGTTTTTTAAGTTTTAAGTTACGCAGCAAAGAGTAATAAATACCTAGTTCTACAAAAACGATTTTCTTTTTCTAAAATGTCAACTTTTATTTTAGATACGGGGGTACATGTGCAGGCTTGTTACATGGGTATATTGCACCCAGGTAGTGAGCATAGCACCCAATAGGTAGTTTTTCAACCCACACCCTCTCCTCCCTTCCCCCACTAGTAGTCTGCAGTGTCTATTGTTCCATTGTTTATGTCCATGTGTGCTCAATGTTTAGCTCCCATTTATGCATGAGAATATGTGGTATTCAGTTTTTTGTTCCTGTGTTAATTTGCTTAGGATCATGGCTGCCTGCTGCATCCATGTTGCGGCAAGGGACATGATTTTATTCTTTCTTAGGGCTGCATAGGATTCCATGGTGCATATGTACCACATTAAAAAAATCCACTTCACTGTTGATGGGCACCCACATTGATTTCCTGTCTTTGTATTGTGCATAGTGCTGTAATGAACTTAGGAGTGTATGTGTCTTTTTGGTAGGACAATTTATATTCTTTTGGGTAGATACCTAATAGTGGGATTGCTGGCTTGAATGGTAGTTCTATTTTTAGTTCCTTAAGAAATCTCCAAACTGCTTTCCACTGTGGCTGAACTAATTTACATTTCCACCAACGCATATAAGCATTCCCTTTTTCCACAGCCTCACCGGCATTTGTTGTTTTTTGACTTTTTAATAATAACTATTCTGACTGGTGTGTGATGGTATCACATTGAGGTTTTTGATTTGCATTTCTCTGATGATTAGTGATGATTAGCATTTTTCCATACGTTTGTTGACTGCTCGTATGTGTCCATCTGAGAAATGTCGGCTCATGTCCTTGGACCATTTTTTAAAAATTATACTTTAAGTTCGGTTACACGTGCACCACCTGCAGGTTTGTCACATAGGTATACATGTGCCATGTTGGTTTGCTGCACCCATCAACTTGTCATTTACATTAGGTATTTCTCCTAATGCTATCCCTCCCCTTGTCCCCCACCCCCCGACAGGACCCAGTGTGTGATGTTCCCCGTCCTGTGTCCATGTGTTCTCGTTGTTCATCTCCCACCTATGAATGAGAACATGTGGTGTTTGGTTTTCTGTCCTTGTGATAGTTTGCTTAGAATGATGGTTTCCAGCTTCATCCATGTCCCTACAAAGGACATGAACTCATCCTTTTTTGTGGCTGCATAGTATTCCATGGTGTATATGTGCCACATTTTCTTAATCCAGTCTATCACTGAAAGACATTTGGGTTGGTTCCAAGTCTTTGCTATTGTGAATAGTGCTGCAATTAACATACATGTGCATGTGTCTTTATAGTAGCATGATTTATCATCCTTTGGGTATATACTCAGTAATGGGATTGCTGGGTGAAATGGTATTTCTACTTCTAGATCCTTGAGGAATCGCCACACTGTCTTCCACAGTGATTGAACTAATTTACACTCCCACCAGCAGTGTAAAAGTGTTCCTATTTCTCCATGTCCTCTCCAGCATCTGTTGTTCCTTGAGTTTTTAATGATCACCATTCTAACTGGTGTGAGATGTTATCTCATTGTGGTTTTGATTTGCATTTCTCTAATGACCAGTGATGATGAGCTTGTTTTCATATGTTTGTTGGCTGCATAAATGTCTTCTTTTGAGCAGTGTCTGTTCATATCCTTTGCCTACTTTTTGATGGGGTTGTTTGTTTTTTTCTTGTAAATTTGCCTAAGTTCTTTGTAGATTCTGGATATTAGCCCTTTGTCAGATGGGTAGATTGCAAAGATTTTTTCCCATTCTGTAGGTTGCCTGTTCACTCTGATGATAGTTTCTTTTTTTTTTTTTTTTTTACTTTTGTTGACTTTATTGATCTAAATAATATGCTATTAATGTAGTCAACATTTACATTGGCTTTCTTAAGATATTAGTTACAGTGTTGACTTAAATTGACCTTTCTATCAGATAAAATGATCAGGGCATTTTTAAGAAACATTTTGTATTGTTAAGTTAGGTCTTCTTCATTTATGCAGCCAAAAGACACATGAAAAAATGCTCATCATCACTGGCCATCAGAGAAATGCAAATCAAAACCACAATGAGATACCATCTCACACCAGTTAGAATGACAATCATTAAAAAGTCAGGAAACAACAGGTGCTGGAGAGGATGTGGAGAAATAGGAACATTTTTACACTGTTGGTGGGACTGTAAACTAGTTCAACCATTGTGGAAGTCGGTGTGGCAATTCCTCAGGGATCTAGAACTAGAAATAGCATTTGACCCAGCCATCCCATTACTGGGAATATACCCAAAGGACTATAAGACACATGCACAAGTATGTTTATTGTGGCACTATTTACAATAGCAAAGATTTGGAGCCAACCCAAATGTCCAACAATGATAGACTGGATTAAGAAAATGAGGCACATATACACCATGGAATACTATGCAGCCATAAAAAATGATGAGTTCATGTCCTTTGTAGGGACATGGATGAAATTGGAAATCATCATCCTCAGTAAACTATCGCAAGGACAAAAAACCAAATACCACATGTTCTCACTCACAGATGGGAATTGAACAATGAGAACACATGGACACAGGAAGGGGATCATCACACTCTGGGGCCTGTTGTGGGGTGGGGGGAGGGGGGAGGGATAGCTTTAGGAGATATACCTAATGCTAAATGACGAGTTAATGGGTGCAGCACACCAGCATGGCACATGTATGCATATGTAACTAACCTGCACATTGTGCACATGTACCCTAAAACTTAAAGTATAATAATAATAATAATAATAATAATAATAAAAAGTTAGGTCTTCTTTTTTTAAAATTTTATTATTATTATACTTTAAGTTTTAGGGTATATGTGCACAATGTGCAGGTTAGTTATATATGTGTACATGTGCCATGCTGGTGTGCTGCACCCATTAACTCGTCATTTAGCATTAGGTATATCTCCTAAAGCTATCCCTCCCCCCTTCCCCCACCCCACAACAGTCCCCAGAGTGTAATGATAGTTTCTTTTGCTATGCAGAAGCTCTTTAGTTTAATTAGATCCCATTTGTCTATTTTGGCTTTTGTTGCCATTGCTTTTGGTGTTTTAGTCATGAAGTCTTTGCCCATGCCTATGTCCTGAATGGTATCGCCTAGGTTTTCTTCTAGAGTTTTTACGGAGTTAAGTCTTACATTTAAGTCTTTAATCCATCTTTAATTTTTGTATATGGTGTAAGGAAGGGATCCAGTTTCAGTTTTCTGCATATGGCTAGCCAGTTTTCCCAGCACCATTTATTAAATAGGGAATCCTTTCCCCATTGCTTGTTTTTGCCTTTGACCATTTTTTAATGAGGTTATTTGTTTTCTGCTTGTTGATTTCTGTTCCTTATAAATTCTAAATATTAGCCCTTTGTCGATGTATATTTGTGAGTATTTCTCCCATTCTGTAGGTTTTCTGTTTACTGTGTAGATAGTTTCTTTTGCTGAGCAGAAGCTCTTTCATTTAATTAGGTCCCACTTGTCAATTTTTGGTTTAATTGCAGTTGTTTTGAGGACTGAGTCATAAATTCTTTCCCAAGGCCAGAGGGTATTTCCTAGGTTCTCTTCTAGATTTTTTTTTCTTAAATTTAAGGTCTTACATTTAAGTCTTTAATCCATCTTGAGTTAATTTTGTATATGCTGAAAGGTAAGGGTCCAGTTTCATTCTTCTGCATGTGGCTAGCCAGTTATCCCAGCACCATTTATCGAACAGGGAATCTTTTCCTCATTGCTTGTTTCTGTCGACTTTGTTGAAGATCACATGGTTGTAGGTGTGTGGATTTACTTCTGGGTTCACTATTCTGTTCCACTGGTCTATGTGTCTGGTTTTGTACCAGTACCATGCTGTTTTGGTTACTATAGCCTAATGGCATAGTTTGAAGTTGGGTAGTGTTATGTCTCCAGCTTTGTTCATTTTACATATGATTGCTTTGACCATTTGGTCTCTTTTTTCTTCCATATGAATTTTAGAATAGGTTTTTCTAATTCTGTGAAGAATGATGTTGATAGTTTGATAAGAATAGCATTGGATCTGTAGATCGCTTTGGGCTGTATGGCCACTTTAATGATATCGATTCTCCCAATCAATGAGCATAGAATGTTTTTCCATTTATTTGTGTCATCTATAATTTCTTTCAGGAGTGTTTTGTAGTTCTATTTGTAGAGCTCTTTCACCTCCTTTATTAGCGGTATTCCTTGGTATTTCATTTTCTTTGTGGTTATTATAAATGGGATTATGTTCTTAATTTGACTCCTAGCCTGGATATTATTAGACATGCTACTGATTTTTGTATATCCATTTTGTATCTTGAAACATTATTAAAATAGTTTATCAGTCCTATTAGCATTTGTACATCTTTAGATGTGCAAAGAACTGGTACCAATCCTGCTGAAGCTATTCTAAAAAATTGAGGAGGAGGGACTCCTCCATAACTGATTATATGAAGCTGGCATCAGCCTAATATCAAAATCTGACAGAGACTAAAGGGAAAAAGAAAACTTCAGGCCAATATCCCCTATGAATATGCATGCATAAATCCTCAAGCAAATACTAGCAAACTGAATTCAGCAGCACATCAAAAAGTTAATACACCATGATCAAATAGGCTTTATTCCTGGGTTGCAAGGCTGGTTCAACATACACAAATCAATAAATGTGATTCATCACATAAACAGAATGAAAGGCAAAAATCATATGATCATCTCAATAGATGCAGAAAAAGCTTTCTATAAAATGCAACATCCTTTCATGTTAGAAACCCTCGACAGACTAGGCATCAAAGGAACATACCTCAAAATAATAAGAGCCATCTTTAACAAACCCACAGCCAACATCACACTGAATGGGAAAAAGCTGGAACCATTCCCCTTGAGAACTGGAACAAGATAAGGATGCCCACTGTCACCATTCCTATTTAACACAGCACTGGAATTCCTAGCCAGAGCAATCAGGCAAGAGAAAGAGGTAAAAGGCATCCAAACAGGAAAAGAAGAAGTAAAACTATCTCTCTTCACTGATGATATGATTCTATACTTAGAAAACCCTAAAAACTATTTTCAAAAATAAAACAATGTAAGTCCATGTACGTTAAAGCAAATCACCTTGTATTGATTCTCTGATTATTAAGCATAATTATAATTTAATTATTTAATCAGTTTCTTAGTCACCTGCTTCTAATATTGTGTTAGAATTTTTCAGAATAACACATTTTTCTATATGGCCTTATTTCTGAAAACAGCTTTGTTGAGGTATAATTAATAGACAATAAAAACTATTTAATGTATTTGATGAGTTTGACATATACATACCTGTGAGACCATCACCACAATCAAGGCAATCAATGTATTAATCATCTCCAAAAGTTCCTTTTGTCTCTTGGTGAGAGTTTTTTGTTTTTTGATGGTAAAAATCCTTAACATAAAATCTACTCTTTTAACAAAATTTTAAATATCCAATATCATATTTTAAGTTGTAGCCACTCTCTTGTACAGCAGATTTCTATAAGTTATTCATCTTGTTTCTGAAACTTTATGCCCGTTGAGCAAAAACTCCTTATTTCCTCTCCCCCAAAACCTGGGCAAATACCTCTCTATTCTATGCTTCTATAAATTTGACTACTTTGGATATCTTATATAAGTGAAATCAAGTAGTATTATTTTTATTCTTTTTTAAAAAATTATGTGCACTCTCCCTCAAATTTGGATTTTATGTTTGATAAATATAAAACTAATAATCTTCAATGGGCTCTTTACTATAGACCATAATATTTTTAAAAATGTCATTGACATTGGGATGACATCAGTAAGATGGAAGAATGGATGGTCAAACACATGTATCCCCCACAATAACAAGAACCCCGCACCCATCCACAGGCAAAAGTGTTTCTGTGGGAGCCTTGGAATTTAGGTAGGAGGTTATAAAGCCCTGGTGGATCCTAGGATGGTCTGAGTGGAGACCAACACCCAGGTTGCAGACTTGCTTGGCTACAGCTCTGTTTGGTCTTGAACCTGCTATTGAAACAATTTACCAAGAGCTTCAGGAGGAATCATGCACACTAATGCCTTGGCAGACAGACAACACACAGACTGGGAGAAAATATTTGCAAATCATACATCATATCAAGGGCTAGATAATATCCAAAAACATAAGGAACTCAACTCAATAGCAAAAAACCAAATAACCCAATTAAAACATGGACAAAGGACCGAAATATACATTTCTCAAAAGAAGACATACAAATGACCAACAGATATGTGAAAAAATATTCATCATCGCTAATCATTAGGTAAATAAAAAGTGAAACCACAATGGAATATCACCTCGCACCTGTTAGAAAAGATATTAAAAAGATAAAAGATGAGTTTTGGTGAGGGTTTGGAGAAAGGGACCCCTTGTGCACTGTTGGTGGTAACGTAAATGAATACAGCCATTATGGAAAACAGTATCAGAAGTTTCTCAGAAAATGAAAAATAGAATTACTATGTAATCCAGCAATCTCATTTCTGGATATATAACCAAAGGAATTGAAATCAGTATCTTAAAAAAAATCTACCATCCCATGTTCATTGAATCATTCTTCACAATAGCTCAGATATGGAAACAACCTAAGTGTCCATCATCAAATAAATGGATACAGAAAATATGGTACATATATACAATGGAATACTATACAGCCCTAAAAAAGAAAAATAATTTAAAATTTGTGACGACATGAGTGAAACTTGAGGACGTTTATGCTAAGTGAAATAAGCTAGGCACAGAAACAAAAATACCACATTTGTATGTGGAATCTAAAAAGGTAAAATTCATAGAAATAGAGAGTAGAATAGTGATTATCAGAGGCTGGGAGAAGGGAGTAAATGGGGAAAAGGGAGATATTGATTTAAGAGTACAAAATTTCAGTTAGGAGGAATAAGATTTAGTGACCTATTGCACAGAATGGTGACTATAATGAATAATAATGCATCATAGATTTCAAAATTGCTTTAACAATAGATTTTAAATTTCACCACAAAGATGAAAAATATGTGAGGGAATGAATTTGTTCATTAGATTGGTTTAATAATTCTGCAGCATAAACATGTATCAAAACACCACATTGTACTCCAGAAATATATAATATATAAATTATTGTTAATCAATTGAAAATAAAGACTATCAGACAAGAAAAATAAAAAATGTCATTTTTGAAGTATAACATTCAGAAAAATTCATATCTATATGAATTTTTACAAATTTAATGCATCTAAATCAAGACTCAATACATCATCAATCTCTGAAACCTCTCTTGTGCACCCTTCCACTGATTATTCCCCCAATACTAATAGCATTGATTAGTTTACTTGCTTTTTTTCCTTTATATACCTGGAATCATACAGTATGAAGTCATTTGTGTCTAATTCCTCTCACTCAATGTTATGTTAGTGAGATTCATTCAGATGATTGTAGTAAACTATTATATTTTAAAATGGAAGCACTACTTTCTCATCATAGAGGTATTTAATAAGCTCTAAGTATATTTTGTTAAATGAAACGAAGGATATTCTTCTTAATTAATTTTTATCTTACTTTAAGTTCTGGGATACATGTGCAGAACGTGCAGGTTTGTTACATAGGTATATATGTGCCATGGTGGTTTGCTGCACCCATCAACTCGTCATCTAGATTTTAAGCCCAGCATGCATTAGCTATTTGTCCTAATGCTCTCCCTCCCCTTGCCCCCCACCCCCTGACAGGCCCCGGTGTGTGAGGTTCCCCTCCCTGTGTCCATATGTTCTCATTGTTCAACTCCCACTTATGAGTGAGAACACGTGTTGTTTGGTTTTCTGTTCCTGTGTTTGCTGAGAATGATAGCTTCCAGCTTCATCCATGTCCCTACAAAGGACATGAAGTCATTCTTTATTTTTTGAGATGGAGTCTCACTCTGTTACCTAGGTTGGAGTGTAGTGGTGTGATCTCGTTCACTGCAACCTCTGCCTCCTGGGTTCATGCAATTCTTGTGCCTCAGCCTCCCGAGTATCTGGGATTACAGGGGCACACCTGTAGAGGCCAGGCTGGTTTCGAACTCCTGACCTCAAATGATCCACCTGCCTTGGCCTCCCAAAGTGCTGGGAGTACAGGCATGAGCCACCGCACCCGGCCTGACATGAACTCATTCTTTTTGATGGCTGCATAGTATTCCATGGGGTATATGTGCCACATTTTCTTAATGCAGTCTATCATTGATGAGCATTTGGGTTGGCTCCAAGTCTTTCCTATTGTAAATAGTGCTGCAATAAACATATGTGTGCATGTGTCTTTATAGTAGAATGATTTATAATCCTTTGGGTATATACCCAGTAATGGGATTGCTGGGTCAAATGGTATTTCTGGTTCTAGATCCTTGAGGAATTGCCACACTGTCTTCCATAATAGGTGAACTAATTTACAGTCCCATCAATAGTGTAAAAGCATTCCTATTTCTCCACAGCCTCACCAGCATCTGTTGTTTCCTGACTTTTTAATAATTGCCATTCTAACTGGAATGAGATGGTATCTCATTGTGGTTTTGATTTGCATTTCTCCAATGACCAGTGACGATGAGCTTTTGTTTATAGGTTTGTTGGCCGCATAAGTGTCTTCTTTGGAGAAGTGTCTGTTCATATCCTTCACCCACTTTTTGATGGGATTGTTTGTTTTTTTTCTTGTAAATTTGTTTATGTTCCTTGTGGATTCTGGATATCAGACTTTTGTCAGAAGGGTAGCTTGCTAAAATTTTCTCTCATTCTGTAGGTTGCCTGTTCACTCTGATGATATTTTCTTTTGCTGTGCAGAAGCTCTTTAGTTTAATTAAATCCCATTTGTCAATTTGTCAATTTTGGCTTTTGTTGCAATTGCTTCTTTTTTTTTGTTTTTGAGACGGAGTTTCGCTCTTGTTGCTCAGGTTGGAATGCAATGTCATGATCTTGGCTCACTGCAACCTCCACCTCATGGGTTCAAGCGATTCTCCTGCCTCATCCTCCTGAGTAGCTGGGATTACAGGTGCCCGTCACCAGGCCCAGCTAATTTTTTTTATTTTTAGTAGAGATGGGGTTTCATCATGTTGGCCAGACTGATCTCGAAATCCTGACCTCAGGTGATTCACCCACCTCGGCTTCCCAAAGTGTTGGGATTACAAGCGTGAGCCACCATGCCCAGCCGTTGCAATTGGATTTAGTGTTTTAGTCGTTGAAGTCTTTTCCCATGCCTATGTCTTCAATAATATTGCCTAGGTTTTCTTCTAGGGTTTTTATGGTTTTGGGTTTTACATTTAAGTCTTTAATCTATCTTGAGTTAATTTTTGTACAAGGTGTAAGAAAGGGATCCAGTTTCAGTTTTTTGCATATGGCTAGCCAGTTTTCCCAGCACCGTTTATTACATAGGGAATCCTTTCCCCATTGCTTGATTTTTGTCGGGTTTGTCGAAGGTCAGATGGCTGTAGATGTGTATGTATGGTGTTAATTCTAAGGTCTCTGTTCTGTTCCATTGGTCTATATATCTGTTTTGGTACCAGTACCATGCTTTTTGATTACTGTAGCCTTGTAGTATAGTTTGAAGTCAGGCAGCATGATGCCTCCAGATTTGTTCTTTTTGCTTAGGATTGTCTTTGCTATGTGGGCTCTTTTTTGGTTCCATATGAAATTTAAAGTAGTTTTTTTCTAATTCTGTGAAGAAAGTCAACTGTTGCTTGATGGGGATAGCACTGAATCTATAAATTACTTTGGGCAGTATGACTATTGTTGTGATATTGATTCTTCCTATCCATGATCATGGAATGTTTTTACATTTGTTTGTGTCCTCTCTTATTTCCTTGAGCAGTGGTTTGTAGTTCTTGAAAAAGTCCTTCACATCCTTTGTAAGTTGGGTTCCTAGGTATTTGATTCTCTTTGTTGCAATTGTGAATGGGAGTTCAGTTATGATTTGGCTGTTTGTCTATTATTTGTGCATAGGATTGTTTGTGATTTTTGCACATTGATTTTGTATCCCGAGACTTTGCTGAAGTTACTTATCAGCTTAAGGAGATTTTGGGCTGAGATCATGGGATTTTCTAAATATACAATCATGTCATCTGCAAACAGAGACAATTCAACTTCCTCTCTTCCTATTTCAATACCCCTTATTTCTTTCTCTTGTCTGATTGCGCTGGTCAGAACTTTCAATACTATGTTGAATAGGAGTGGTGAGAGAGGGCATCCTTGTCTTGTGCCGGTTTTCAAAGGGAATGCTTCCGGCTTTTGCCCATTCAGTATGATATTGGCTGTGGTTTTGTCATAAATAGCTCTTATTATTTTGAGATACGTTCCATCAATACCTAGTTTACTGAGTGTTTTAGCATAAAGGGTGTTGAATTTTATCAAAGACCTTATCTGCTTCTATTGAGGTAATCATTTGGTTTTTGTCATTGGTTCTGTTTATGTGATGGATTACATTTATTGATTTGCATATGTTGAACCAGCCTTGCATCCCAGGTATGAAGTCGACTTGATCGTGGTGGATAAGCTTTTTGATGTGCTGCTGGATTTGGTTTGCCAGTATTTTATTGCAGATTTTTGCATCAATATTCACCAGGTACATTGCCCTGAAATTTTCTTTTTTTGTGGTGTGTCCAGATTTTGGTATCAGGATGATGTTGGCCTCATAAAATGAGTTAGGGAGGAGTCCCTGTTTTTCTATTGTTTGGAATAGTTTTAGAAGGAATGGTACCAGCTCCTTTTTGTACCTCTAGTAGAATTTGGTTGTGAATCCATCTGGTCCTGGGCATTTTTTCGTTGGTAGGCTATTAATTACTGCCTGAATTTCAGAACTTGTTATTGGTCTATTCAGGGATTCAACTTCTTTCTGGTTTAGTCTTTGGAGGGTGTATGTGTCCAGGAATTTATCCATTTCTTCTAGATTTTCTAGTTTATTTGCATAGAGGTATTTATAGCATTCTCTGATGGTAGTTTGTATTTCTGTGGGATCGGTGGTGATATCCCCTTTATCATATTACATTGTGTCTATTCGATTCCTCTTTTTTCTTCTTTATTAGTCTAGTGAGTAGTCCATCTATTTTGTTAATTTTTTTTAAAAAAAACAAGCTCCAGGATTCATTGATTTTTTGAAGGGTTTTTTGTTTCTCTGTGTCCTTCAGTTCTGCTCTGATCTTAGTTATTTCTTGCCTTCTGCTAGCTTTCGAATGTGTTTGCTCTTGCTTCTCTAGTTCTTTTAATCGTGATGTTAGGCTATTGATTTTAGATCTTTCCAGCTTTCTGTTGTAGGCATTTAGTGCTATAAATTCGCTTCTTAACACTAATTTGGCTGTGTTCCAGAGATTCTGGTATGTTGTCTCTTTGTTCTCACTGGTCTCAAAGAACTTATTTGTTTCTGCCTTAATTTTGTTATTTCCCCAGTAGTCATTCAGGAGCAGGTTGTTCAATTTCCATGTAGTTGTGTGGTTTTGAGTGATTTTCTTAATCCTGAGTTCTAATTTGGTTGTACTGTGGTCTGAGAGACTGTTTGTTATGATTTCTGCACTTTTGCATTTACTGAGGAGTGTTTTACTTCTAATTATGTGGTCAATTTTTGAATATGTGCAATGTGATGCTGAGAAGAATGTATATTCTGTTGATTTGGGGTGGAGAGTTCTGTAGATGTCTATTAGGCCCTCTTGGTGCAGAGCTGAGTTCAAGTCCTAAGTATTCTTGTTAATTTTCTGTCTTATTGATCTAATATTGACAGTGAGGTGTTAAAGTTTCCCAGTATTACTGTATGAGAATCTAAGTCTCTTTGTATGTCTCTAAGACTTGTTTTATGAATCTGTGTACTCCTGTATTGGGTGCATATATGTATTTAGGATAGTTGCTCTTCTTGTTGCATTGATCCCTTTACCATTATGTAATACCCTTCTTTGTCTTTTTTGATCTTTCTTGGTTTAAAGTCTGTTCTATCAGAGACTAGGATTGCAACCCTTGCCTTTTTTTTTTTGCTTTCCATTTGCTTGGTAAATATTCCTCCATCCCTTTATTTTGAGCCTATGTGTTTCTTTGCATGTGAGATGGATCTCCTGAATACAGCACGCCAATGGGTCTTGCCTCTTTATCCAATTTGCCAGTCTGTGTCTCTTAATTGGGGCATTTAGCCCATTTACATTTAAGGTTAATATTGTTATGTGTGAATTTGACCCTGTCATCATGATGCTAGCTGGTTATTTTGCACATTAGTTAATGCAGTTTCTTCATAGTGTCGTATATTTTTGTGTGTTTTTTAGAGCGGCTGGTACCAGTTTTTCCTTTCCACATTTAGTGCTTTTTAAATGAAGGATATTCTTAATTCTAATTTTTTTTTTTACACTGAACTGTAAAAAATTTTCAGCTTCTGTATTTTTGATGTGCAATTTTTTTGCTTTCCAGTTAGAATGTTTTTCATTAATTTTATAAGACATAATAATATATATTTTGAATGTTTCATCAAATTTAGATATGAAAAAATGATTGTTGCTATCAACTATTTTATTTTAATTCAAAATATAAGTTCATTCAATTAAAATTGGGAACTATATCAAAAGATACAGTTTTCTTGCTACAAGTCGATATATTCTAAGCCACAATTATGCATTTTCAGAATTACATGTCATGCACTGCTTTTGCTTCTTTTTTCGTTTCTCCTTTTTATACAGGGGATAAATTTTGATGCTTTCCAGTTTGCAAGATCAGTTTTCAATATTTGGAATTTGCTAATGTCTTCAAAATTTGAATGTTTTTGTGCTTTATTTACCACAATTTGTGACAAAAGACTAAAGATTTCTAACTGATTTTGAAGAAAATACAACTAGAATTTTGAGAAAATGTTCACGAGTGGATTCAATACTATTGTAGGTTAGTTACAGAGTCATATTTTAAAAGCTTAAACACTTCTCCGGTCCTGTGGATTAGAGGCAGGAAAGCAACAATGAGTTGCAGCACTGCCCTGCAGAAGGGTTTATTGTTTATTTTTGTTTTTTTTTGTATCTAATTTCATGTTGATAAAAAAATTTGGTAACTCAACTTCTCTAACTCTGTCTATTCTAAAAATGTTTGTAAATTTGAGCAATTATAGCTTCTATTTTGATGGAAAGACAATCATAACTTGTTTAGATGCACTTCAAAATTATGCATACCACACTGATTCCAAATATATGTATTTCATAGATTTCATAATTCAATAAAAATATTTTTTATCATGATGTTATATTTCACTGAAATTTGAATTTAAAATATTTACAAACTATGCATCTGACAGAGGACTAATATCCAGAATTTACAAGGGACTCAAACAGCTCAACAACAACAAAAATACCAAATAATTCCATTAAAAAGTGGGCTAAAAGCCTGAACAGACATTTTTCAAAGGAAAACATACAAATGACCAACAAGCATGTGAAAAAATGTTCAACATCACTAATCATCAGAGAAATGCAAATTAAAACCACAGTCAAATATTGTCTCATACCAGTCTGAATGGCCACTATTAAAAAGGCACACTTTGGGAGACCGAGGCAGGCAGATCACGAGGTCAGGAGATTGAGACCGTACTGGCTAACACGGTGAAACCTTGTCTCTACTTAAAATACAAAAAATTTGCTGGGCATGGTGGTGGGTGCCTGTAGTCCCAGCTACTCAGAAGGCTGAGGCAGGAGAATTGCTTGAACCCGGGAGGTGGAGGTTGCAGTGAGCCAAGATCACACCATTGCACTCCAGCCTGGATGACAGAGCGAGACTTCATCTCAAAAAAAAAAAAAAAAAAAAAAAAGACAAAAAATAACAGATATTGGCAAGGGTGCAGAGAAAAGGAAATGCTTATACACTATTAGTGTGAATGTAAATTAGCACAACCTCTAGAAAAATATATGAAGATTTCTCAAAGAACTAAAAATAGCACTATCATTTGATCTAGCAATCCCACTACTGGATATCTACCCAAAGGAAAAGAAATATTTACATCAAAAATATGCCTGCACTCATATGTTTATCACAGCACTATTCACAAAAACAAAGCTATGGAATAAACCTAAGTGTTCATTGACATATGACTGAACTAAAAATGTGGTATATATACACAAAGGAATACTACTCAGCCATAAAAAGGATGAAGTCATGTCTTTTGCAGTGACATGGATGGAACTGGAGGCCATTATCTTAAACTAAGCAAGTCAGTCACAGAAAGACAAATACTGAATGTTCTTACTTATAAATGGGAGATAAATAATGTGTACACATAGACATAGACTGTGGAATGATAGACATTGAGGACTTGGAAGGGTGGGTGTGGTGAGAGCAGAATGGATGATTGAAAATTACTTAGTACAAATTATTCAGGTGATATATACTCTAAAAGCCCCAATTTCACTGCTACACAATCTATCCACATAATGAAAATTACACATGTACCTTTTAAGTTTATATAATACCGCCCTCAAAATACATCTACAACAAAACAGTGTTGTTTCTAAGGTTGATGTTTTCCAGCTGAATTTAAATACTCACAATAATGTCAGATATTTTATCTCTGACAGAATGAACTTTCAACCACTTTACTTTGAATTGAATGCAAAAATCAAATTATTGGAATAACTTAAATGATTTTCTGTTTGAAACATTTAGTGATATGTTATATGACTGTCACCATTTCACTGTGTCCAAAATATTATTTTTGCTATTAGAACCAATATTTTACTAAGTATTGCTTTATTCTTTTTGAACACAAAAAATTGAAATTAAAAAATGAACAAAATTGCCTTTGATTTCAATGAAAAGTCATGGTTCACAGAATGACGTGTAAACACACCTGCTATAGTTGTGTTTTAAATCATTATCATCAGGCACAGTCTTTGAAAGCAAATCCTCATGCATCTTCAACAGATTTTTATCTTCTAGTTTTCAAATCCTCATGGACATTACTATTACTTCCACAAGGGATGATAGACTCTGACAAACATTTTGTGCAAAATACATGTTCGTCAATTTTGTTGAGTAACATGCACTTCTATCTCTTGAGTTTACTGCTATTGAGAGTATTTATTGCAAAATTACAAAAGGTTACCAAACAAAATATATTGCTGTGGCTTTGTATCATACAAAAACTGACCAAACCACTGTAGCAAGAGCTTTCAAACTACCCTCTAGATTTTCTACAGCAGGGCTTTTTAGTTCTTGTTTTCTGCACATTTTTCATTTATACCTAAAAGCCTGCCAATGGAAAACCTGTCAGCTTTGTGCATCTTCCATGCTATGGCATGGGCCATAATACAACTGGCTGGTACACCAGGTGGCTGCTAGGAGCAGCAGCATAGATATTCTCTTACTGCCACCCTAGACCACAGAAATTAGCCCTCCCTAGATCCTTGTGTCTGACATATACATATTTTTAATAGAGAGCATCTTGTGTGCTTGTATTAGTTCGTTCTCCTGTGGCTATGAAGAAATATTCGAGACTGGGTAATTTATAAAGGAAAGAGGTTTAATTGACTCACAGTTCTGCATGGCTGGGGAGGCCTCGTAAACTTATAATCATGGTGGAAGGGGAAGCAAACATGTCTTTTTTCATATGGCAGCAGGAGAGAGAGTGAGTGCTGCATGAAGGGAGAAACCCCTTATAAAACCATCAGATCTCATGAGAACTAGCTCACTATCATGAGAACAGGATGGGTGAAATCACCACCATGATTCAATGATCTCCACCTTGTCCCTCCCATGGCGAGTGGGGATTATGGGAACTACAATTCAAAATGAGATTTGAATGGGGACACAAAGCCAAACCATATCAGTGCTCTCTTAAGACAAGAGATTTTAGTCTGGAAAGAATCAGGAAAATCAAGATAAGATATGATTGATTTGTCATTTAGACTTAAATACGCATCAAAGTGACAACTCTGTTCCATGCATACATGTCTCACACCATACTAGGTCTCAGTGTGGTAGAAGCTGGAGGTATAAACTGAAAGTTACAAAACTAATAATAAAAAAAATGAAAAATTTGGGACAAATGTTACATTGACTGGAATGCCTGGACAACATATGTATTTAAAGACTATTCTGGAAAGCCATGAAATTGTAAATATACTTTTCCCTCCCTCTCTTTCTTTCTCCCTCATTTTCTCTCTCTCTCTCTTCCTTTCCCTTTTTTTTTTTTTTCAGGAGAACCAACTACCAAATACAGGTTTTCTGTTTTATGCTGACAGCACTTTATTGAGGTATAATTTACATACAGTAAAATACATTCATCTTACATGTATAGCTGAATGAATTTAAAAAATATGTATGCATGCATATCACCACCACACAGATCAAACTATTAAAGATTTCTGCACTCCAGAAAATCCCTTCCTGTCCCTGTCCAGACAATCATTCTTCCTCCACCCTCCACAGACAACCGCTATTCTGACATCTATGACTATAAATTAGTTTGCCTACTTAAGCTTCGTATAAATGAAATCATGGAGTATGTTCTCTTGTGTTTGGATTCTTTCTTCTTTTGGTAATATATAATGTTTTAATTTTTAGAGATGGAGTCTTGCTGTGTCACCCAGGCTGGAGTGCAGTGGCACTATCAGCTCACTGCAGCCTCTACCTCCTGGGCTTAAGTGATCCTCTCACCTCAGCCTCCTGAGTAGCTGGGACTATAGGCCTGCACCATACACACCGGGCTAATTTTATTTTTTTGAGACAGTCTCTTTTTTTTTTTTTTTTTTGAGGTGGAGTCTTGCTCTGTCACCCAGGCTGGAGTGCAGTGGCGCAATCTCGGCTCACTACAACCTACATCTTCCGGGTTCAAGCAATTCTCCTGCCTCAGCCTCCTGAGTAGATGAGATTCCAGTTGCCCATTACCATGGCTGGCTAATTTTTGTATTTGTACTAGAGACAGGGATTTACCATGTTAGCCAGGCTCGTCTCGAACTCCTGACCTCAAGTGATCCATCTGCCTTGGCCTCCCAAAGTGCTGGGATTAGAGGTGTGAGCCACTGTGCCCTGCCTAATTTTTAAATATTTTTTGTAGAGATGGGGGTCTCACCATGTTGCTCAGGTTGGTCTCAAACTCCCATCTTTAAACGATCCTCCATCTTGGCCTTCTAAAGTGCTGGGATTACAAGTGTGAGTCACTGCACCCGGCCTTGGCTTCTTTCATTCAACATAATATTTTTTGAGATTTGCCCATGTCGTTGTATGTATAAATATGAATATTCTACAGTTTGTTTATCCATTATTCTGTCCATACACATTTGGGTTGTCTTCAGTGTTGAGCTGTTGTGAATCAAGCTTCTGAGGACATTCTTATAAAAGCCTTTTTGAATGAGTATGTGCATTCATTTCTCTTGCATATATACTAAGGAAAGGGAATTACTGGGGCATAGGTTAGATGTGTATTTAACATTATAAGAAACTGGCAAATACTTTCCAATGTCATACAATTTTATATGGACCATGCCAAGTGTTGGAAGCCATACGAAGAAACTGTAACTCTCTATTGTTGTTGTAATGTCAAATGTAAAACCATTTTGGAAAATAGTTTGGCAGTTGCTTAAACATTTAAACATTTGTCTACCATAAAACCCTAGGTATTCCACTCCTAGCTATTTGCTCAAGACAAATAAGATGGCGTCATATATCCACACACAGACTTCTGCATGAATGTTCATAGCAGCCATGTTTGTATCAGGCAAAAATGTAAAACAATCTAAATGTTCATCAGCAGGTGAATGAGTAAACACATTCTGGTATATCCATTTAAGGAAATTCCATTCAGCAATCAAAAAGAACTAATGGTGCATGCAACAACATGGATAAATCCCAAGATAATTATGCTGAATAAAGCCAAACAAAGATGAGTTAATACTTTTGATTCAATTTGTGTAAAATTGTAAAAAATGCAGAGTGATCGACAATGACACAAAGCAGATAAGCGTTTGTAAGGAAATGGAGCATGGGAGAGAGATGGATTACCAAGTTGCATGAAGAAACTTTTTGGAGTGATGGATATGTCCTTTATGTTGATTACGGTAATTGTGTATATATGTGGCAAAACTCTTTATATCAATTAAATCTCAATAAAGCTAACTAAAAAAACAAGTTGAACATTGCTCTTTCCTCTTCTATTTTTTGAAGAAATATGTATAGAACTGGCATTTCTTCCTTAAATGTTTGAGAGAAATCATCTGCACCCGGGGTTTTTTATCCCGTCGTGGGGATGGAGTGGGAGTGAAGTGTTCTTAATTATAGATTCAATTTCTTTAACAGGATATATGACTCTTTAACAGATATGTGACTATTCAGATTCTATTTCTTCTTGTTTTAGTTTATGAAAGTTAACTTTATTAAGGAATTTGTTTCTTTTGACTTGTCAAATTTTTTTGTCATGCTAGTTACAATATCTCATATTTTATGATATCAATAGAATCTGTAGTAATGCCCTTTTTCATTTACATTATTGGTAGTTATGCCTTTTACTAATCTTTTCAAGGGACAAAAATTAACTTTGTTGGAGTTTTAAAAATCTATTTTTAGGCTGAGGCAGGAGAATGGCATGAACCCAGGAGGCGGAGCTTGCAGTGAGCCGAAATCACGTCACTGCACTCCAGCCTGGGCGACAGAGCGAGACTCCGTCTAAAATAAACAAATAAATAAATAAATAATCTATTTTTATTAGCAGCTTTGTTGAGGTATAATTGACATTCATCTGTTTTCTGTTTTATTGATGTCTTCTCGTTCTTATGTCTTCTTTGATTTTCTTTGGATTTAATTCGATTTTCTTTTTCTAGCTTCTTGAGTCGGAAGCTTGGATCATTGATTCTAGATTTTTCTTTCCTACTACAGTCATTTAGAATTCTAAACACTACTTTAGAATCATCCCATTAAGTTTCATGTTTATTTCACTAGTGTTGATTTTAAAGTATTTTCCTATTCCTATGCATGGTTTATTCATCCATGCATGAGTTATTTAGGAGTGTGTTGTTCAATTTCTTTTTGTTATTAATTACTTGTATTACTAGTTTCATACCATTGTGGTAAAATAACATATTTGGTTTGATTTCAATCCTTTGTGATTTATTAAACCTGACCAACATGTGATCCATTTTGGTGAATATTCTATATACACTTGAATGGAATTTGAAGTCTGCTGGTTTGGGATGTAGCATTTCCTATATATCAAATAGGTGAGGTTGCTTAATAGTGTTTTTCAAATCTTATTTATCCTAAATGATTTTTTGCCTACTCTTTCTATAAATTATATATTTCTATACATTATATATAATATATAAAATAATATAAAATATATAACATAATATAATATATAAAACATATAACATAATATATATAACATTATTTCTGTACATTATACCTTATTGTATTTTGAAGCTATGTTATTGGGTGCACAGATATGTAAGGTTGTTATGGTCCATCTGATAAATTCATCATCTTGTCATTATGAAATGTTTTTCTTTATCTCTGGTTATATTATTTGTTCCAAAGTCTCTTTTGTCTAACATTAATATAGGCACCCTGGCTTTCTTATGCTTAGTGTTTGTGTGGCATATAATTTTCCGTTCTTTTATTTTCAACCCATTTGTGTCCTTTTCCTTGAACTGTGTCCCTTGCAAGTAGCATATAGGTGGATCTTATTTTTAATAGTATGGCAGTCTTTGTCTTTTGGTTGATCGGCTTCATCCATTTACATCTAATGAAATTACTGATGTGACCCAGTTTAAGTTTTTTATCTGGGAATTTCCTTTCTATTTGTCACATTTTCTCTTTGTTTTCTTGTTTCTCTTTTCCTTTCTTTTGAATCAATCATGTTTTTTCCTTACTATTTTGTTTTAGCTTGTCTTTTGGCTTTTTAGCCATACTTGTTTGAATCATTTTTTAAAATAGCTGTGCTTAAGTTACAACATACATCCTTTTGGTGACTATCAACTACTCCCAAATTTAGTTACTTAAAATGACACACACTTATTGACTCGTAATATTTTGTAAATCACATTAGATGGGGTGCCTTAGTTTCTGTTCCACATAGTGTAGGCTGGTTACAAAGCTAGGTGGGCTGGGTTGGCTGGCTCTCCCACGCCAGGTAGTCTCTCATCCTTAAGAATGCTAACCCTTGGAGCAGCATTTCAAGAGAGTGAGAGCAGAAGCTGTAAGTCTTCTTGAAACCTTGGCTCAGAACTCATACAACATCACTTTGCCACATTTATTGTAGACTCTAACTCTCAATGGAAGGATCTCTAGACAGCATATGGCTATTTTTTGTTCATCCCATAGTGGCTGCTCTAAAAATGGCAACACATACCCTTAATTTATTATAGATTGCCTTGAGTTAATTTTATACCATTTCATGTTCAATGTAAAAACTTGCAATGGTATAATTCCGTTTACTTTTTCCCTTTGTCCTTTGTGCTATAATTGTCATATATGTTGCTTTTGTATGTGTTATAAACTTTATCATAAATTGTTATTTTAATTAGACATTCAGTAGTTCCTTAAAAATTTGAAAAAGCAGTATTTTATGTTACACATGTTTACGCTTTATGGTGTTTTTCCCCTTCCTATAGATAAAAGTGTTCATTTGCCACTATTTCTTTTATATTTATATTTATTTTCTGTATGTTTATATTTATATTGAATATTTCTTATAGTTTGTGTCTACTGAAACTATTTCTTTCAGCTTCAATTTATCTGAAGATGTCTATTTAGAATTCATTATTGAATTATATTTTTACAGAGTATAGAATTCTAGGTGGTCATCAATGGATGAATGGATGAAGAAAACATGGCATATATACACAACGGAATTTTATATGGCTGTTCATCCATATAAAAGAATGAAATTTTTTCATTTGCAGCAGCATGGATGGAACTGGAGAACGTTGTGTCAAGTGAAATAAGCCAGGCACAGAAAGATAACTATCACATTTTCTCATTCATATGTGGGAGCTAAAAAATTGGTATCATGGAGGTAGTGAGTTGAATGGTGGTGGTTATCAGAACCTGAGAAGTGTAGTGGGGTTGGAAGGAAAAGATGGGTTGGTTAATGGGTACAAAAATACAGTTAGATAGAATAATTAACTCCTAGTTTTTGATAACACAATAGAATGACTATACATATATTTATATTTTTATGAATAAATAAACATATATATAGTATTTATATATAAGAAAGAGTCTTGTTCTGTTCCTTAAGAAATCTTTATACTGTTTTCCATAGAGGTTGAACTAATTTACATTTTCACCAGCAGTGTGTAAGCATTCCTTTTTTGCCACATCCATGCCAACATTTATTGTTTTTTGACTTTTTAATAATGGCTATTCTGGCTCTGGTAAGGTGGTATCTCATTGTGGTTTTAATTTGCATTTGTCTAATGATTAGTGATGAACATTGTTTCATATGTTTGTTGGCTATTTGTATATCTTCTTTTGAGAAATGTCTATTCATGTCATTTGCTCACTTTTTGATGAGATTATTTACTTTTACTTCTTACTGATTTGAGTTCCGTGTAGATTCTAGTTATTAGTCCTTTGTTGGATACATAGTTTGTAAATATTTTCTCCCATTCTGTGGGTTGTCTGTTTACTCTGATGATTATTTCTTTTGCTGTACAGAGCGTTTTAGTTTAATTAGGTCCCATTTATCTATTCTTGTTTTGGTTGCATTTGGTTTTGGGGTCTTAGTCATAAATTCTTTGCCTAGGTCAATGTCCAGAACAGGTTTCCTAAGTTATCTTCCAAAATTTTTTTTTCTTTTGTAACAGAGTTTCATTCTTGTTGCCCAGGCTGGAGTGCAATGGCACAATCTCAGCTCACTGCAACTTCCGCCTCCCAGGTTCAAGAGATTCTCCTGCCTCAGCCTCCCGAGTAGCTGGGATTACAGGTGTGCACCACCACACCTGGCTAATTTTGTATTTTTAGTACAGACGGGGTTTCTTCATGTTGGTGAGGCTGGTCTCAAACTCCCCACCTCAGGTGATCCACCCCCCTTGGCTTCCCAAAGTGCTGGGATTACAGGTGTGAGCCACCACGCCCGGCCATCTTCCAGAATTTTTACAGTTTTGGATCTTAGATTTAAGTCTTTGATCCATAGACTATAGTTAGGTCTTTTGTTTTTTTTCTGATTTGGCTAGTGTATACTTTTTAATTAGATAATTTAATTCATTTACATTCAAGCTTACTATTGGTAAGTGAGGACTTCTGTCATTTTGTCAATTGCTTTCTGGTTGTTTTGTAGTTGTTTTGTATACCCTTTTTACCCTTTTTAACTTTTTTCCTCTCATTATTTATCTTTGCAGTTTAGTGTTTTTCTGTATTGATAAGGTTTGATTCCTTTCTCCTTCTGCTCTTTCTGTGAGTTTTATACTTTCATGTGTTTTCATGATGGTAGTTATTGTCCTTTCACTTCCAGATGTAGGACTCCTTAAGTATCTCTTGTAAGGCCAGCCTGGTGTTGATGAATTTCCTCAGTCTTTCCTTTCTTGAAAATATTTTATTTCTCTATCATTTCTGAAGCAAAGCTTTTCTGGGTATAGTATTCTTGGGTGGCAGGTTTTTTTTTTTCTTTCAGCATTTTGAGTATATCATTTCATTTTCTCTTGGCCTGCAAGGTTTCTTCTGAGAAGTCTTCTGTTAGTGGAACGGGGATTCCCTTATATGTGACTTGACATATTCTCTTCCTGTTTTTAGAATTCTCTTTGACTTTTTAAAGTTTCACTAAAATGTGCTCCAGAGAGGATCGGTTGGGTTGAATTTATTTAGGGACTTTTAAAGTTCCTGGATCTGGATGTTCATATCTCTCTCAAGACTTTGGAAATTTTCAGCTATTATTTCATTAAATAAGTTTTCTACACTTTCCCCCATCTCTTCTTCTTTAGCATCCATAGCATGTATATTTGTTCACTTAGCGGTGTCCCATAAGCCCTGGGAGTTTTCTTCACAAGTTCATAAATTCTTTCTTCTGCTTGATCTAATCTGTTGTTGAAGCTCTCACTTGTTTATTTGATTTGATTTCATTCACTGAATTCTTTGCATCTATATTAGTCCATTCTCACGTTGCTATAAGGGCATACCTGAGACTGGATAATTTATAAGGGAAAGAGGTTTAATTGACTCACAGTTCCACAGGGCTGGGGAGGCCTCAGGAAACTTACAATCATGGCAGAAAGGGAAGAAAACACGTCCTGCTTCACATGGCGGCAGCAAGGAGAAGTGCAGAGTGAAGAGGAGGAAGCCCCTTATAAAACTATCTGATCTCATGATAATTCACTCACCATCATGAGAATAGTATGGAGGTAACCGCCCCTGTGATTCAATTATTTCCTACTGGGTCCCTCCCACAACATGCGGTGATTATGGGAATTACAAGTTCAAGATGAGATTTGGGTGGGGATATAGGCAAATCATATCAGTATCCAATATTTCTTTTTCATTGTTTTTTATGACATCTATCTCTTTGTTAAATTTTTCACTCAGATCATGAATTATTTTCCTGATTTTGTTGAATTATATATTTATATTTTCTTGTATCTCACTGAATTTCACGAAGATTAATATTTTGTTTTTTTTTACATTTCATAAATTTCATTTTTTGAGATCTGCTAAGGGAAAATTATTGTGTTCCTTTAGAAGTGTCATGTTTTGTTTTTGTTTTTTACTTTTTAATGTTTCTCATGCTGCTACATTATCAGTGCATCTGGTGGAATAGTCACCTCTTTCAATTTACTGGAGTAGCTTTCATAAGGAAAGAATTATTACCATAGATGGGGCCTAGGATGTCAATTGGGCAGAGTGCATTGGCTTTTATTCTGGGTAAGCACAGTAGTGTGTTTTAGCAGCTTCTTCAGCTATAATCCATATTAGTAGTGTTTGTGAGTGTCTCAGTGGGTTAGACTTTGGGAATTTGTAGTAGCAGAGGTGTGGCTTTGCTGGGGGTGGGCTCACTGGACTGGTTCTCAGGCCAAGGGTGTGCATGGGCATGCACTGCATCAGTAGCATGGATACTTTTGGAGTAGTCATTTTGCACAAAATATTCTTTTCTACCAGGCCAGATTTCATTCAAACATGCATTGGCATCTAAGCCAAACTCAATTAATCAGAATCCTTCTCTGGGAATATTATTAGTGAAATACAATGTAGCCTAAAACACTTTACTATCTGAAGCCAAAAATATGAAAAAATATATACTGAGTAAAACTAAAATATATGAAGCTTGTATTTTGTACAAGGCCATGACCTGCCATATGAACTGAAGGAGTGGAGAAGAAAGAAAAGAAAGAAGCCCATGGATAAAGAGGAAGAAGGATAAGAGAGAGAGAAAGGCCAATTCTCAGTTGGATGGTAGTTTTTTTTTTTTTTAATGTAAAACATTCCCAGAACAGAAGTCTTCATTCCCTACCCCTAAAATTGCTTTTTCCCAAATCTTCTCCAGTACCATCTGAGGTATCCAAAAATAAGTGTATTTTGCCTATACAAAATAAGCTTTTGTACAGGCAAAACATAATAATTTCCCCGAATATGGGAGGAGTGATTTGTAGGAAATAAAATGAACAATAAAAAAGTAATCTGATTATTCATGATTTTTTGGAATGTTAATAATTGTAACCGCAGATAATCTCTAGGAGAGTCAGTATTGCTTAGCCAATGCAACACTTTTCTTTTATCTTTGATGGGCTCCTTTTAGTGAGGCAGGACTATGTGACTAGTTTTAACCAATGCACTGAAGCAGTAAATGTTCATGTGTGAATTTGTAGTTTTTTATCCTCTGCTCTGGTGATTGAGGAGATTGCATGTTCCGGACAGTATAGCTATTAAAATGGTGGGGCTTCTTTAATCCTGGGTGCCTGAATGGCTACATGAAGCAGATCCCCCTGTCAATTTGCCTGAGTCAAGCATTGTGAACAATAAATAACATATTTTTTTGGAGTCGATTGTTGCTGCAGAAAACCTAACCAATTCGGACTAATCCAAACTTACAAATTAATTTTCATCATCTTTAATTTTTATAACAATTCTTTCAAGTAGGAAATATTGTTCTTTTTTGATTTGAGGAAACTGATGTTCTGAGAAGGTAGATTTTTTTTTTTTGTAGTTTACAGAGTTATTAAATAGCAGAGAGGATACAAGTCCACTTTTATTATAAATTCTATGCATTTCTGCATCTACACCCCTGGTTAACCAGATATTATCTTTAAGAAATTGTGTAGAGAAGGTAAGATAGACACTAATAATACTTTATTACTCAACCATTTGAGTTGCCATGACATGCAAATGAAATGACGACAATGCTCTGTAAGATTTATTCTGAAGCAGCAATTAATTTATACCTTTATTGAGGTATAATTGATATACCAAAAACTGTACATATTTAATATATAAAATGTGATGAATTTGGTCATATGCTTACATATAAAACCACGACCAAAATCAAAATAACAAAAATATTCGCCACCTTCAAAAGTTTCCTTTTGTCCCTTTTCCTTTTTTTGTGGGAAGAACAATTACATGAGATCTACCCTCTTCATAAACTTTTAAGTTTACAAAACTTTATTGTTAACTATAGGCTCTAGGTTGTGCAGTAGATCTCTGGGACTTATTCATCTTTTTTAAGTGTAACTTCATATCCATTTTCCCTTCCCTTCATGCCTTGGCAACCACTATTGTATTTTCCGCTTCTATAAGTTTAAATATTTTAGATCCCTCATAAAAGTGGAATTATACAGTATTTTCTGTCTGTGACTTATTTGACTAAGCATATGTCTTCCAGGTTCATCATCTTGTAGCAAATGGTAAAATTTCCAGTTTAAGGCTGACTAATATTCTGTTTTTTTGTCTATACCACATTTGGTTTACCCATTCTGTTGATGGATGCTTGGATTGTTTCCATATCTAGGCTGTTGTGAGTAATGATGCAACGAATGTGGGAGTGCAGATCTTTCTTCGAGATCCTAATTTAAACTCTTTTGGATATATGTCCAGGAGTGGGACTGCTGGATCATTTGATAATTCTATTTTTAATTTTTTGAGGAAACTCTCTACTGTTTCCCATAGTGGCTGTACCATTTAACATCCCCACAAACATGTTCCACCCCCTTGGACACTGGAACACATCCAAGGGTTCCAATTTTTGTACTTTCTCACCAACATTTGCTATCTTTTTTTTTTTTTTAATAATGGTCTTCAAAATAGGTGTGAAGTGGTATCTCATTGTAGTTTTGATTTGCATTTCCCTTATGATTTAGTGATGCTGAGCACCTTTTAATATACCTGTTGGCTGTTTGTAGGTCTTCTTTGTATAGATATATATTCAGTTCCTTTGTCCATTTTTTAATTGTATTATTTATTTTATTACAATTGAGTTGCCGGAGTTCGATATATATTTTAGCAATTAACTTCTTATTAAACAGATGGCTTGCAAATATTTTTTCCCATTCTTTGGGTAGCTTTTTCACTCTGATGATTGTTTCCTTTGCTGTGCTGAAGGTATTTGGTTTGATGTAGTTCCACTCATCAATTTTGGATTTTTTTGTTTGTGTTTTTGGTGTCATTATCTATGAAATTACTGGCAAGACCAATGTCATGAAGCTTTTCTCCTATTTTGTTTAGGAGTTTTACAGTTTCAGGTCTTACATTTAAGTTTTTAATCTGTTTAGAGTTAATTTTTGTGTGTGCATAACGTAGGGTCCAGTGTCATTCTTTTGCATAGTGACATGCAGTTTTCTTAACACCAGTTATCGAAGAGACTGTCTTTTCCCTCATTGTGTATTCTCGGCACCTTTGTCAAAGATCAGTTGACCATATATGTGAGAGTTTATTTCTGGGCTGCCTATTCTGTTCCATTGATGTATATGTCTATTTTTATGTCAGTACAATACTGTTTGAATTACTATATTTTGAAATCAGGAAATGTGATGCCTCTGGCTTATTCTTCTTTATCAAGATTGCCTTAGCTATTCTAGGTATTTTATTGTTCCATATACAATTTCTATTTCTCTAAGAAATGCCATTGGGATTTTGATGGGAATAGCATTAAATTTGTAGATTGCTTTGGATAAAATGAATATTTTAGTAATATTAAGTTTTCCAATTAATGAATGTGGGATGTCTTTCTTTTTTTTTAAATTATACTTTACGTTCTAGGGTACATGTGCAGAATGTGCAGGTTTGTTATATATGTATATATGTGCCATGTTGGTTTGCTGCACCCATTAACTCGTCATTTACATTAGGTATTTCTCCTAATGCTATCCCTTCCCCATACCCCCACCCAATGACAGGCTCTGGGGTGTGATGTTCCCCACATTGTGTCCAAGTGTTCTTATTGTTCAATTCCCAGTATGAGTGAGAACATGCGGTGTTTGGTTTTCTGTCCTTGTGATAGTTTGCTCAGAATGATGGTTTCCAGCTTCATCCATGTACCTACAAAGGACATGAACTCATCCTTTTTTATGGCTGCATAGTATTCCATGGTGTATATGTGCCACATTTTCTTAATCCAGTCTATCATTGATGGACATTTGGGTAGGTTCCAAGTCTTTGCTATTGTGAATAGTGCCGTAATAAACTTACGTGTGCACGTGTCTTTATGGTAGCATGATTTGTAATCCTTTGGGTATATACCTAGCAATGGGATCTCTGGGTCAGTTGGTATTTCTGGTTCTAGATCCTTGAGGAATCACCACACTGTCTTCCATAATGGTTGAACTAGTTTACACTCGAATGTGGGATGTCTTTCTATTTATTTGTCTCTTCTTTAATTTCTTTCATAAATGTATAGTAGTTTTCAGTGTACCAGAAGCAGCAATATAGAAGAGAGTATTAAATGAAGCATTATGACCCTGTCCTCAGGAGTTCACCATCTGATGTGGACAATAATTACTTCTATAATCATAGAGGCTATTTTTACCTGAGAAAGTAGTATCAATTGAGACTACTTGCTACAGGTCTATCATTGTTGACTTTGCAGACCCTGGGAACAAGCCTGAGAGCAGTAATTGTCATGAGGCAGGCACTGTGTTTAGGAGGAGAAAAAAAGAAATTGGAGATTCAGAATCTAGAGAACTGTCACTTAAGAAGAAGATATTATAGTCCTGCAGATATTAGAAACCATTTAGGAAGACATTAGAGGAAGAGTAGCCAAAAGAAAGCACCCTTTCCCTATCTATTCTAATTTTTTCTGATTAGAAATTTCACTGAGTTCATAGGTTCTTTTCATTCACTTTATAGTGAGTTGGTAGGTTATCCATACCACAAAAAACCCTTATTCTCCAATTAGTACAATTTATAGCTATAATTTTCTACAAAGAGTAAAGTCAGTGTCAATGAGCACAGTAACAGAAGAATAAGTAAGGGCAACTAAGAAACCCAAGCATGGCTGAGTTGGGGAGTGGGAGGTTGGATATGGTAATCAGTTCGCTTATGACTATGCTACTTTTTATCTCTGTGATGCCAGAGAGTAGCCCTAGAATCCAGAAAGTTTGGGAGGGCTAAGGAGAGAGCGGGGAAGAAAAATGGAGGTAGAGGAAGTCATCCAAACCAACATCATGAAACTTGCATTTTCCTCTACAGGACAGGTAGTTCCTGCCCACTTACAGGCACTGAAGAAAACTACCTACTGTACATTGTTGAGGGAAATCACCATCTGGTGATGATGCCCACCAGAATATGAAGACCTGGAGAAAAGATGGGTCATGATGAAGGACCCTCATCAAAAGCTACATTCGTTGGAAATTGGAATTTACCAACGAGTTTTCCAAATGCAGCTTTTACATCTTTGTTCCTCAGACTGTAGATCAAGGGGTTCAACATAGGGATGATTACAGTGTAAAAGACAGACACTATCTTGTCTTCCTCTGAGGATTTGGCGGAGTTACTTCTCTGGTACATGAAGGCAAGTGTCCCAAAGAAGAGGACAACAGTGGTGAGATGGGAGGTGCAGGTGGAGAAGGTCTTGGCTTACCCACCTGCCGACTTCACCCTCAAAATGGCTCTGATAATGAGCATGTAGCAGATCAGGATAACCATGACATTGGCTAGGAACATGCATTTTGCACAAAGGAGAATGACAATCTCAGTTTGTGTCATGCTGCTGCAGGCGAGCTTCAGCAGGGGTGGGAGGTCACAGAAGAAGAAGTTGATCTGATTGTCACAACAGAAGGAGAGGGTGAAGGTGCACGTGGTATGCAGAATGGCCCCTGACACCCCACAGATGAAGGCACTGGCCAAAAAGACCCTGCAGGTACCTGGAGTCATGGTCATGTTACAGTGCAGTGGATTGCTAATGGCAACAAAGCGGTCATAGGCCATCACTGACAGCAGGTAACACTCTGTGCCTGCACATATGGTGAAGAAAGAGAACTGCACAGCACGGCAGCCATAGGAGATAACTGTCTTGTCTGTGGCCAGTGTGGCCAGAATCTGAGGGGTGATTACTGAGGCACAGCAGGCATCCAGGAAAGCAAGGTGGCTCAGGAAGAAGTACACGGGGGTGTGGAGTTGGGCATCCACTTGGATTAGAATGATCATCCCCCCATTCCCCAGAAAAGTGACAAGATAGAAACTGAGAAACACTAGGAAGAGTGGAACTGCCAGTTCAGGGTGATCTGTGAAGACTACAAGAATGAACTCTGTCACAGTGCTGAGATTTCTTTTGGCCATAGGCTCAATATAGCTGGTTCACCTGAAGAAGATAATGAAATTGAGATTCCAGAACTAAAGGTCTTTGCTTTCTTCAGCGTCAGATGTTAAGTAAATGTCCCAGCCTCTGCTCAGAGAGAAAAAAAGTATTTACCATCTTGAGTCCACAACTGGCAGTTACTATGGAGAGCTTTTATCTCTCTCTGCATCCCACCTGAAATTGGACCTTGGTGCAGTTTTTCTTCAAATTCACTTGCTTATTGTCTGGGATGTTTTCTTTAAGACCAGAGAATGTTAGACCATCAAGACTGGAAGGGACCAATATGGGGTCCCTCTGTGCTAGAATAATCTCCCCAAATTGTTATCTAGCTCAGGTGTGCATGAGGGCTGCCTCTATGTGGCTTCTTAGGCTGTGGCTGCATGACTCCAGGCAGGGCCATTCATACAGATGTCATGTGAATGGTGCCTCCAGGGTTGTCAGTGGCAGAGCTCTTTATGTGATGGAGGCTTTCTGTCCACTCTGCCTTTGGAAAATCTACTTGTTGAGTAAGCTAGATTGCTCTTTCTATACCTCCTACACATTAGTATTATGCTTGGCTCTGTGTGTTGGGTAAAACCAACTCTCTTCTAAGACAGATAGTGGTAATGCCCACTTTTATATAGTTTCTTCTTCTCCAAGTCAAACATTCCCAGTTATCCCAACAATTCCTTGTGAGCACTTTCGTAATCTATTTTTGCTCTCCTATGAACTATGTCATCACCTGCCTTGAGTTTCTTTTCTTGAGGGACCATGAAAGACAGTGATTCTGTGAAACCATTAGGTTTATGGAGCCTTTATTCTGTGTTAGACATTTCCACATTAATTTAGTGATTCCTCCCAATAATCCTGGAATAGCTCTTATGAGTTTCACTCTTGAAATGAATTATCTGAGGTTCAGGAAGTTAAGGTGACTTGTCAAAGAATAAATTGCAAGTGCTGAAGCCAAGATTTAAACCATTGTGTCATAACAGCAAGACATTTCTTGTTTTGCTATCCTACACTGGTCCTTCTCGACAGTACGCCTTCTACTTTAATTGTTACCTCTGTACTCTAGAGGTAGTTCATGGAAAGGGTTCATAGTGTTTGGTAAAATCAGTTTTCTATAGAAATCAGGCTGATTATTCCCTTTCTGGTAGTGGAAGTTCCTTTGTCAGCTACTGATTGTTCTGGACTGTGATCTCCAGGATGAAGTCCCTGGAGAGTGGGTGGAGTCGCCTCCATCAGCAATTGCAAGACTCACTGGGAGGCTGTCTGGAATCAGGTTTAGGGACTTGTTTGTGAAATATGGGGTCCTACCAGTCACAGAACTTCCACAGAATCCTTCAGGGCTGCCTACTGATTTTGAGCCTAGGGATTTCATGGCTCATGAGGCAAACCCAAAGTTCTGGTATTCCAGACTTGGAAAGAATACCAGATTCACCAAATTCCTAATAATTAACAACTCCACTAATGTGTGGAAATTGATGCATATAAAATCTACTGATGAGTGTTAGCATGGGCAAGGACAACCCTGGTTTCACCTATTGCTCCCACCTCCTTTAGCCTAATGGAGGTGGGTCTAATGGAAACTGAGAATGGAAGGGAGTCCTAGAGTACTGAATTTAAGGAGATGCTCAGGACCTTAAGAGCAGGAGTTTATGCATCTTTACTCCAGAGCACTGCTTTTACTGTGATTATTCTGTGCTTCAACTGTCTGCTCCTTTCTAATCCTCTGTCAAAGGAGTTTCCTATTGTTTTAAAACCTTCTCTGCTTTCTCATGAATTTGACTTATACATTGCTGTGGCTCATCACCTCATGGAGGTCCATCGCCTTTAGTTCTGTTGAAATAGAAAAATTATTTCAGGGTTTCTTAATTCAAATCTCTTCAAAAGAGATTTTGATTTATCCAGCTGCTTTTTTGGAGTGGCCAGTACATAAATTAGAACGTTGAAGGTATGTAGCCATCCTACATATTAACTCTCTACTGTGTTCAAAGGGACCATACATGACACAAAACATGGCTCATGCCTTCAGCCTGGGTTGCAGTTGGGGCTGACACAATGGCATCTCTTCTGGACTTGTCCTTATTGTGACCATGACTCATTTTGGAACTTTCTAGTATAGACATCTTGAATTCTCACTCCAATCTACTATCCTATTCTATGACTTAATAACTCTTCTTGAGGTAGCATTTTACATGATTATTTAGCCACGAGTCCTTTTTGGGGGGGGTGGGCATGGAAATTTTGAGGTATGTAATCTATGCTTCAGGACATGCTTGACTAGATGATCTTCCAGTACTGTTTCTGCTTTGTCTGTCTCTGAATCATAAGATTATAAATATGGGCCAGGTGTGGTGGCTCATGCCTGTAATCCCAGCACTTTTGGAGGCAGAGGCAGGTGGATCACCTGAGGTCAGGAGTTTGAGACCAGCCTGGCCACCATGGTGAAACTCTGTCTCTACTAAAAACACACACAAAAAATTAGCCAGGTGTGGTGGCCTGTGCTTGTAATCCCAATTACTTGGGAGGCTGAGGCAGGAGAATTTCTTGAACCCGGGAGGTGGAGGTTGCAGTGAGCTGAGGCCACACCACTGCCCTCTAGCCTAGGTGACAGAGTGAGACTTCGTCTCAAAGAAAAAAAAAAAGATTATAAATATGTTTCTTTGAGGCGCTTAGAAGATTACTTTAAGTGATTCAATATGGGAACTAAATAAACCACAGATTCAGATTTCTAAATAATCATATGCTTTACAAACTGATAGCTATGTCTCACTACCTATTAGGATTTATGTTGTTATGATTGGCCAACCACAGTACCTTTTTTTCCTAGAAGGGCCATACCTTTTAGTCCAGCCCTGGACATGTCCCGTTGGACTTGCATAACTTTGTTTATGCAGCCTGAGAATAGATGCTGTCATACTCTCTCTGATTGACCTCTTTTGCCTAGAGGGATGCATTCATCTGTCAGCTTTCTCCTGGAGAGTGGTAGCTACAACTTGCAATGTCCCAACCATGAACGTCAATGATTTTCTCAATGGGAAAACCTACACAATAAGAACATTCCTGGAAACCCCAAGCTTATCCGTTAGTTTCTGTGCCCATATATGTCTGATGCCCTACATTTGGATGTGGCATTATGTCAGGCAAGCATCTGAGTGACTTGTTTTTCCAGTGTTTAGGGATCACTCATTGTGCACATGGCTGTCAGAGTGGGCTCAGCAAATCCTGACACACTGGTAGTGGTGGCTCACTATGCTCCTCTCAACACTTGTTGAAAATACCCACGATCACCCTCAGAGACCCAGGACTTATGGACACACAGAACCCTAGAGTTGGAGAGGACCTTGGTGATGTGGTTCTGTGGTTTTCTAGCTATGTTCCTCAGCCTCAGCTCTGGAAGAGCTGTCTCAAGGAGACACAGCAGTGGGATGTGAAGGGAAGGCTCAGCAGGTGGGTGCTGCCATTTCAGCCTCAGAATTCTTATAAACAATGAGGTGCTTCATTTCATTTTGCTTAGAAGCAGGGCTCTACTGTTAAAGAAAATTTTAATGCACCTGGTCTACTATATTTTCTTCATTTTGCAAAAGAGAACAATGAAGTCCAGAGAAGTGACTTTCACCCAGTAAGTCAGAAAACATTCCCTCCCAAGTCAATCTTGATGGGACCTCAACACTAGTGTCCCATTTGGTGCCTCAGGAAAGGCAACAGATTCATGAAAGTACAAACCAGAACTAACAAGTCCAGGATGGGACCATGGGGGTGGGAGGACTGCTGCAGGACAGCCAGAGGCTAGGAGACACTTCCCAACTCATTACCCCCCTCATTGTACTCTCTCTTCCTGTAACAACCATTTCCACATTATCTTCTCAAAAGGTTCTTGTTGCAAATAGCTTTCTTACAAATATCACCAGTGGGGACAACCTACTCAGAGCTGGCTAGCTCATTCGCAGTTCATGCTTTGAGCAGTTGGTGATGGTGTTGTATAGGGGGGTAATAATATAACTCTATGCCAACTATTGTCCCCTGCACTTGACATATTTGTTCCTGATTATAGCCTCTGCAAAGTGTGCCTTTCTGTGCCTGTTTTATGGAAGACAGAACTGAAGGCTGGGGAAGATAAATAACTTATCTAAAAGGTCACACAGATAATGTTTAAATTATGTTCAAAAATTGGAAAGCACATTGAATAGTCTCTGGAATGTATTTTATTTCCAAGCATAATATAATTATAGAATTTACATTACCTCATAGGGAAAGAGCTGGTCCTTGTGCTCCTGTGAAGAGCTTCTGTGAAGAACTGTTAATATTTCTTCTGTTTCTGAGCAGGTCCAAGGAGAATGAGATTGCTGCTGTGAGAATCTGAAACCCACAAAAAATGCAATCACCAAATCTTCTTCTGGCCAATTTTATGCATATGCTAGAAACCCACCTTTGAACCCACCCCAGCAGGTAGCAGGGCCAACAGTACGCCTAGTTTTACACAGCATTGCTGGGTAAAATTCAGAGCCTTGGACCTCATAGGTCCTCCAGGTGCCCAGCTGTTTTGCCTTATTTCCCAAACAACCCAATTAAGACCATCTTGTTTCTGAATCACTGAATTTTCTGATCCAATTGTATCCTTGGGTGGTTTTATCATTTTGTCTACATCACCTAAGATGATGCTTATGTATGAAATTGGTAATGATAAATGAAAGAGAGACTCTCTCCTTTTCTCTGCAAGTCACTGTGATGATTTACCTCCCCTTAGTGGGGGTTGTGTGAGCCCAGTCTTGCCTGCAAACCATAAATTAATGAGTATGACAGGGCTTCCAACTTCTGGGAGAAGCCTGTTACCTTCAGTTAGAGCTGACTACAGGGATATTAAATCCTCCTTTCTCTTCATCTAGGTAGGCAAACATTGGGTCTGGGGATGAAAAGGCTCAGGAGGGTAAGTGGCAGACCCTGAATGATATACTTTCCCATGCTTCTCTGTTGCTCTTTGGGGAATGAGCACTGTCACCTTCATGCCACTTCCTTCAGAGTTAGAAAGAAATGAGATGATCCAGATCTATTAGATTGGTGCAAAATTAATTGTGGTTTAATACTTTGACACATTACAGATGAGGAAGCAGACCCAGAGGGGTTGTGTTGTATGTCTTGCTTGAGGTCACACAGCTTCTCCAATGCCAGCTAGAGGTTGTGTGGGATGGTCAGAGTGGTGGTGAAGGCAGTCAGGAGGAGGAAACTGGGACTTCCGGCTGCAATGGGTTTGAGCAGGTTGGTCTCATCTATTAGCCTGGATTCTAGGAAGCCTGGCTGAACTCCTCATAGGCTTGCCTGTCCACATGGCTTACCTGTCCGTACTATTCTGTGCGGAGCCTTAAGCACCAGGCATTCTTCAGTTTAATCACCTGCCTTCTAAATGTTCCCTGGGATAAGCGTTCAGTTGTACAGGATATTTAACTTTGACATAAAGAAAAGCTGCTTTGAGAATTGAAACTTGAAAATAGCTAAGAGAGTAGTTTTAAATATTCTCACCACAAAAATATTTATCATAATTAACAATAACATATGTATTGATATACGTATGCACTGTAGAACTGCTAAATCAAGCTAATTTACTTGCAATAACAAAAATGTTATTTATTGTGAGACTTTGGGTAAATAATTTAATTTCTCAGATCTAAAGCAAATAAAGCAATTCCTAATTCAAGAGGATATTGTACAAATTAAATAAAATGAATAAGATGTAGCCAAGCACTCATCTGGTATATGCATGTTATTAATAATTAGCTGGATTTAGTAGTTCTACAATGCATACATATATCAAAGCATGATGTTGTACACCACAGGTGCGTACAGTTTTTGTCAATTAAAAATAAAGAAAAGGAAGGCTGCTTTAATGGTGGAAAATCAGTCAAAACAACAGAGCAGGGAAAAGCCATAACTGAGGAGGAGTCTCCTAACTTCCCTTGAATCCCACTATGTTGTTGCCAAGGAAAGAGAGGTGTGTGCCACTGTCTGACATGGGCGTCGAACCCATGACTCAGGCTTCCATGCTAGTTTAGGGGTGCAATGGGGGTCTGCATATCTGTTTGTATTTTTAAATGAAATATAATACATATACAAAGAAGTACCTTAAAATGAATACAGTTTAATAAAAATCTTTAAAAACAAATACTCAGGCAATTGCTATCAGACAAAGATAAATAGAATACTTCCTCTCTCCAGAAGTTCCTATGAAGTTCTCCCCTTTCACAACTCCCCTTGCTCCTATATCTTGGCTGTGGTTATAACCATTTACTTGTGTGATTTAAAGCTTTGTCATATGTGTATATATCCCTATATTGTGACTTTGTTTAGCCTATTTTAAAAATTATATTGTTTCTAATTACTTTCTTTAATAAGATGAATGTTTCCTTCTCACATAAAAGAAGCCCGAGGATAGGCAGCCCAGGGCCCATAGGGTGGATTAAAAATGTCATCAGGGACTTAGGCTTCTCTTTTTCCCTGCTCTGCTGTTTTCTATGCATTGCTTTCATCTTTAAGGTCAACTTATGGTCCACAATAGCTGCCAGGGCTCCAGCCATCACATTCATTCCCCAGGCCAGAAGAAAGAAAAACCGAAGGAAAGTGTTTTGAGTTTTGTGCTATTACAACAATGCTTCATGAACATTCTGTACCCATATCCTAGTGTGCATGGGCAAGAGTTTCTCCAGTGTGTATAGCTAGGCCACTGGAATAGCTGGGTCACTGGTTATATATTTTTTATTTCTAAAGGATTGCCAAATTGTTTTATAAAGTTGTTAAACCCATTTATACTACTCATTTTTCATATCCTTGTCAACACAGTGGTATCATAGTTTTAAATTCTTGCTAACTTAGTGAACTTATTATGGTTTTAAGTATGCATTTCCTGATAAAATTCTTACGAGAATGATGCTTATTATTCTCATTTCCTAATGAGAATAAGCAGCTCTTCATACATTTAGTAGCTATTTGGATATTCTTCACCTTGGTCAACCTGGTTTTCTATTCTGAATCTCTTTTACATGTTCAGCTTCACAATGCTGATGGAAAATTTTTATTAGCTCAACATGGGTCAGGTGCTTATTTCTGAATCAGTCAACTACAAGATATTTGGTGAATTATTTTAATAAAATTGTTGTTTCCATATGGAGAGGCAATGAGGATCAACTTTTCATAAAATCAAAGCTGGGTAGAGGAGTTCATATATTCATAAAATAACATATTCACTTACAAATACATCCTTTTATTATTCTTGACTATGTGGGATATAGATACATGCACTCCACCTTTCCAGGTAAGTACTCGTTTGTTTTATTCCTTGGTGCAAAGGATTGAGTTATACATCTTCCTCAGTTCATTGCTTTCATTGACTTTTATCATCATTGGTTGGTGATCTATTTTGCTTTTGTCAGTGGCCATTAAATTCTAGCAAGGGTCCAGGGTTGACATCAGAAAGTGAGGGAAAGGGAAGAGAAGATAAGAGAGCAATCTATATTGAACATCTGATTAGTGCTTGGCTATTTCTTATTCATCATTTTATTTAATTTTTACAATATCCTCTTGAATTGGGAATTGTTATACTTGTTTTAGGTCTGCAAAATTAAATCATTTACCCAAAGTCTCATAATAAATCAGTGGTGGAATCAGGATTCTGATTCAAGCCTGACTCCATCCCTTGTCTACTGCTGTATACTCCGAGTACTCTTTGACTCATGAGGAAGTACTTCCTTAATTGCAAAATGGGAATTTTACATTAAACTATGTTTTTCCCATTTGCCATAGAGTTGCCAGAAGGCTCAAATAGGAACAAGCATGTACCATACAAATTCTTTCAAAAGGCTTTGGACTCAATAGTGAAGAAAACATTCTGTTCTCAAGGGTTTTACAGTCTGGTACAGGAGTCATGATTACTTCCCCTCTCACCAGATCTTCATTAGAGAAGGTAATATGGGGTTCAGTTGTCTTTCTATTTATCTGTTGGTGCTCTCTGATTTGCTCTTCCTGGAAATGGGTTGCTTGGTAGGAGAGAACTGTTCCTGAGACACGCAATAGGGTGAGGAGGAGAAGCAATGTACCATGGCCTTCAGAAATGAGAGAGCTTGAGGAGACATTCCCAAAGGTAGGATGGTTCATTTCATCTTGAAGATACCAAAGTAACATTAAAAAAAGGAACAACAAAACCAGTAAGGTACCAAGTGATAAGGAAAATTTCAAGTTCTATTGTTCTGGCCTGAGCAAGAAGGAAGACACTCTAAGCGGGTGACACAAGTCTCTTCTGAAGAGAGAAGTTCATTTCTCAAACTTCCTTCCCTTGGCCAGTTGGAGACTGAGTTTTTCCTTATACAATACTCCCTGCTTAGTGAGGTGATCAGTCCTTCATATTAAAAGAAAAAAAGGCCAATTTGTGCAATTCGCAGAGGTCCCCAGATATAATCTTTGACACAGAGATAAAAGTGGGATTGATGGGAGCAAAAACAAGAGGGAAAGGATGGCAAGCCCAGGCATGAGTTGAGAGAGTATTGGGTTGGAATGAAATAAACTCAAGACTCCTGGGATCTGAGATTCTATAAGTTGTGACATTAGAGAATATTAAGAGACTGCCCAGTGCTAAGGAATGGATTGAAAGTGGAAGAAGGGGATAAGAAGAAAGAACATGGAATTGCTGGAAACTAATTTCACCACAATTGTAGTTTTTCCTGTGTGCCTGGTGGTACCTATCTTCTGTCTTCTCTGTTTGTGGGTATAGGTTGCATATAGTAATGGTGCCTATTAGGATATATTCATATGGGAAGAAAGTGGACTAAAACAAGAATTCCTCTTACTTAGATCTACATGCTCAGGGACACCTGGAGTCTCCTAGCGACCTTTCTGAAGGCGTCTTTTACATCTTTGTTTCTTAAGCTGTAGATCAGAGGGTTCAGCATGGGGATGACCACTGTATAGAAGACAGACACGACTTTGTCTTCCTCCAGAGATTTGCCTGAGCCACTTTGCAGATACATGAAGATAAGGGCTCCAAAGAAAAGGGCCACAGCAGTGATGTGAGAGGCACATGTGGAGAAAGTCTTGGCCCTGCCACCTGAAGACTTCACTTTCAAAATGGTCTTGATGATGAGCAGATAGGAAATCAGGATGACGGAGGCATTGGCCAAAATCACAAAATTGCCAAAGAAGATGATGACAATCTCGATGTTTGCTGTGTCACTGCAGGCAAGCTTCAGCAGGGGTGGGAGGTCACAGAAGAAGAAGTTTATTTGATTGTCCTTACAGAAGGAGAGGGTGAAGGTGCAAGTGGTACGCAGGATGGCTCCTGACACCCCACAGACATAGGCTCCTACCACCAGGCTCCAGCAGAGCCTGGGATTCATGGCCACGGTATAGAGCAGTGGGTTGCGAATGGCAGCATAGCGATCATAGGCCATCACTGCCAGCAGAAAGCACTCTGTGCCTGCACAGATGGTGAATAAAAAGAACTGGGCAGCACAGTGGCCGTAGGAGATGACCGTTTTGCCTGTGGCCAATGTGGCTAGGATCTGAGGGGTGATGACTGAGGTGTAACAGGCATCCAGCAGGGAGAGGTGGCTCAGGAAGAAGTACATTGGGGTGTAGAGTTTGACATCTACTTGGATTAACATAATCATCCCCACATTCCCAAGAAGGGTGACTAGGTAGAAACTCAGAAACACCAGAAAGAGGGGAATCTCCAATTTGGGGTGGTCCATAAAGCCCATGAGAATGAATTCGGTTACTCTGGTGAGATTATTCTTGGCCATGGAGACAATGTGGACTGTTGGTCTGAGGATGATAATGAAATAAAAAGAATCTCAGAATTGAAGGACAGAATCTTTCCCTCTATGGTGGAAGTTTTGGTTTTAATTCTGGGTCTATTTGTAGAGTTTGTTTTTAAGAAATTCTGAAACTGGCTGATTTTCCTTGGGCATCTCTTGCATTTTATGGAACTGAGCCTTAAGCTGGTATTTCTGATTCAAACTAATCCTAGTTTACATTTGGAAATTTCTGTAAAGATAAGAGGCATACAATTCTTAGGTTTGGAAGAGACCTAGACAGTATCTGTTCCAGTCCCATCTGGGGCTGGAGTCTCACTTACCATATACCCACCACACGGTCACTCAGTTGCCGTATGAGCCTCCATCTGCAAACAGTTCCACCTGTTGATTCTCTTTTTGGACCTAGGGTTTCTCCTTCTGTACCTTTCACACACTGGCCTTAGTTTTACCCCTTCTAGATACAGCAATTTTAATCACTTCTTCTTATGAAAGCCTTTCACAAGTTGGAACTGATGAATCTGCTCTTCCTGCCCACCATTCCCTTATAGTACACATTGATATATTTTCCGTCTTACTATATAATTATTCAATGGGCAGTAAAAAAATTGCCTAGTCGAATAGTATTAGCTGATAACAAAAAGTCTTTCTTTCTACTTTAATCATCACCACCCCAGCTCAGGGGCCATCATCTTCAACATATTGCATTTTATATTTTTTAGTTACTTATACATCATGATTATAAATAATATGTTCAAACTCGTGGACTTGCTACTTTTTTATGACCTTGGGTAAGTTAACTAACCCCTTTGTGCCTCAACTTTTCATAAAATCAAAGTTGGGTAGAGTTTATACATTGTCCAAAATCAAAGTTCATACATTCATAAAATAACATATTCACCTATTTGTAACATAGAAAAATATGCTTATGTCATAGGGGTCTTTTAATTTTTTTAAGGAAAAGAAAATTTATTATCTTTTTTTGAATTTGAATATGTTTTTATTTTTTATTTTCATAGGTTTTTGGGGAACAGTTGATATTTGGTTCATGAATGAGTTCTTTAGTGGTGATTTGTGAGATTTTTGGTATATCCATCACCCGAGCAGTATACACTGAACTCAATTTGTAGCCTTTTAAGTATTAATAAGTTAATACCTGTAAGAAGTGTAGATCAGTACCCAGCACATAAAGCTAAATAATGTTGGCTACTTTTGTTGTTGCTATTATCATCAATTTTAGTTGGTAGCTATTGATTTTCTGTACTGAAACATAATCCATTTAACCCGCATGAACTTTGTTAATATTGCTATCTTTGTGTAATATATTTGTATCTTTATTTCAATACCATATATATATATATATATATATATACATATATTCTTGTTTTTTGACTGAGTAAATTTGACCTTCACTAAGTAAGATGAAGAAATTATTCCCTTGTTCTTTTCTCTCTTCTCCCTTCCACCCCCTTAACAAAAAAATCAGTCTTTTATCCCATTCATATGGGAATGCTTGCTAATTTAAGTCTTCTCTATATTTTGACTACGGGTTGATTCTACTATCAGTAATTTGTGTTTCTCTATTATGACTATGTACATGCCATACACAAAAAGACTAAATATTGTGATTGGATACACAGAAAAGGAAATGTCATTAAACTTCTGCTTCTGGGAGAATCTTTCAAACATCAAGTCAAATAAATGCTCCTTTCTTTTGATCTAACAAATTGGTTAAAATAATTATGTTTAGTTTGCTTTATATTTGAGTCATGGAAATTTTGCATTTCCTAAGATTTCCTGTTGCCATATGGTACAGATTTGAGTCACCTCGTAATACTGCATAATACCATGTTCCAAGTCCATCCAGGATACTCATTAAAATGCCTAAAGCCTTCCTTGGGAGAGTGTGCATGGAAGCCTAGGTTCCCATCTCTTTTTTTTCCCAAAGTCATCTCTACTCTCCCAGGACCTGCCAGAAACCTGGCAACAATCCTACTGGACAGGTGACATTAGTTTGTTTGTGTTTGAGAAGTGGAGATTGGAGAAATGAAACCATCCGTTGACCCACATGTAGAGGAGCCAGGATCCACAACCAAGTCTCCAGATTCCATTATCCTACACTGCTCCCCTTGAACCATTTGCCTGGCCTCCTTAATCTTACACCCCCAACTTCCTCAGGTTGGAATCTGCCAATTCAGAGTCCTTGAATCTAGAACTATGTTTGATGAAGCCATGAATATAGAAATTAGATTGTTAAGAAACTCTTTTCCTTGTAGCACAACTGGGAATTTTCTTTGCTGTGGCAACATGGGGATTGCTATTTTTGATAAAATCCATAGTAGTAAAAACTCATCATAATACCTCTTTCTACCTTCTTTCATACATTTTATATCCATAAATGTCTGTGATTGCCTCCACACCCCTGTAAAGTTGACTTGATTGATATTGTCATTATTTTGGCATTGAGACAACTGACAGAGGTTAATGACTTGTCCAAAAGTCAAATAATTAGCTATTTGCAGACTTGGGGATAACAGGCAGGTCCTCTGGCTTCCATGGGATCCCTTTTTTTACTTCTCTTTCACCTAAGGTCTAATTCCACTGGGACCTGCCAGGAAGAGGTTTTGAACTTGTGATGAGGCCCCATCTCTAGAATCATTGTGACTGCTTTATTCACTACATGGGTAGAGAGAGACAAGCAGCACACACTTTCATGAAAGGGCTCATGGTAGCTGTTCTTGGGTCTGGAGCTTACTTCAGCTCTAATCAGGGTCCTAGTGGGAGAGAGACATTGACAGATCACGTCAAACATGTCCCAGGGCTATTCCATCCACCTTGCTCCAGCAGCAGGGTCTGGGGACGAGTCAGCTTCTTTGGAAGGCCTTCATGGTATGGTTCAAGCTCTGTGGTTGTCACCTCTATGACAGGCACTCACTAGCTGAGTAAACTTCAAACGTTTATTTTCCCTTCAACATGGACTTCGCTTTCTATTCTATGAAATGGCAGAGCTAGGTTATATGACCACTGAATCTTTTGTTTCTCACAATCCATGATTTATATGTCTAGGTATTTAGGCTCTGTATCTACTAAATACTGAGTATATAAAGCAATGCAGGCACTATTTCAAGTGATTTATAGTTACTTAAACATAATATTTTGGGGCCTTAGGTAGAAAATTGAATGGCCTTTACTCCTCAGTTCCTGATAAACCATCATCATTGGTCAGGGCAAGGCTCTTCTTCATTTTATTTTATTTTATTATTTTTGTTAGTCCTGCCTCATTCTTACTCCTTCCCCTGTTCCTCTTAAGTGTGCACTCCAGTGTATTCAAAATACATATCCTTCTATGTTTATTCTTTTCATATTTATTTAGAAATATATGTATATTAAAATATAGTGGCTGTGGTGTGTTTTAAAATTTGTGTACATGATATTGTGACATAAATCTCATTTTTTAGCATACACCGTATTTTTGTGATTTGTTTATGTAATTGTGGTAAATTTTGTTTTTTTTTTCGGATTTTGTTATGGTCTTGCTTGGTATGCTTATAACATATTTTACTTATCAATTCTACTAGAGACTGTGAGTGCTTTGCATATATTATTTAATTCTGAAAGCAGCCCTTTAAGCAGATATTATGACCTTATTTTTACCAATGAGGAATTTAAATCTTTGGGAGATTAATTTGTCTAAAATTACCTCCAAGTGAAAGTAGAAGCAGAAGAGTTAGTTGATGGCAAATCCTCTGCTTTCAGCTATAAATTTGTTTTGTTGTCTCCCTCCATTTTCCTATATCTTTATAATCTATGGAAACAAAGAAATCTCCCTGCAGTTAATCAGAGCTTTTTTACCTTCAAATCATGAGATAACTTGGTTAATTTCAACACCTTTCTCAGTATCTACTTCTGAAATTGTTGTAGGTCATATTACATCTATCTCATGGCTAATTCCTGGGGGTCTCTCTGATTAGAGACACAATTGTTCAAGGCTCCTGACCAGAGATTAGGTGGCAGATTGTTGGGGTGCAGATGCAATCACACTGAGTTTGTGGCACATGCATGCAAGGCCTGTTTCATACATTAGCTCTAGTCCTTCCTGAAGCCCTCCAAGTTGGGTATAGCTATGACTATTTTATGGATGAACAAAGCAGAGTTCAGAGAAGTTAAGAAGGTTGTCCAACTTATTATACACCTAGGAAGGAACAGAACAGACATTTGAACCTAGGACATTCTAATTCCAAATTCTGTATTCTTTCCATCTTATCATGTTCTCTTTTTAGGGCATGAGAAAGACCCTTTATGCAGATCCAAGCCCCAAACCTTTAAAATCAAAGCGCCTCTCTAAAACCATTAGGCAAATACTCAACTTCTGTGGGCATCAAGTATAAAGATTGATGTTGGAGTTCTTTGTGGTCCATGTTTTTTCTTCTTTTTCTTTCTTTATAACTTGAGAGAGACTTAGTTGGACCATATCCCTCTTGATATACCCTTGGAAAACTGCTCAACCAATTGGAACCTCAATTTTTTCAATAATAAAATGAGAATATAGTAACGATTCTTGAAATAGAATGGATGTTTATCTAATATGGTAGAGCTTGCTTATTTTTCAGACAGGCAATTTCCAAAATATTTCCCAGAGGGAAAAATTTTAGGAGCAGACTGGTGACACCCAGTTTTGTGTGATCTTGTTTAAGAAGGAGATTGGGGTACCATCAGCTTGGGTGAGGCCAAGAGTAGAGAGAAACAACCAACTCCCCGAACCCAGGACAGTTTATGAAAGGGAAAGCAACGGTTTATGGCCAGTGACTCTTTTAAGAAAGCCTAGGAACATTTATAGGTTGATATTATTACTTGTGATATATTTAAATTATAATATGTGACATAAAAGAATATGTGACCTCTGGAGGGGATAGGGAAAAAGACTCCTCTAATTCAGGAGGAACCCTTTACAGAAGAGATGGTCCCTAACACTTGTACTTACTTTAACTTGGGATGTTCTCCATACTCTTCTTCATTTTCCTCCAAAGATTGAGTCCCTTGGGGAGGGTGAAGGAGCTCAACAAAGTTAATGTTTCTCACCTTACTGAAATCAGTGTCTTGAAATATTGTTGTTAACATTTGCTGAGCTCTTGCTCCAAGTCAGGTAGATGCTAAGCACTTTAAAGGCTTTTATTTCCTTTCAACTTGACAATAACATAATGAGAGAGAAATATTTTATTTTACAGATGAGGAAATGAAGGTTTAGAGACATTAGATGTTTTGCTTGAGGTTTCACAGCTAGAAAGAAAATATGTTTAAATTCTAACCCTGGTTCTCTGACCCCAGAGTTGGAGTGTTGAATCAACACGCTGTGCTGCTTTTCCTAATCCTGGCAACCATTTATCGAACATCTTCTCTGCGCTGATCACAATACTATGCATTGTAGACACATTAGTTCATATAATTCATACAATGATCCTACAAAAAAGGTATTATTTTGTCCTGGAAGAGACTAGGACTCGGAATAGTTAAGTACCTTGTCCAAGGTCACATGACTAGTCAATGAAAAAGCCTGGAGTCTAATCCAGGTCTGTCTTATTCCAAAGCCAGAGTCCTAGTACATATGACTAATTCTACTCCAGCATAATTACAGAAAGTAGAGTCATTTACAGGAAAATATCTTGTCTAAGCTCTGCAGTCTAGTACCACGCCTCCCACATGAAACTATTTATATTTTCTGAAATCTACTTAGTGACACAAAAGCCCAAAGAGATTAAAGCTGTAGATTCCCCCCTTACCCACCGCCCCCCCCCCAAAAAAAAGCTGATCCAGTCTTACTTGTATATTTCACATAAGAGCTGAAATCCCAGTCTGGTCATGGTCCTATCAGATGACAACTTCTGATGACAAAGGCAAGATTCTCTGCCCAGTTACACCTTCTCTAGTTTGTGTGGACCTTACTTCAGAGCCAAGGTAATAATTAAGTCTTAATTACCTGGTGGAATAATTCAGTTGGATTTATCTTGGCCTTGTAGTCAAGCTAAGCTAAGGTTGTTTAAGCATTTTGTAGAAAGCAGCTAAGATTGCTCAAATAGACGTATGTAGCTGACTGACTTTAGGTTTTCTTCTTACTAAGCAAACCAGTGGGATATTTAAATTGCCTTTGGGGATAGTTTTATGGGAGGGATGCAGTGATCTCAGTGGTTTTCCTTGAATCATGAATCAGGACCTGGGACAGCCCCTGGGACTCCAGAGAATAGCCGGCCCGGTCAGGGAGACCACACTTCAGCAGAGGCTCATTATCTCAGCTTCTGCACACTTCTGAGAGAATAAAAACAAATCTTATGGGAGCTCATGAAAACTCGTAAGCCTTGTTTGTCTCAAAGCTCAACTGCAGACTCTGCTGGGAATGAACTTGGTTTTTCTTTGCCACTGGCTCACCATTCCCAAAGTTACTCAGTGGTAATATCAGGACTGGAACTCAGATCTTAGGACTCCTGGTAAAGTTCTCTTTACAACACACTCATCCTTAGTCCTGATGTCAAGTCCCATATCAGGGGCTGAAACCTGGCTGCATTGTCTGCTCAGAATTTCAAGGAAGAGTGATTATTGGCTCAGGAAGGTATGAGTCTGGTGTGGTCTAAACATACTTCATTCATGTCTATACTGAGGAGCTTGTCAGCTCACCTTCCTTAAAGATCTATTTCCAGGGTTTCCATGGTCAACTCTCTAACCACTCCAGCTCTTGTCTCTTCCCTCGTCTCTGAAACCCATGATCTCTTTGTTAGAACCACATAATTTGGCACTGAACTCCACTTGTCTTACAGTGTTCATAGTTATTCTTTAGTGAATAGTCTCATCTCCTCTGCTGGATTGTGGGTTCCTGGAGAACCTATCTTTCTTCCTACTAATAACTTGGTTCCTGATTCAGTAGAACCTCTCTGTGTCCTATAAGCTTTCATCAGCTTTTTATTGTAGGATCAGAACTTTTCCAGCAGAAGAAATCTCAAAGAGGCCATGTGCTCTGTTTGCTTCTAAGTAACATGGCTGGGATAAAAAACCTTTGAAAATTAGCAAGCATTCAGGCGAACTAGGGTGGTTTTCATAATTGCAGATGCCAGATGCCAGTTGATACAAGAATATATTACAAAGAAGGGTGGCAGCCACAGATCAGGACTCCTGGCAGTTAGCACAAGAAATTCTACCTTCCAATACATTTTTGGACAATATTTATTATTTCCTATAATTAAATATCTATTGAAATAACTGTGTGGTAAGAGTATATGTAGTGTATTCTAATACTTCCTGGAATGGTATAGAAGGTAGAGTGGTAATTGGGACAGGGTGAAGGAATATGCCAGTAATAAGAATATTCCATTCAACATCCCCTGGGGAACTTGTAGAATGGGGTGACTATACAGTAGATATTACCTTCCTTCCTTTTGACACATTGGGGGATCTAGAGTGCTTTGATGTATAACATAATCATTACTATTGTTATCTTTAATATTGTTATTGTTATTGTTAAGCATTTCACCAGAGTCTTGCTCTGTCGCCCAGGCTGGAGTGCAATGGCATGATCTTGGCTCACTGCAACTCCACTTCCCGGGTTCAAGCGATTCTCTCACCTCTGCCTCCCTAGTAGCTAGGACTACAGGCATGTGCCACCACGCCCAGCTTATTTTTGTAGTTTTAGTAGAGACGGAGTTTCACCATGTTGGCCAGGCTGGTCTTGAATTCCTGACCTCGAGTGATCTGCCCGCCTCGGCCTCCAGAAGTGCTGGGATTACAGGCATGAGCCACCGTGCCCGGCCTCACTCCAGAACTTCTGTTTGGACTTTTGGGAAGAGATGCATCTTAGGTTAGCTTCCTTAAAAAAAGACCCGGGACAGAATTTTGGGCAAGTGCCTCACTGAGGGAGTGCTTGAAGGAGAAACCTGTAAGGGAGTGAATGAAACAGGAAATAGCTAAGCAAAGATGTAGGATGTAGTTTCAGCTGGAGGCTAGCTTTGGCCTGATTCTTAGAGTAACTCTGGAATGTGAATTATGCCATGGGCCTAGTTCTGCCTCCAGACAAGGGATTTGGCTTTTTGCAGCCCACACCAACCATCCATTGACTGTGGGCTGCCTCCAAGTGGTGTGACTTCCCAGGCATTCTGGGAAAAGTGGATCCCTTAGCTAATGGCAATTCTCCAGAGAAGGAGAGCTGTGAGCTCTTAGCAGCCAATACTCATAGCAGCTGCAGGTGGGTGTACTGATCTGTTAACTGGGATACTTAAAGATGCTCTTTTTTCCTGATAGAATTTTGAGTGTTTATATCTGGGGCTTCTGATGCCACTGAATGAGTGAAAATAGCCCAGAGAGAAGTTAAGAGAGGAAGAAAGGAAGACTGAGGTCTAATGAAGTTTGGACTTTTGGAAAACCCCAATGTCCAAGACTGCAGCCTGAGGATATTTGAATTTCTGAAGCAAGTCTTGCCTGGAGCTATCCAGATAAAGTGTTTTTGGTTACATCAACAAATTTCATTTTTTAATTTTTAAGTCAATTTTATTTGGCTTTCTACCATTTAAATTGAAAAAAATTTTTGACACTAACTCTGAAGTATTCATGGTTTTGTATGTTTGTATAGGCACTGGAATATCTAGAAGAATGTATACCAAACTGTCAAAATGAGCATCACTAGATATTATGAAAAGGGTATCACTTTCATAATCTTTGTGTAAGGATTTGTTAGAAAAATAATATATTAATAGAAAAAATATTTCAATATTTATAGTAGAATAGTAGGGGCAAACAGGTGAAAACAGCCAAGAAAAACTAAAAAAAAAAAAAAAAGAACAGTAGGAAGAGAGCAATTAACCTGCCTGATATAAAAGCTTACTATAAAGCTTTAATAATTAAAGCAATCTTTTTCAGATGTAAGAATTGGTAGATACATCAGTAGGACAAATGGCAAAGCTGAGAAACAAATCCAAGTATCCACGAGGAATTAGTATATAATAAAGGTGGTATTTTGCATTAGTGGAGAAAGAAATATTTATGGAATCATTGATAATGAAATGACTGGTTACGTATTTGAGAAGTTTGAACAGTATCTCACAGCTTATATCAAAACAAATGTCAGATCTATCGCGTTATAAAGAAAATATAAGTGAATCTTTGTCACTTTGTCATCACTCAGAGTGGGAAATTTACTTAACATTAAAAAAAAATTTTTGTGGAAGTGCCCATCAACAAGATGAATGGATAAAGAAAATGTGGAAATGTACTTTTTTAAACCTAAAAATACAGAAAGTTAGCATAAAGGCATATGTATGTGTCTACATAAAATGTTAAAAATTCCATATGTCAAAACATCGCATAAAAATAAAAAAGCAAATATAATACTAAAGTTTATGTGTCTGTAAAAATGTTAAAAATTTCATATGTCAAAACATCACATAAAAAAGGCAAATCAAATACTAAAAAGGTATTTATGACATACATGGAAAGCATGTCCTGTTAGATTTACTTCATACCATCTTAAATTCACTCGTTTCTTTTCATTTCCCACTATTCAGGTATTTTAGCTAGGTTATCCTTGGTTATGCTGCACTGTTAAATAACATAAAAATCTCAGTGCTTTAAAACAGCACAGATTTATTTCTTGCTCCAGGTACATATCTCTTACAGGTTTGCTTATCAGAGTATCTCAGGAACCCAGGTGGATCCACCATCTCCACGGCCCATCCACCATCTCAACGGTGGTGGTTGCCACAACGTCCGATTAAACCAACCACAAAGGGCCAGGCAGAGCAATTCGTGTGTGTGTGTGTGTGTGTGTGTGTGTGTGTGTGTGTAAGTAGAACACTAGCACTACCTCTCCTGGTGTCCCTCATCTCTGGACACTCCCACAATAGCCCCCTAAATGTCTTCCTGCTTTTACTCTTGCCTCTCTATAATCCATTTTTCTCATAGAATCAAGAGAAATTGTTTAAAACCTACATCAGATTCTGTAAGTTCCCTATTAAAAACCTTCCATTGGCTTCCCATTGCACTTAGACTCAAACCTGATATTTTTACTGCGGCCTATATGATTATCTGTGATCTACCCCCAACCTCCCTCTGGTTTTGATCTCCTACTGGTCTTCTATCTGTTTCTTGAGACCCCAGCATATTCTGGCCTCAGAGCCTTTGGATTTACTGTTCCTTCTGCCTGAAATGCTACTCACTCGAGAAGGTGCGCTTGTGTCTTCTTTTCATGCAGGTCTCAGTGTAAATACCCCATCACCAAGACCTTTTCTGACCTCCAGAAGTTCCCTTTCTCTGTCGCTACTCCAAATAGTTTCTGTCACAGCACCCTTCTCTATTTCTTTATAACATGACTCTCTCTGTTGCTGCCTATTAGAATATAAGCTATAAGAGGGCAGGGCTTTTTTTTTCTGTTTTTTTCAAATTATTTTTTGCTTATTTTTTCCTGGTATATATAAATACAGGTGAGTTTATTTTATTTTTGTTTTACTTTAAGTTCTGGGATACATATGCAGAATGTGCAGGTTTGTTACATAGGTATACCTGTGCCATGGTGCTTTGCCATACCCATCAACCCATCATATAGGTTTTAAGCCCCGCATGCATTAGGTATTTGTCCTAATGCTCTTCCTCGAGTCTGCCTTGTTCACTGCTGCATCTGTAGGGCCTAGAACAGCTCTTGGTTTACACTAGGCACTCAATAAATATTTGTTAAACAATGAGAGGAGAGAGCCTTAATGTTTCTACAATTCAATCAGAAAAGTTAAACACTTCAATAGAAAAACTGGCAAAATATAAGAGTGCTGAGTTTACAAAGAAATAGAAATGGCTAAATATATGAAAAAATTTAACATAGTAGGCAGGAAAAATTACAAAAAAAATGTAGTCATGAGATACTTTTTGCCTACATAATCATCAAATATTTGAAAGAAAATTATAATATTCATTATTAACAGGAGTGATGGCAAACATTTCCCTTCCTACACTGGAGTGCTGGGGAGCATCTTGAAGTCAGTTGGCTAATTCACATGAAGGCCCTTAAAAATAAAAGTGCCCTTTTCCTGGCTGGGTGTGGTGGCTTGTGCCTGTAATCCCAGCACTTTGGGAAGCCGAGGTGGATGGATTGCTTGAGGCTAGGAGTTCGAGACCAGCCTGGCCTACATGGCGAAACCCCATTTCTACTAAAAAATTACCAAAAAGTAAAACAGAAAACACAAGAAGAAAAATTAGCCAGGTGTGGTGGTACATGCCTGCTATGTTGGGAGGTTAAGTGGGAGAATAGCTTGAACCCAGGAGGTTGCAGTGAACTGAGATCACGCCACTGCACCCCAGCCCAGGTGACAGAGTAAGACTGTCTCAAAAAAAAAAAAATGCCCTTTTCCCCCATTGTTCTGTTTCTAGGAAATTACTCCTAGGGTAAAATCATTAATGTCTATAATCATTAATGTCTATAATAGGACATAATTATTAATGTCTATAAAGGATGTAATTATTAATATCTATAAAAATCTATAATCATGGTACTGTTATTTCATAATAAAAAATTGAAAATACCAAAGTGACCCAAATTACTTTGGTGCGGTAGGATATTTTGGATGTGAGGAGCCTGGAGTTTGAATGCTATAAACATCTCCCTGTGCACACATGTGCTTTTGGCTCTTAAATGCTGCAGGGCTAGAGCTCAGAAGGACCACTGATCTACATAGCAACCTGGGGAATTTCCCCTGAGTTAGGGGATTCAAACTCAGACCTCCACAAAGGTTCAGGGATGTAAATTATTCTCAGCTGGCCTGGGTGGGGAGCTGGCCTGTGTGGAAACCACCGTAAAGGACTGAAGGGTCTTCCTGGTGGACAGGACTGTGTCATCAGTGGTGGCTGTTAGTGTTAGACACAGCAAAATAGCAGGATGAGGAATATACATTTTTTGGGATATAAATTTTCTCCATCACATGTAAGGATAAGAAATATATATATCTTTATTAATAAGTCTTCTAAATTAAATGTGTCATAATTGCCTATCTGTTAAGATTAGAAGGATGTATATCACAGTGTCTTATATAATATTTATAACATTATATAACAATGTTTTATATAATTTTATAAATATAAAAGATTTTTTCGTTTGTGGAGGTTTCTCCTTTACCTAAGAGTTTTGAGCATTCTGACTACCCTTGAGTTTGTTCAACAGCATGTGGTATGTTAGAAGGAAATCTCACCAGCGTTACGGCAAGATTGGGGGTTAGTTTTTTCTTTTCCTGTGGTCACCTAGACTTTCAGGGTATGGAGTCTCAGAATATGGTGTTCAATGCCCCCAACACTCACGAGCTGTCCAATGAGGAGTCTCAATACTTTTCAGGGTATTGGGGTGGCTTATAGGCCTCTCCCACTTGAGAAACTTTATAACAGTTATTTTTCTTCTTATTAACTCACCCCAAGGGAACAGTATAAAAAGGCAATATAAACTTTGATTTCAATTTAAAAAAATACCTAGAGTAGAAAATTCTGGAAGGATATTAATAGTATTAATAGTGGCAAAACTGCAATTACTTTTGCACCAACCGAATGCTAGGTCCAGTTCTGAGTGTTTTATATGTATCATCTTCTTCAACTTTCTGACTATCCCAGGAGGTGGGCATATAGAAGTGATATAACTCACTTAAATCCACAAGGTAGAGCAATCTACTTGCAGAGCTTATGTTTTAAATAACTCTGTTCTAGTGTATTTCCTCCAACTGTTAACAGTGCTTGTTGGAATGGTTCAATGGTTTAAATTTCTTCTTTTAGACTTTGACATTGTCCAAATTTTCTATATGAAATAATTTGTATTTACAATCAGCTAAATTACACTAGGCCACACAGGATAGTGGTTAAGAGTAAGGAGTCTGGAGCCAGCCTCCCCTAGTTCCAGTCTCAGCTCTTCTTCTTACTACCTGTGTGACCATGAGTGGTTACTTCACCTTTCTGAGCCTCGGTTTCCTCAGTTGAGGCATAGAATAAAAATAGTATCTACCCTATAGGATTGTTGTAAAGACTCAATGAGTTAAACAGAGATAGAAAAAATATGATGTGCCAGACATTGCTCTGGGTACTTTATCTATAGTTAATTAAATATTAGCTGAATAAATGAGTGAGCAGATTGCTGGGACCTCACACAGTCACATTTCACTCAGGCTCTGTAAATGAGGTTGGTCAGAAAGGGTCACCTTGGGTTGATGACAACTCCTCAAAGAGCAGAACACAGAGGTATCTCCCTCATCCCCAGGGTGAGGTTGGATTATGGAGGAGGCCGCCAGACAAGATGAAGGTTGAGTGAGGAGAGATTGAGAAAGCAAACTTTGCAGAGGCCCTTTTCTGAAGATTTCTTTCCTCTGGGCATTGGAGAAGCCTAATTAGAAGCTTAGGGCTGATTAGAAACCCCAGTCAGTGGCAAATCCCTTTGCTCCAGTCTTCTAATTGCCTTCCTGGAGTGAAGGATCCAGTCTAGGATAGGGCAGAGCTCCAGCTCCTATTAATCCAGCTCCCCTGGATGCCAGGCCTGTGAGTTACAGGTGCTGAAGATGTCTATTTATCTGGGCCTCCAAAGCCCCACTTAGACACCACATTCTACCTGCGCTCAGCCCAGCCTTCCAGACTGGGGAAGGACCTTTTGGTCCTGCTGAAGGTGAGCATGGCCATAGTAGATCAGAGAGAAAATGCACTACAGACCAGACTGGAAATGTACTTGATAATCTGAACTTCAGTTTCCTCTAACATAAAATGGGTTTTTCTCTTTGTTTCTTTTTGTTTTGTTTTGTTTTGTTTTTGGTATTTCAGAGAATTTAATAGAGGAGATTGGTTACAGAATGAAAACACTGGAGGAGCAGAAGGGATAGATGAGCTCATGCAGAGATTAGCTGCAGCAGGAGGGCTGAAGGCATAAGGGGAGATGGTGTAACCAGAGTCCAGGCTCTCTGTGCCACAGACAGGCTGCTGCTGGATCTTCTCCCACTCCCTCTGGCGCTCAGGGTGGGGTCAAAGCTACATGTGATTTTCTGGGAGCACAATGTGCTGGGACTTAATACTTTCGCTTCTCCCTTGCAATAATGCGAGGCACTTAGCATCTTTGTGTCTTGGTTTCCTTATCTATAACATGGAACTGATAATGCCTTGCATACCTACTCCACGTGATTGTTTTCAGAATCAGAAGACATAGAAAGGTGAGATCACATGGAAAAGTGGGGAGGCTATTTACATGTAATTAGTTACATTGAGAAAGTGGAAGAGCAAGCAGCAACTCTTATTGAATTTCTAAGAAACTTGTAAAATGCTGGCAGGTGTTGGGAATGATTCAGCATGACGCCATTGACGTTATAGAGAGAGCTAGAAGCAACAGGTAGGGTCTAAAATAGAACAATCTCCTTTGTGGATGAGTAATTTCCCCATTTTTGGAATTGTTCAGTTCTCATAGGTGTAATTGGTCAGAAGGGGTCACTGCTAGCTCCGAGATCAGCCATCAGTGATACCAGAGAGGATATTTCTGCTCTGGGTGGCAGTGAAGCCTCAGATTCCTGCAGTTCAGAGTCCATCAAGCTACTTTCTGTGAGTGCTTGACTGAGCTTAATTGAGATCTCTCATTTAGAAGCTGATTGGCTGAGAAGCTCTAAGGAGGTTAGGGATGAAAGGGCCCCAGCCAGAATTAAGGAGGCCTGATGTCCATGCTCATGCTTTGCAAGGCTTGTTCTACCTAGGAATTTCCATCACTGAGGCTCTTCTCCCTAATCCCCCTTGAAAGAAGAGAATTTCATCTGCTTCCATCAGTGTCTGAGAGGCAGAGAGCACTAGTAGCTCTGGTCATCAGAACAGCTGTGCTAAGACTCTGAAAGGAGGAGCATCCCAGATGGCAGAGACAGCGCCTCACCAGGCTGTAGGAGACCTAGGCTCTAGTCATCCCCAACCTTTCCCATTGGCTCTTTGTATGTGGACAATCCCTCCTCATCTCAGGGACTCTCTTACCTCATCTCTAGGATGGGGCTGATGCTACTTTATCTTCCTGAAGGCAGGTGAGTGGAACTGTGACCTGTGGACTCTAAGTTCCAAGAGTCTACTGCATAGTTAGTCTTGAGAGCAGATGGGTCAGAGTGAGAAGGCACTGGGGAAGGAGAAGTGTAAGAGATTTAGGGTCAGCACTTGAGCAGACTTTATATGCCCTTCTAGAATTTTATTACAGGATTGCAAAATGAGGAAGAACCTCAAGATTCCAACTTTTCGTGTCTTTCTCTGTGACCTCCTGTCTTCAGGCAGGGCATCCATATCCCTATGGCAACTTGGTAAGGGATTTTGTGGTATGGTGGAAAGGGTCTAGGTCCCAATTCTGGCTGCTTTTCTTCCTAGCCATATGACACTTGGACATGTCAATTGACCTTTCTGATTCTCACTTTCTTCATCTGAAAATGGGCTGTATGGAGAATAAATGAAATAATGGGTGCATAATGTTCTAAAATATGGGATTATGGAAGTAATTTGTAATTTTTTGGGAGAGGGAATTCACATCTTCCCTATGTGCAACAGAACCAACCTTTGTTGAACACTCAATATGTCACCTCATTTCATCCCCACAACACTCCTGTGAGTTAAGTGATGTCATACCCATCTTATATATGAAAGAATTGGAATCCAGGGAGTTTAAGCAACTGGCTGGGAATTGACCCTGCTGTGATAGAGCTTCAAAGCATTCGGGCTCCTTGAGACCATGCTGGTTCTGCCTTTCTGCTATTTTCAGTGCAAATGTATTGCCAGAAAATATTTCTCTTATGTCTTTGTGAGTTTTTATTCAACTAGAAAATGGCCAACTAAAGTTTTTTTCCAAACAAGATTTTGAGGGAAACAGACTGCTCTTCAACAGAGGCTCTATTTTCATCTCTCGCTTGAACTACTTATCTACCTGAACACAGACAGCATGTGGGTGGAAGGAGCTGCTCTAGTTTTTCACCATTTAAACATTCTGAGTCCACTGAAGTCCACCCTGACACATTGAATAGCAGCCAAGGCATCTTGTACCTCATTCCTTTTCCCTCTTTCTTCTTTAAGTCAGCACAAGCAGATGATACCAGTTTGATTTTAGTGGCAGAGAGAGAATCACTGTCATCCTTGCCTGTTTAGTTCTATATATTTGTCACTACATCCACAGTGTCCAGAATAGTGCCTGGCACAGAGCAAATAGGCAAAGACTTTATACATCTTTGTTGCATAATTCCAGCCAAGAACACTGGCTACATAACTTTGGGTGCACTGCACAACCTTTATGACTCCCCATTTTTAAATAACTTTAAACCTGACCTGGAGGTTCTAAGTGGATTAGTTTTTTGAGCTATATAAATATTCTTCAGATCCATGGCTATATATTTCCCACAGTGTGTACTATTATCAAGCTGATCTCTGAGCACTTACTGAAATCCCTTGCAAGTGAACACTTTTCACTTTTAGAATCATCTTCCCATGCACTTTCTTGTTCAATCCACAGTAGCCTTTGGGTTCTTAGCCCAGTGCTTTCGCTGCCTGAAGACGACAGATGGGGCCTATTAAATCCTGCTGGACTTTCTCTTTCCTGAAAATCCCATTAGTTTTCTGAGGTGTAGTAGAGATTTTGGGGAGCATTAATAATTTAAAAGAGCAGACAATCTTGACATCTTTCTCCCTTAGCTTTTGGATAACCTACCATGGTTATCATAGGTAACTAATGTGGGGGAAAGATAACCCAGAGTTACAGACATCCACCAGGGGAGGTCTGTCTGGAAGTGAAATGTTTCTGTGCCTGAACAACAATTAGATAACAGATTGCTGAGAATGTTAAATGCTAATATTGCTCAATACTGTGGAGCATGGTGGGTTCATGATGGCGTTAAGGATGCACTTTCTTCCTGTGCATCCTTAAAACCCAGCAGTTTCAAATATTTGTAGGTTTTCAAAACAGGAAACTGTTGCTTCAGTCTTCTATTCATTTTCCCAGCAACTCAGTTGATCTAAATTGCCTGGGACCAAATATTTTCCTCTGAGGCCAAACGGATTCATGGTTCCTCTCCCTGCCTGGAGATTTTGAGGAGATACTGTTTGTTTTCCCTAATCTTAATCACTAGGAAATTGACTGGCGGTTCTATTGAGAATTACAAATCATTCATAACCAGTCTACGAATTTAGGCGATGTATCACATGGCAAGGTGCAACTGTTCTTGGAGAGAACCAAACTTCTAGCTCCTCTGAAGATGAGCGACCATTGGGCAACCTTAGTCTTTAAAATATTCCTCTGCCCATTGCAAAATGGACAGAGTTGAAGCTTAGAAGGATCACATTAATGTGTACTGTGAGTTAGGAGACCCTCTCCCAATCCCCCTTCAGACTATTCACTGTCTCAAAAGGAAAGCCTAGGTCATTATTTTGGGATTTTGGTTTACAAAGACTTCAGGAGCTGGCTGTAGTAGCACAGACCTGGAGACCTCCCTAAGTGTTTTCATTTTCTCGCTTGAGCATCTGCCTTTTTCTGTCATCCATAGATCAGTCTGATTTAGGTTGAACCACAGTTTATGCACTGTCTTTCCAGAACCCATTTGGCAAAGTCCTCTGGCGGCACTGTTATTGGGCTAATGCAGAGAGGGCTGATGATTCCGATTATTCTGACATGTGGCAAATGGGCAATTTTATTTTGTATTTATTTATTCATCAATACCTCTTTCCAAAAGAGATTTAAAGTGGCTTATAAAAATGCATAACATGTAGCAAGATAAAATAAATTAAAAATGAGGAGTAAGATTTGGGCAAAGGGAAAGTACAGGTGGGCAGACAATAACGAGGAGCTGGAAGCAAGGTTTGTTTCACGTGACTTTTATCCTGCAACTTAAATCTGTGCTGGAGATGATGGCCCTCCGGGGGTGCAGGCTCCCTGTTATAGTTTGATTCTGATGAGACCCCTGAGCATCTCTTCTACCCTCCCATCCCTGCAGATAAGACATGAAGAATAAAAATGATGCTACAAAGAGGAGAACAGGGGCAGTGTTTCCAACTCAGAATTGGGGTCATTTGCCAAAAAATTTATTTAACTTATATTACTTTCCTCCTTGCCCAAGTGTAAGAGGATAATATATGTAAAGCCACTAGAAAAGTCCTGGGCATAGAAAGGTACTCACTGCAGGGCATTATTAATAACTTTCATCATTTTCATAATAATGAGCCATGAGACAGTGGCTGGGTACATGACCCTGGAGCCTGACAGACCACAGTTCAAATCCCTGCCTAGGAATTTACCTAAACCAAGTTTCTTAATCTCTGCAAGCTCCTGTTTCCCAGTCTATAAATAGGGATAGGAAAAATATGTCCTGTGTTGGGGTATTGTGAGAAGTAAATGAGGCAGTTTATATAAAATACCTAGAACAGTATTTATCATACAGTGAATACTCTCTTAATGTCAGTCATTAATATTCATAGATACTCTTTTCCTCTGTCATTAGACTTTTAAGAGCAGAAGAGAGACCATTGTGTTATAGAACAGGATGCATCATTTGAGGTCTGTTAGTGCTGTCTTTTTATATGAGGATGCACATCAAGAGATGGGAGATACTTGCTTTAGTGGCAGCACCCACACTTGAATCCAGGCCTCCAGGTGCTGTTTCCAGCCTTCGTATCACATGCTCTCTCTGGCTCATCACCGTCAACTGCCATCCCCCAATCATGTCACTCTCCCCATAGGAAAATGCTTCCTCCTCCTTTCCCAGAGCAGAGACCTAAAAGTGTCTCTTAGAGCAATTGTAGATGAAATGGGTCTCCTGATTTGTGCCTCCCCAGCTGGGGCTGCCTGAGGCTGGGCAGGAGCGTCGTACTTCCTGGGCCAAAGTGATGGCCACAGTGTAAGCTAATGTTAAGCACAGTGAATTTGGAGACGTTTATTGACTGTGGTCTTGGGAAAGTAGCTTACCCACTTTGAGTCTTATTTTAGTCAGCAAAAAAGTAGGAATAAATTAAATTTAGGAGCAACTTAAAAACCTAGTGTTTGAAAGATACTTTTTGTAATAATTTTGGATATGAATTGTTTACTCTGTATTAAAAGTACAAAAGTAACATCTGAATGTTACTAGGCACACAGCATGCTGTTTCCATTAATTTAAATTGTATTTTTTCTTCTCATAGCACAGCTGTGCTGTTATTATTCCTTTTACAATCATACGTGTATTTTTATTATTTTTAATTGACAAAACTTGTATATATTTATGCAGTACAATGTGATGCTTTCATAAATGTGTAAAATTTGGAATGATTGAACAAGCTAATTAACATATCTATCACCTCACTTAGCATTTTTTGTGGTGAGACATTTAAAATGTACTCTTAACAATTTTGAAATATACATTATTAATAACTATAGTCACCATGCTGTACCATAGATTTCAAGAACTTATTCCTCCTAAGTGAAAGTTTGTACCCTTTGACCATCATGTCCCCATTTCACCCCCCAACCTCTGTAATGTGTGGTATATTTTCTAAGACACAAGAAGGAACCAAAACAAATTGAATTTACAATAGAGTAAGCTAAAGAAAGAGGGGAGACAGAAAGACAAAGCAGGGGTGGGGCCCTGGGAAGATGGGAGGAGGAAGGAAGAAAGGAAGAGGGTAAAAGGAAAAAGGAGGAAATTCAACAGAAAATGAAAAGAAAATAGCAAATATTAACAAAATCAAATTCTGGCCCATCAGAAAGAATAAGGGGGCAAACCTCTAGCACAAATAAATGATATTGGATAAAAAGGAGGATAATCTTATATACAGGGTTTTTTCCCTTTCACTTTTATTTTAAGTTCAGGTGTTCATGTGCAGCTGTTTTTTTTTTTTATTATACTTTAAGTTTTAGGGTACATGTGCACAATGTGCAGGTTTGTTACATAGGTATACATGTGCCATGTTGGTGTGCTGCACCCATTAACTCATTATTTAACATTAGGTATATCTCCTAATGCTATCCCTCCCCGCTCCCCCCACCCCACAACAGTCCCCAGTGTGTGATGTTCCCCTTCCTGTGTCTATGTGTTCTCATTGTTCAATTCCCATCTATGAGTGAGAACATGTGGTGTTTGGTTTTTTGTCTTTGCGATAGTTTGCTGAGAATGATGGTTTCCAGCTTCATCCATGTCCCAACAAAGGACATGAACTCATCATTTTTTATGGCTGCATAGTATTCCATGGTGTATATGTGCCACATTTTCTTAATCCAGTCTATCATTGTTGGACATTTGGGTTGGTTCCAAGTCTTTGCTATTGTGAATAGTGCTGCAATAAACATACGTGTGCATGTGTCTTTATAGCAGCAAGTTTTATAATCCTTTGGGTATATACCCAGTAATGGGATGGCTGGGTCAAATGCTATTTCTAGTTCTAGATCCCTGAGGAATCGCCACACTGACTTCCACAATGGTTGAACTAGTTTACAGTCCCACCAACAGTGTAAAAGTGTTCCTATTTCTCCACATCCTCTCCAGCACCTGTTGTTTCCTGACTTTTTAATGATCGCCATTCTAACTTGTGTGAGATGGTATCTCATTGTGGTTTTGATTTTTGCATTTCTCTGATGGCCAATGATGATGAGCATTTTTTCATGTGTCTTTTGGCTGCATAAATGTCTTCTTTCGAGAAGTGTCTGTTCATATCCTTCACCCGCTTTTTGATGGGGTTGTTTGTTTTTTTCTTGTAAATTTGTTTGAGTTCATTGTAGATTCTGGATATTAGCCCTTTGTCAGTTGTGTAGATTGCAAAAATTTTCTCCCATTCTGTAGGTTGCCTGTTCACTCTGATGGTGGTTTCTTTTGCTGTGCAGAAGCTCTTTAGTTTAATTAGATCCCATTTGTCAATTTTGGCTTTTGTTGCCATTGCTTTTGGTGTTTCAGACATGAAGTCCTTGCCCATGCCTATGTCCTGAATGGTATTGCCTAGGTTTTCTTCTAGGGTTTTTATGGTTTTAGGTCTAACATGTAAGTCTTTAATTCATCTTGAATTAATTTTTGTATAAGGTGTAAGGAAGGAATCCAGTTTCAGCTTTCTACATATGGCTAGCCAGTTTTCCCAGCACCATTTATTAAATAGGGAATCCTTTCCCCATTGCTTGTTTTTGTCAGGTTTGTCAAAGGTCAGATAGTTGTAGATATGCGGAATTATTTCTGAGGGCTCCGTTCTGTTCCATTGGTCTATATCTCTGTTTTGGTACCAGTACCATGCTGTGTTGGTTACTGTAGCCTTGTGGTATGGTTTGAAGTCAGGTAGCGTGATGCCTCCAGCTTTGTTCTTTTGGCTTAGGATTGACTTGGCAATGCGGGCTGTTTTTTGGTTCCATATGAACTTTAAAGTAGTTTTTTCCAATTCAGTGAAGAAAGTCATTGGTAGCTTGATGGGGATGGCATTGAATCTATAAATGACCTTGGGCAGTATGGCCATTTTCACGATACTGATTCTTCTTACCCATGAGCATGGAATGTTCTTCCATTTGTTTGTATCCTCTTTTATTTCATTGAGTAGTGGTTTGTAGTTCTCCTTGAAGAGGTCCTTCACATCCCTTGTAAGTTGGATTCCTAGGTATTTTATTCTCTTTGAAGCAATTGTGAATGGGAGTTCACTCATGATTTGGCTCTCTGTTTGTCTGTTATTGGTGTATAAGAACGCTTGTGATTTTTGCACATTGTTTTCTAGATATACAATCATGTCATCTGCAAACAGGGACAATTTGACTTCCTCTTTTCCTAATTGAATACCCTTTATTTCCTTCTCCTGCCTAATTGCCCTGGCCAGAACTTCCAACACTATGTTGAATAGGAGTGGTGAGAGAGGGCATCCCTGTCTTGTGCCAGTTTTCAAAGGAAATGCTTCCAGTTTTTGCCCATTCAGTATGATATTGGCTGTGGGTTTGTCATAGACAGCTCTTATTATTTTGACATATGTCCCATCAATACCTAATTTATTGAGAGGTTTTAGCATGAATGGTTGTTGAATTTTGTTAAAGGCCTTTTCTGCATCTATTGAGATAATCATATGGTTTTTGTCATTGGTTCTGTTTATATGCTGGATTACGTTTATTGATTTTCATATGTTGAACCAGCCTTGCATCCCAGGGATGAGGCCCACTTGATCATGGTGGATAAGCTTTTTGATGTGCTGCTGGATTCGGTTTGCCAGTGTTTTATTGAGGATTTTTGCATCAATGTTCGTCAGGGATGTGCAGCTGTTATTGTCAGTGTCTAGATGTTGACGCTGAGACTTGAGGTCAAGTAACTTGTACAAGGTCACACAAATAGAAATGCCTGAGTGTGAGTTTGGAACAAACTCTGTCTTCTGTGCCCATTTTCTTAGCCACTATATATATTTGTGGGATTCCAGCCTTACCTTTGTGCTGGGTGATCTTAGGTTGATTATTGAGCCTCTAGTATCTTAAGGACTTCTCTCTGTTATCAGAAGGCTAACACTTCTGAACAATGTTGCCTGGAACATGTCTCCCAAAGACCTGAAAACCTCCATATGTTTTGTAATCAGAGAAGGGTGGTCCATTGCTGGCAATTTATGTCTTTATTTTCTATTAGTTGTGGCCAAATGATGTATGCAAGTACATATGTACAGTTACCTGATTCCCAGAATTTCTGCTGAAATGTCACCTTTTCAGTGAGTCTTTTTGATGGTCTTAATATCCTTATCCTTACTTTGATACTTTTAATTCCTCATACTCTGCAGCATTTTTTTCACAGCACTTACCAACTTCCATCATGGTAGAAGAATATATTTCTTCTTTTTTGAACATATATATGCCAGGCTCCACGAGAATGAGCATGAAGGCAGGACCCTTTGTTTTGTTCCAAGCAACTAGAAAAGTGCCTGCTACATAGTAAGTTCTCAGTAGATTCTTATTAAATAAATAGATGAATATAGCCTCTTTTTCCCTTTGGCCAGGATGATTTACAGGAACTCCTTTTAAGAACATGGCGAATCATTGTTCTGGGAGAAGATCAGGGTAAGATTTGGCCTTAAGTATAGAAAAACAACCTAAATATTTACCCTATCAAGAATTCAGTGGGGGAAAAAACTCCCCCCAGTTGCTGAACATTATTCAAAAATTAGATCAGCTTTTGCCAAACATTGATCAAGGTTTTACTTTATTCTTTATCTAAAGTCCTATGAGATCTTTTTCAAATTCAGTTTTTGTTTCAAGGATGGAAAGAGGACAAGAAGAATCACCTCTGAAGTCCACATTCACTATGTTCATTACTCTAAATTATCAAGATTCAAAGGCACAGAGATAGTATTTTCCCAATACCTGGCGAGAACCCCATCTGTATTAGAATTCAAAACTCAGTGTGCTGGCTTTGTCTGTTAATGAGTTTTGCAGGCTAATTGTGGAATAGCTTGATTCATGTATCTCACTGATTGATAATGAAGTGGCATTAAAAAAACTAGGACAGATCCTTTGGAATAAGAGGAGAACTTGGAAACCAGGCCATGTTGCTTGGCAGGAACAGAGAGGAAGAGGCGACTTGGCAGGCAACAGGCTATAGAGGTCCTAACAGTGTTTGTTCTTTATGGCTCACTGTCTGGCATACAAATCCATTGTGCATATATGCACATCAGAAACAACCCTAAAGAAAGGTGGAGTTGATGTTGGAACTCCAGGTGGCTGTGGACTTAAGATTCCACAATGTATATGAACCTAAGAGCATGTCACTCATATTATCTCAGAATTTAGTAAAAATAATTCTAAGTGTGTGTCAGACCATGTGCAACATACTGTGTAAATTATGTCCTTTACAATAATATTATAACTTTGGCATTGTAATCCTCATTTAACCAAGAAGGAGGCTGAAATTCAGAAAGGTTAATTAAATTGCTCAAGGTCTGAAGGTATTCAAACCTACACCTTATTTCAAAGCCCATGTCTTTTATACTACACCACTAGGATTTCTTCAACAAAGTGCTTTTTTCCTCCACAGGAGGCTGATTAAGTTTTCTAATTTGGGACCTGTCAGAAGTTTTGGAAGTGCCTAAGGAAATGATGTCTAACCTAGGCTTTGCCTATTTACCAATTGTGAAATCTGGGTCACTTTACTTCTTTTGCCCTCATATTCTTCTGTCAAAAATAGGATTAACAATATGTGTTTCATGCAGGAACAGAAAACCAAACACTGCATGTCCTTACTTATAAGTGGGAGATGAACAATGAAAACACATGGACACAGGGAGGGAAACAACACATACTGGGGCCTGTTGGGGAAGGGCTGTAGGCGGGGGGGTGGCATTAGGAAAAAAAGCTAATGCTTGCTGGGCTTAATACCTAGGTGATGGGTTGATAGGTGCAGCAAACCACCATGACACACATTTACCTATGTAACAAGCTGGCACATCCTGCACATGTACCCCAGAACTTAACAAATAAAATAAAATAAAAATAAAAACAATATGTGCTTCGAAGGATTTCTGAAGGATCAAGTAAAATAAAGTTTGTGAAAATGTAAAGTGCTTTACAAATCTAAAAGATTATTATAATTAGTGAGCAGTGATCAAGTCAAGCCATTACTGCCTTAATTTATCTTTTATTTTATTTTATTATTATTATACTTTAAGTTTTAGGGTACATGTGCACAATGTACAGGTTTGTTACATATGTATACATGTGCCATGTTGGTGTGCTGCAACCATTAACTCGTCATTTAACATTAGGTATATCTCCTAATGCTATCCCTCCCCCCTCCCCCCACCCCACAACAGTCCCCGGTGTGTGATGTTCCCCTTCCTGTGTCCATGTGTTCTCATTGTTCAATTCCCACCTATGAGTGAGAAAATGCAGTGTTTGGTTTTTTGTCCTTGCGATAGTTTGCTGAGAATGATGGTCTCCAGATTCATCCATGTCCCTACAAAGGACATGAACTTATCATGGATTAAGAAAATGTGGCACATATACTCCATGGAATACTATGCAGCCATAAAAATTTATCTTTAATGAGACTTTATTATTATTATTTTTTAATTTCAGTGGATAACGTTGGCTTCATGGCAGAGAGTGGCACCACGGTGACAGAATTTTTTCTGAGGGGGTTCCGGTTGAAGGCAGAGCTGCAGATAGGTCTCTTCTTTGTGTTTCTGGTCATTTTTCTCATCACCATGGGGGGCAACCTGGGCATGATTGTGCTAATTTAATTCAGACTGACCCTCGGCTCCAGACTCCCATGTACTTCTTCCTCAGTCATCTTTCCTTCCTGGACATTTGCTACTCTTCTGTTATTGGTCCTCAGTTGCTTGAGACTTTGGGACTGATAAGATGATCATCACCTATGAGCGCTGTGCCAGCCAATTCTTCTTTTTCACACTCTGTGCTAGCATTGAGTGTTTCCTTTTGGCTGTGATGGCTTATGACCGGTACGTGGCTGTGTGTAACCCCCTCCTCTATGCCATAGTCATGACACCAAAGACCCGCCTGGCGCTGCTGGCCGGGGCATATTCTGGTGCCATAGTCAATTCTGTGATCTGCACTGGCTGCACCTTCTCTATCTCCTTCTCTAAGTCCAACCATGTAGACTTCTTTTTCTGTGACCTCCCACCCCTGCTGAAGCTTGCCTGTAGTGAAACCAGGCCACGGGAATGGGTAATCTACCTCTCAGCTTTTCTGGTCATCACAACCAGCATTTCAGTGATTCTTACATCGTACTTGTTCATCATTCAGTCTGTTCTGAAGATTCGTACAGCAGGTGGAAAGCCAAGACCTTCTCCACCTGTGCTTCTCACATGACTGCATTGACTCTCTTCTTTGGAACACTCATATTCATATACCTGAAAGGCAACATGGGCGAATCCCTTGAGGAAGACAAGATCGTGTCAATATTTTACACTGTGGTCATCCCCATGCTAAATCCAATGATCTACAGCCTGAGAAACAAAGACATGAAAGAGGCTCTGAAGAAAGTTTTCAACAGGATAAGGGTTTCCCAAGCAGAGTAACTCTTGAGCCCCATCAAGCCAGAAGTTTCTGCAAATCCTGCTCTGGGCTTTTGTCTCGTCCTCTTAACACATGAGCCAGATCTCATAATTACAAAGACATATTGAGGCAGAAAAAGTTGGATTTGGGTTCCAGTACTTTCTTTATTGGCTTTATGATGTAGAGCCAGAAATGATCCACTTTAGTTTTCTCATCAGTAAAAATTTCTGCTTTGCTATGGGTAAAGGTCAAGAGATCTTAAGCCAGGATCAAGGGAGAGGGAATCCCAAAAGGCTTTGTAAATAATAACATGCTACAAAATATAGATTTTTTTTCTTATCTGTCCTGCGTATTGTGGAGCATTTTCTCAGCTATTCGGATTTTTTTCTATTAAGCTCATTTTTGTGCCTAGCATGATTACAAAACAGTAACTCATTGTTTATATAGTAAGGGGCAGTCACATTTTTGGTTGTGGATCATAGTGTGGATATCAGCTTTGATGAAAGAAAACTTTTCTTAACATTCAGTCATACCCAATTTAGGATTTGTCATAGAAAATAAAAGCAACTAAACAGAAGAAGAAAAAATAAAGAAGGGAAAGGAGGTGTGTTAGCCTGCTTCCCAAGATGGCATAGAGGTCTCAGACACTGTGGAAAAAAGAAGGATGTAATGATTTGCATTAATTATTGGAAACAATTTGATCTTGATGTAGGGCTGAAGTGAGTCCCATATATAACTTTGTAATATTTCTCGATCACCAAAGGTCAGAAGCTCTATTTTATTTCTGAAGCATTGTTCATGGACCATCTGCCTCAATTAACTCAAGTTATTTCCTATTCTTCAGTAATGAAAACCATTATCTACTTTTATCTCCTTTAGGACATTTACTCTATTGTCAGAAGACAGATAACAATGAATCTGACTGCCACTTTTTAATGACTTCCTCATCTGCTAGAAATATTACCTGGGAAATATCTCCATGGAGACCTCACAATTTTATTCATCAATTCAGCAAATATATGCTATCTACTATGTATCAAATATTAAGTTTAGAATATTTTAAGTATGTATTATATCTACTATGTATCAAATATTAAGTTTAGAGTAATAAATAAGATAGATATGGTTCCTTCAGCATGGAGATTAGAACTTGGGATATAGATAATCAACCATTGCACAGTTAATTAATTAATTATTAATTTTTACAATTTTGCAAAGTGAAACAAAAGAAGCAGCACAGGGTGTTATTATGCTATATAATAGGGTTCCAGCCTAATTTGGTGTGGTCAGAAAAGGCTTCTGAGAGAAATTAACGTTTAAGCAGAGGCTTCAGGAATAAGTATGCCATAGTCATGGGTTGTGAAGACTCTTCTAGACAGAAAGAATTGCAAATGCAAAGGTCTGTGAAATGGGATGCCTTGAGGAACTGGGATTGGCTGTAGCATGAGGGAGCAGGGCTTAGTGTGAGATGCAACTGGCGAATTCCATAGAAACTGTCACAGAGCCTTGCAGATTTGCTTGGGGACTTGTGGACTTTATTTCAAAAGTAGAGTGCGAAATGATCAGATACGAATTTTTAAAAGATTCCTTTGGCTGCAGTGTGATGAGTGGAAAGGACGCTGGTGGTGGTGGAGTTGGAGGGAAATAGAACCACTTTGTCTATGAAACAACAGTTGGTGCATCCCAGTGCATGGCATTTGATTTCCATGCAATACTGTATGCTTCATTCTAGGACACATGTTATGTTAGAGAAAGCTAGCAGGTGCATGGCTTTGATGGTGGTTTAGGACTGATTCTTGGCAAAGTGGCAAAATTAGGGAAATATGTTTTTGGTGATGCCCACCTTTTCATTGGTCCACTCTTCCTTCCATAAAGTGTGACCTTTCTCAGGTAGACACAGGTATACACTATCTGTCCCTTCATCAAAATGATCATCAACTACTCCTTCTTAAGGGATCAGCATGTTTTCATTAACCTCCTACCCTGTGCCAGACTGTGTTTATGAGCTTAAGAAACCACCCCTTACTGGGCTGCTTCTGTGCTTAAAGGCAGGAAAAGTCTTCAAATGTAAAAACAAAGAAATGAGTAAAATGCTAGACAGTGGGGGTTTGCTATTTTTATAGTGGCAGGAAAAACCTCATACCCCTCCCAGTTTCTACTTTGTGAGTGGCAACCAATTTTGCCTATAAATGAGTGATCTTTGATACATCCCCAGTATTTTATGTTTATACAATTGCCTTATGTATGCACCAAGTGGATAAAAATAAAATGAAGTTTTAGTGTGTTTTAGGCAATTATCTTCTGATTAACGTAAAAAAACACTGGGGAATGGTGTATGTTGTATTGCTATTTACATATATTAATAAATGAATAAAAACATTCATAAATTACCTAATGTGTGTCAGATTCTGTGCTGAGTTTTCACTTATCTCATTTAAAGATTTCATTCTTAAAATAAAAAAGTCTCATTCTTAAAATAGATTCTACACATATTCTCTTAGAAATAGAATTCAGTCAGGAATTCTGGCATTGTTTTCTTTTTTTCCTTCTCACTTCTGAGTGTATTTCTTTTAAGAACTAGGCTTTGGAATTATACATTTTTAGCTATAATATTTTGGCCTCAATTTACCAACAATGATATTGGAAAGATGAAGAAAGCAGATCCTCAAAGTCTCAACTGACCCATTAAAATCAATTCACCAAGAGGCCAAAGTACTATGTTCTTGATCACTTAGAGCGACACCAAAACTTTAATTATGGATTTGTATTTTTCACATATATTAAGTTGATTGAGTGTAGGTGTAAATCTAAATTAACTAGATTATCAGCATGAGGGCATGGGTCTAGTGTAGAATGATGGAGTGTAAACCATACAACACGTAATCTAGGGCCTTTGGCAGAAGTGTGTATATATATATATATTTACTTTTTGTATATGGGAATGCATTTTGTCTGAGGGAGCCACAGTGCTTCAGATAAGAGCAAAAACAACCACACACAATTTTTCTTTTGTCATGAAGATCAATACAAGATGGATAGAAATACTTACCAGATTTCTTTTTTTCCTCCTTGCTCCAATTCTATTTGTCTAAGCTACAGGGAAGAGAAAATGCCATCAAAGCCATGTGCAAATGACCACAAGAACAGAGCTGCCCAAGCCCCAATGCCACCATCCCCATGGTTCTCCCATGCCTTTTTGGTGGCTATGGGGCTAAAGGGCAAAAAAGAAATGAAGCATGTTTGGTTTGAAGGTTTTTCCTGGTGATGGAATTCAAAAAAGGTAAGGCAGCTCTAGTTTTTGAATCTCATTTTGCCTGATGCTGAATTCAAACCTCAAACTAAATTTTCTCCTGAATCTTACTTAGATAGAGAATGTGGAGAGGATAAATCACCAGAGAAATTGGGGAAAGCCGATAGAAGTTGAAAAGAAAGTGGGCTGTCGGCTTCCCTGTAGCGGATCTGCGAAGTTGCTTGTGGAGATCAAGATGCTTCATGGACATTATACAATTCGTCCTTTTGGTCCTGTTGGGAAAGAAACTCTCAGCTATTTCCACTCATCTCTTCTTCAAAAATCGTGAGGTTTTCTGAAAATAGTTGAAAAGAACATTGTGTCTTTTTCTTTTTCTCAACATCTTTGTTCTTATTTAAAACATAATAGTGAAACACAAAAATAAAAAATGACAGCAAGAGCAGCAAAAAAGTGCTTTTGATCTTGTAATAGAATGAATATCTAAACTCTTTCTAATTCTACCCTTACTAAATATGCTTCTTTGGGTATTAAAACCCCTGAAAAAAGCATTGTAAAAATAGCCTGTTGACATCTGTTGTTTTATATATAGACAGAGCCTAAAATATTTCATTCATTAATTCAATAAATTAGCTCTTTATTGAGGAGCTACTATATGCTGGGAACTCTGTGTGGGTAGGGACTTTGCTCCTCACTGTATTCCTGGTGTGTCACTTAGGACTTGGCACATAGTTGGCACTTAACTAACTTAAAAAATTTCCTCTTGATTGTTTAAAGGCTTCTTTGGCAATAAAATACACATAACATGGAAACTTAAGTGGTTAAAAAAATTTACCATTTTAACCATGTAAGTACACAGTTTGGTGGCATTAAATATATTCATATTGTCTTGCAACCATCACCACTATCCTTCTCCAGAACTTTTTTCATCATCCCAAACTGAAACTCTGTACCCATTAACTCCCCATTTCTCTCTGCCCCCCTGCCACTGGCAATCACCATTCTAGTTCTGTTTCTATGGATTTGCTTCTTCTAAGTACTTCATAAAAGTGGAATCATATAATATTTGTGTTTCTGTGTCTGGCTTCTTTCATTTAACACAATGTTCTCAAGGTTCATGCATTTTGTAGCACATATCAGAACTCCACTGCTTTTTATAAATCAATAATAATCTATTGCATGGATATGCCATATTTTGTTTATCTGTTAATCTGTTGGTGGACACTTGGGTTGTTTCTACATTTTGGCTATTGTGAATGCTGTTGCTATAAATGTGGGTGAACAAAGATGTGTTCAAGTCCCTGTTTTCTATTCTTTTGCATAGTGTATACTACTTAAAAGTGGAATTGTTGGATCATATGGTAAATCTATGCTTAACTTTTTGAGGAACCACCTACTGTTTTTCACAGCAGCTGCACCGTTTTACATTCCCACTGGCAATATATAAGAGTTCTAAGTTTTTCACATGCTCAACACTTGTTTCCCATTTTTTTGGTAATAGCTATTCTAATGGGTATGAAATGGTATTTCACTGTGGTTTTGAATTGCATTACCTAATTACTAGTGATGTTGAACATCTTTCCATGTTCTTATTGGCCACTTATGTATCTTCTTGGAGAAATGTCTATTCAAGTTCTTTGCTCATATTTAGATTGGGTTGTTTGGGCCTGGTGTGGTAGCTCACTCCTATAATCCCAGTGTTGGGGGAGAACCACTGGTATCAAGCGATCCTCCTACCTTGGCCTCCCCAACCACTGGGCAATATGATGAGACCTTGCCTCTACAAAAAATAAAAATAAATTGGGTTGTTTGTTTATTGTTGAGTTGCATGAGTTCTTTGTATGTAGTCATGCACCACATAAGGATATTTCAATCAACGATGGATCACACATCAATGACGGTTCCATGAGGTTATAATGGAGCTGAAAATTTCTATCACCTGTGGATATTGTAAACATCCTAACATCACAGGACAACACATGACTCACATGTTCGTGGTGATGCTGGTGTAAACAAACCTACTGTACTATCAGCTATATAAAACTATAGCACATACAATTATGCAGAGTACATAATACTTGATAATTATAATAAAAGACTATGTTACTAGTTTACGTAGTTAATATACAAATGTGTTGTTATTTTAGAGTGTATTCCTTCTACTCACAGAAAGCAAGTTAACTCTAAAACAGCCCCAGGCAGGTCCTTCAGGAGGTATTCCAGAAGAAGGCATCATCATCGTGGGAGATGATAGCTCCGTGTATGTTATTGCCCCTGAAGACCTTCTAGTAAGACAAAATGTGCTTTTGGTATGATACCTAAAAAATCATTGCCACATCCAATGTCATGAAGCTTTTCCTCTGTGTTTTGTTCTAAGAGTTTTGTCATTTTAGCCTTTATGTTTAGGTATTTTATCCATTTTTAGTTCATTTTTGTATGGGTATGCCACATGCAAGTTAAGGACCCAACTTTATTCTTTTGCGTGGGTTATCCAGTTTCCCTAGCATCGTTTGTTGAAAAGGCACTCAACTAACTTTTACTGAGATCCTTAATACAATGAGAGGAGATGTCATATAAAAAGTCTCAGGATTAAGAGAAAAGAGCTCTCATACTCATTTTCAGGCCCAGCCTTCTTTCTCATCTATTATTGGTTCCTTTTTACCAGTGGGGCAAATGAAGCCTGGGATGGTTAAATAATTCCAGGTACCCTGCCCCAGGTACCACAGCTAAGTAGCAACTGTGTCTTAATGTTGCTTTTGAGAAGGTGGTGTTGCATCATTTGCTTTCATAGTTTACTTGGGGAAGGGGATGTTCCTCAGGGAAGGCAAATCCAAATCTGCAGAAGACGGAATGACAGTTTGAAAAACTGTCTTCAGTATGACTCTTGTTTCATAATACAAACAACATAAAGTAAAACTCCTCTGTTGAAAGCTTGTGGGGCTGTACAGATGTTAGAGTGCAAGCGTTGGATGAATGTGAACTAAAAATGCTGGGTAAACATAGGTCTAGTAGGTATTAGCTCATTACAAGTATGTGTACACAACCAGTCCTTACTGAGAAAAGACATTTCTAGATGATATAGCCAGTGAATTTAGGAATTTATGTCTTAGTTTTCGGCCCCCAGACCATTTTTTTTTTTAACCTTGCACACAGAATTACCCCAGGCTTAATAATAACTGCCTTGGTTCTGAAGTTACTCAGTCTCTCCAGTTGCTCTGGGTACTTAAATTTCTTTTCCAGTTACAACAATCTACTGTAGGTAAGGGAATTGGGGTAGAAAGACACTCCAAGACAGTTCAGATTGCATGTTTATAAGGAACCTTGACATAGAGATTATTGAGTTAACCAGACCATTGTTGCATTTCCCAGGAGCTCTGACAGGCCATGGGGAAATCCTCTCAGGCCAGGAGAACAGCGGTCCTGAGTTCCAGAAATTACAGATGGAGTAGTGATTCTACTCAATCTGTAACTGGTATTACAAGAGGATTGGTATGAGGACCCGGGGAGGTGCTGGTGGCAGCTAGTTCTGGAAGCCATTATGTGACTCAGGGATAGGTGGGATGAGAGGATAAAGAATAGAAACTAATGAAATGGCAGAATCAGAACATTTATTTTATTTTAAAGCTTTATTTATAATTCACAGATAATATTAGTATATATTTATGAAATTCAGGACATTTAAAATAAGCTAATAATGGAATTCTCTCCAGAAGGGCTGTTTCAATTTGCAGTGAATGAAAATGCTGGATACCCTATGATCTGACAGCACTTGGGAGCATTTGTTTTAAAATTTCATGGCCAATATTTACTTGGAAATTACCTCATTATTTTAGTTTGTATTTCTTTGATTATTAAAGAACTTCAGAATCATCTCATTTGTTTGCATCATTTATATTTCTTTTGTAAATTTTTTATGTGCTTTGTTGATTGATTTGTAACAGTAACTTGTACATTAGGAAAATCAGTCCTTTGTCTGTCATTTGTATTGCAAATATTTTCACAGATTTGCCTTTTGAGTTCATTTATGATGCTTTTAGGCTCCAAAAATGTTAAAATTTGATGTAGTTAGATTTATTCATTTTTTTCTTTTATAGCTTCTAGGTTTTCTATTGATATTAGAAAGGCCTTGTCTCCAAGATAATCAAATTATTTACCTTTTTTTTAGATTTGCTACAATTTCATTTTTTATGTCTCACATCTTGAATCAATCTTGAATTTATTTTGCACGCATGACAGTGCAAGTTTCCATCTCTCTGAGAGATTGCTGGGCAACATGTCTCCCTCTGGAATCCGAGCTCCAGGAGGGCGGGCACTTAGCTTGTGCTGCTTGCCAAAGTGATGCTGGTGCCTGGCACAGAGCCTGCCACCTGGTAGGCACTTAGTAAGCTCTTCTTCAATTAGTACATGATAACATTCTAGAAGATAGAGGGATGAGCTGAATCTAGCAGGAAGAAACCTTTATTTCTGGATTTTATCCTCTAAAAGAAATAGAAATAGAATAAAGCATGCCCAGAAAATGAAAACCAAGGTGGTGAAGGAAACAGAAACCAAATTAGAGGAGGCACTGGGGATGCTTACTTTGGAAAAAATTCAGTGAAGAAATCTCTTCTTTTGTTTAGTGTTAAGGAGATGGATGCCTTGGCTTTTAGAGTTTAAGAAAGAGCTCTGGAAGAAACTGTTCAAAGAGGGGATGGGTTGTCTTTGGAGTTGGTGAGTTCCCTTTCCCCGGGAGTGCTCAATTGTAGATACATGGTTTCTTGGGGACTGTTGTGGAAGATTCAAACATCAGGAGCCAAGCAAATGAGTGATATGGACTCAGGATAATTCAATAGGGAAGGGTGGGTCATGCTCTATAGGAGCAATGACCTCTCAGCTCTAACCAAGAGATGCCATGTGTTGCAAGAAATCTTTTTTTTTTTTTCCAAGAGAAATTTGAAAGTGAATTTAAAAAATGGAAAGTTTATTGATTTTTAAAACTTGGGTTTTAAACTCCTGATATGATGTCTGGATTTCTCTTTCAGCCCAGCAGTTTGCAATCTCTATCACAGATAAAAGTGGAATTGTATGTAGAAAGTAGCACAGTTTCTGGACTATATGACCTTTCAAACTTCTCTAACCTTGGCTCTCTGATTTCCTCAGCTGTATAAATGTAACAGAATATTAATAGTGTCACTATATCACTAGACTATGATTCAGCATATGAGAAGAGCAGATTGGATGGAGGAAGAATTAGGATTTGAGGGAAGGAAGGCTTTCTCTGGAATTACTCTGCTCTGTACAACCTATCATCATTTTGTGCCAATAAATATTAATTGTTGGTAATAATAGAGTGTAAGGGTCACATAAGCAAGTCTTAAGAGGAGAGAAAAGGCCAGAAAGCTGTATTTAAAGAAGTGACAATGGAGAGAGACAGAGAGGGAGAGAGCGAGAGAAGAAGAAGAAGAAGAAGGGGAGGAGGAAGGAGGAGGGGGAAGGAGGAGGAGGAGGAAGTTGAGAAGGAGGAAGAGGAGAAGGAGGAGGAGAAGGAGGAGGGGAAGGAGGAGGAGAAGGGGGAGGAGAAGGAGGAAGGAAAGCAACTTTGAACTGAAACTCCCTTGTGCATAAAGAAATTAAGAGTTTGAGAACTCTACTCTTAGCCCAGTGGCCTGGAGACACAAGGTCTTCTGCAGGCTGCCTTATCCACTAATAAGATTAAGTGTTTTGGCTTAGCAATAAAAATCAATGCAATGGATTTTTTTTTTTTTTTTGTCCTGTGATGAAGCTGAGAGAGTTGAAAAGGAATGGGAATTGTTACTGTTTCCCAATCCAACATTATTTTGTTGCATCTTTATAACTATTATTGGAGAGGGTTAAATGCACAGCCCAAGAGAGATGGCTTTCCTTCATTTAGTACAGTGGGGTGACTATAGTTAATAGAAATTAATCATACATTTCAAAATAACTAGAAGAGAAGATCTGAAACATTCCCAACACAAAGAAATGACAAATATTTGAGGTGATGACTATTGTAATTACACTGATTTGATCATTACACATTGTATGCATACACCAAAGTATCACATGTACCCCATTAATGTGTACAATTATTATATATCAATAGGAAAATTTAAAAAGAAAGTTTCCCAAGGTCACATAACATAGTCAGCAGCTGAGCTAGGATTGAATGTTGGCAGTTTGTCTTTAGAGGTGCATTCAGCCATTGTGAAGTTCACCTCCCACTACACTGGGCTTTTCCATCAGGGTGAGCTGTTAGGTGCTTGCTTCTCATTGCTTAGATGATAGTGATTTTAAGGTCCTGTATCAGCCAAGTTCTCTAAAGAAACAATGGAAAATATGTTTTTATCTATATACAGCATTTATATTTCTACCTACCTTCCTGCCTACCTACCTACCTGTCTACCTATCTATCTAGATTTATTTTAGAGAATTTGGCTCATATGATTGTGGGGGCTGGCAGTCTGAAATTTGCAGAGCAGGTGGCAGGCTGAAGACTCAGGGAAGAGATGGTGTTGTAGTTCTCAGTCTTAAGTTATGTAGAGGAAGAATTCATTATTTTTTGTGAGACCTTTCTCTTTTCCCTTAAGTTCTTCAACTTACGGGATGAGGCAGACCCACATTATAAAGAGTACTCTGCTTTACTCAAAGTCAACTGATTTAAATGTTAATCATAGCAGAAAAAAATACCTTGACGGCAATACTTAGGCTGGTATTTGGTTCAATAACTGGGCACCGTAGCGCAGCCAAGTTCATACAGAAAATGAACCACACAGGTACCTTGAAGATCGTGTGGTTTAGTACTTACTTTTAAGGAAGTGCTCACTCTCAGAGTCATGCAAGTGCAGGGTCAGTGCCTGAGAGTGAGAATCTCCTTAAATTTTGTGCTTACCTTGCCTCACCCTGGTCCTGGCCCTGCTTTCCATGAAAGATCCAAGATAGTGTCTTTAACTTGGGTCTTCTTCCAGTAGTACGAACTGGGAATCAGGAAGACCTGGATTTGATGCTGCCTCCATTATTCCTGTGAGATATTGAACAAGTGGCACAATCATTCTGAGCCTCAGTTTGCTTAACAGTGGAATAGGTATAATAACTTCACCTGCTTTCCAAGGATGTTGGGAGGTGACAGAATATCAGCTCAGACACAAGTGTGAAAAGTATGATTTGTTATGGCAAATTCTTTTTTTTTGATTAAAGCAGGATAATATTTTTTAGCATTTTTTATAATTTTGGCATATGAAATGGCCAAGTCTTGCTGTTCTTTTTCTTTTCCTTCCTTTTTTTTTTTTTTGAGATAGACTTGCTCTTTCACCCTGGCTGGAGTGCAGTGGTGCAGTCTTGGCTCAGTGCAACCTCCACCTCCCAGGTTAAACAATTCTCCTGCCTCAGCCTCCCGAGTAGCTGGGATTCCAGGCACCCACCATTGTGCCTGGTTAATTTTTGTACTTTTAGTAGATGTGGGGTTTTGCCATGTTGGCCAGACCAGTTTTGAACTGCTGACCTCAGGTGATCCACCCGCCTCGGCCTCCCAAAGTGCTAGGATTACAGGTGTGAGCCACTGTGACCAGCCAGTGTTGCCTATCTTTTGTGCATTTCTTGATGCTTCATCTTGATTTATAAAGCCTAGAAATTCAACAAAATAAAAAGCACAAGCCTGTCCCCAAGCCCTGTATAGAAGGAAGAAGACTGCCACTCATGAGCAGAACCATGAGACAGTGTGATCTGCTGCTACCTTGTGTGGGACAGTCCTTATGTCCATTCATTAAAACAGGGTAGAACATAGCTTCAAAACTACTTTGTTAGTAGTTCAAATTAAAAGTCGATGTGTAGGTAATAAAATAGGAGTTCTGTGATTGTATCTTTTCTCTAATTCAGAATGGTTTTCTTGGTTAGTGAGGTCTTAAAATATTAAGAAAAAATTACATCTTGTATGACTGTAATTGTATAGGTATTTTACTTTGGCCATATGGATTAAACATGTATTTTCTTTATGATAATAAACACATTATTTAGCAAATGGAACAACATTGTAATATCTCACAGATATATTGGAGACAAGATTCCCTGAGACTTCTTCTGTGTATTGATCTATACTCTCTCTTTCTGCTCTCTCTCTGTCTTTCTCTGTCACTTTGTATATCTATCCATATATTTGATAATTTTTGGCTCATTTCCTGGATAGTAGAGCCCTTTGCTAGACTTAGACTTTACATTTTGCCGTTTCAGTTGCAGAACAGTTTAATAAACTATTAGCACATGAGAACTAGGGAAAGGGTGTGGATGATGGAGAGCAGGAAAGTTTGAACTTTTTTATAAGATAATAAAGCATTTTTCTTAATAACCTGTGAGTCAACCTGATGCCTTGTAGCATATTGTTTCAGTTGGTCTTAGATCGAAGACCAAAATCCTGAACCTGGCTTGTAAGGCTCTAAGTAATCCAGCCCCAACCAACTGCTAGGCTTGCCTGGTACCATACTCTCCTTAGCCCTGCCCTGGCTTAAAGGCTCCTTCCAGTCATTCAAATACCTGAGTATGGCTAATTCCATCCTGTCCAGGGTCTGCTCAGGCCTCTTTGCACCGTCTACTCACTTTCCTACCAGGGTCGCTCCTACTGACATTCAGATCTCAGCTCACTTGCTCAGTAATCCTCCCAGGCCTTCCCTGAAGGGGTCTATGAACCTCTTATTATTGCTCGTAGCTTTATGTATCTCTCCTCTGTAGCACTTAGCATAAATGTAATTTTACATTTTTCAGTGATTAATATTCAATAACTGTCTATTTCCCCAATCGGATTGTAAACGTCATGAGGGCAAGAGCTGTGTCTCTTTTGCTCATCATTAAATCCTTATCCTCTAGTAGTAAAAATAATACCTGAGAAAAAGGAAAGAAGGAAGAAAAGAAGGAAGGAAAAGACAGAGGAAGGAAGGAAGGAAGGAAGGATGGAAGGAAGGATTATGGAGTGGTTGAGGTAGCCTCTGCTTAATGCTACACATCAGGCTTGTAAGTTCTGTTTGATGACCTGTAAGCCAAGTGAGGATAGCCCATCCTGTTCAGAAAGAACTGTATATTGCTGTTTCAATGACTAGAAGCCTCTACCAGCAGGTCCTTTCCTAATGAGGCTTGAAATACATATGGAATGTTTTTAAAGGACTCTGAGAACTTCATTTCCTGAAAACTGGAGAAGCAGACGTGAGCAGGGAGGTGCATTAGCTGATGCTTTTCTGAGCACTTCAGCTAAATGGCAGATGAGACTTTCTCCCACTCCTTAGGCTTCACTCCTTATTTGACACCTTCTCAGGCTCTCTTAGTCAGGGATTGTTGGCTATGGCAAATAGAAATCTATTCAAACTAGCTCAGCAGAGTGAGAGTTTTTTTGTAAAGCTAAAGTAGTCAATTTCAAGGATAAGGAAGCTGAACGGCTGTGAGGCCTCATGGGAACTAGACTCCAGGAGCTACTGGGAACCAAAGCTTCATTCTCATGTCTCTGGGGTATCAGGGTCCAACTCAGCTCTGCTTCACTCTGATTCTTTCCGTCCTTCTTTAAACTAACTTTCTCTGTTTCTATGGTGCCTCAACATGGCCACTAGCCCACAAACATACATAAGTAGTCAGTTCAAGTTCTCACCACCAGACTGACCATGGTACTTGTGTTTTTTGGTTAAAATTCTCCAGAGAATAAACTTGGGTCAACAGGCCAGCCACACTCTTGGGCAGATTTTCCACTGTACATTCAAATAAGGTCTGGGTCATGTGATATAAACATAGCCGCCTAGGTCTGCTTTTTTTTTTTTTTTTTTTTAACATATTTTTCATAGGAAGAGTTTTAAAAGAAGTGGGCTATTAGTCCTAATCATGTCTATTACACAGCAAGAGTCCAGGTCCTTGCTATATCACATATCTTTGAAGAGACTACCAATCCTTACCATAAGTCTCTTGAATGCCTCTACTTTCAGCAGTGGATACATCATAGCCAAAGGAAAGAAATGGGAACCTTATGACCAAGGTGGTTCCATCTTCCAGGCCATAGTTCACTGAAACAGGAGAGGCCACCTGACTCAAGATGGGCTAGTTTGAGACCCTTCTGCAGGAATTTGGAATTGGAACTATGAAAGACTGGTGTTTCTAAGGGGCTGGACTTGTACTATATACAATTGGGAACTGTGATTAGCCACATTCTGTCATGTGGACTGGGTTGCAAAGGAATCAATTCTTCAGGCATAGAGAAATATGAGGCTAATGTGCAGAGAGAAGCAGAAATGAGATATGAGGAAGGAACACTCCCTAGGTTCCTGATAGCTCTTCACAAATAAGTAGTGCTTTCTTAACTTGGCTGCATTTTTGCCAGTGGGTTATGTGAGATTCTTTCCAGTCCTTACAATAAGTCCCTTTTAAACATCTTACAGTCACTTGAGTTGGCTTCTGATACTTGCATCCAAATATCTTAACTAATATAAAAATCAGATGTATCAGGACTAACGTGTAAAATAAGACCTTCAGAAAAAAAAATGTGTTGTCATCTGAGACAATGATGGGAACAGTGGGGACTTCCCCGTCCTGAAACTGTCTCTTGGTATGTGCTGGCAAATAAATTGGTGAACTACCATCACCTGTTATTATCTGAGACTCAGATCACATACCTCCAGAAATGGAGATGTTAGGGGTCTTGGCTAAATATCAGGATATTAAGAGTATTGTTGCTTCTTGCAGGGTTTTGTAGAGAGCAACTAAATAGAAACAAATTCTTGTCTAGGACTTCCTCGTATGGGAAGATACAGAAGCCACCTAGCATCAGCTTACAGAATTACAGAAGTTAAAAAAAAAAACAGTCATTAGATTGATGGTAGCTTGGAGGGATTGAGAAAGCTTTAACAGATCTCACTCTTCCTGCAGGCAGCCAACCATGAGTCAATTCATGAAGTCCAATTCAGGGACTTTGAATTTTATTCAAAAGGACATTGGCAGCACAGGGAAAGAATATTTTGGCTTTGTGTGAAGAATTGACAAAAGAGAATTTGAAAGTATAACAGACAGACAAGTTTGAAAGTAATTGCCACAGTCTAAAACAATTTGATAGTCATCTGGTCTAGAATGATAGCAGTGAAGATGGAGGTCAGGTTCAAAATATTTTCTGGAGATAGATTTGAAAGGATTTACAGATGCATAGTGTAGCCCACTTAATTTTTAAAAGATACTCATACCAAATTACATCCCATCCAATGTTCTCTTCCTGCAATAAGATATTGATAGATGCCTCCGTCAAGAGATGGGGTCTATGATCTTTTCTCTTGAAACTGAGCAGATCTTAATAACTAGTTCAACCAGTAAAATGTTGCAGAAATGATGCTCTGTGACTGCTGAGGCTGGGCCATGAAAGGCAACATGGCTTCTGCCTGGCTCTCACTTTCACTTGGAATGTTTGCTTGTAGAACTCAGCCACCATTTTGTGAGGAAGCCTAGACTACATGAAGAGGCCATGTGTGGAGTGTTATGGTCAACAGCTCTGCTAGCCCCTCAGCTGTAGGCAGCACCAACTTTTAGACATGTGATTAAATGATCCTTCAGTTAATTCAACTTTCAATCCTTGGATATTTCAGTTGAGGCCTTGACATGTCCTAACTGAAATCCTGGATCTGAGAACCCATGAGTGATAATAAATGATTTTTGCAATTTTAAGCCACTAAGATTTGAGATAATTTATTACGAAGTGATAGATAACTACAGATTGAATGTGGGCTATAGGAGGAAAAAGTAAGTCTAAGATGATTCCAAGAATTTTGATCTGAATGAGTAGAATATTTGTTGTTGTTGTTGTTGTTGTTGTTGTTGTTGTTGTTAGAGGTAGAGTCTTGCTCTGTCACCCAGGCTGGAGTACAGTGGCATGATCATAGCTCACTGTAACCTCAAACTCCTGGGCTCAAGCCATTCTCTTGTCTCAGCCTCCCAAATTGCTAGGACCATAGTCATGTGCCACCATGCCTGGCTAATTTCAAAAAAAGATTTCTTGTTTTTGGTAGAGATGGGGTCTTGCTACATTGTCCAGCCTGATATATATATTTTTAAAGTGAAAACACGAGTTCTTCTTTGAATATGTGAAGTTTGAGATAGCTTTCCCTAGCACTCTCTGCTTTATCCACACTGGCCTTCTTGGTATCACTGAAATGTAGCAAGTTCACGCCCACCATAGTCTACAATAATGAAATCCTCAACAACCATTTTGTAATATATGACAGCGACTTCATGGTCACAAGTAGACCGAACAAGAGATTTCACTTAACTTAATCAAGCCAACTAGAGTAATCTCCTGGGAACTTGGAAGTGAATGGAGAGAGTTAAGAGTTCTAATTGAATACCCTTTATTTCTTTCTCTTGCCTGATTGCCCTGGCCAGAACTTCCAACTCTATGTTGAATAGGGGACACAGGGCGGGGAACATCACACACTGGGGGCCTGTCTGGGGTCGGGGGCTGGGGGAGGGATAGCATTAGGAGGAATACCTACTGTAAATGACGAGTTGATGGTGCAGCAAACCAACATGGCACATGTATACCTATGTAACAAACCTGCATGTTGTGCACATGTACCCTAGAACGTAAAGTATAAAAAAAAAAAAAAAAGAAAAGAGTTATATATGTGACTGAACCAAAAACATTTAAACTTGGGAACTGTGGGCTTAAATGTTCTACAAGGCAGAGTAGGTAGAAGGCTCTGATCTTCAGTGACAGAAAGAGACAGAGAGAGAGAGAAGAATGAGGCAATGGCGTAATAGATGGACAGAAAATACTGCCTGAATTCTCAC